>NC_000011.10:2787272-3090303 GCF_000001405.40 Homo sapiens
GGCCCTCACAATGAAAGCAGAGCCCTTTGAGGGTCCCAGCTTTGTGTAAGTCTCTGCTATGAGACTTCCTGGGGCAGGCCTGGGCTTTGACACATAATCATCTATTCCTGGTGAAACCAAAGCTCAAGTTCATCTCACTCATCAAATACCTTCAGGGCCCCTATTACCTCTGGGGTTCCACTTTCACTGAGTTTTCAGCCTCTAACCTCCCTTACTTCCTGGTCAGCTCATCCATGCTAGCCACAGATATCATTTTAAATTTTCTAATAGCCACTTTTTTAATTTAAAAGAAATAAGTAAAATTGATTACAATAATATATTTTATTTAACCCAATAGATCCAAAATATCATTTCAATATATAATTAATATTTTTAAAACTCTTAAAATTGTTGACATTCTTCTTTTTCATACTGGGTCTTCAAAAGCCACTGCATATTTTACACATTTCAATTTAGACACCGAGTTTTCATGAGAACGACTTGGTCTGTATTTAGATTTCATAAAATTTACCATTGAAAAAGGAGATTCCCATGCCTAAGTCATTTCAAACATACTGAAGGGTTTTCTAATAACCGAATGAAGGATCTATCTTTAAATTTTAATTTTAATTTATTAAAATGAAAATTCCATTCCTGGATCTCAGTCACCACTTTTTTAAGTGCTGTGCCACACAGATTCAGCTATGGGACAGCGCTGCTTTGGACGGGCATGGCCGTGCGCGCGTGTGGGGAGGTGAGTGTGGCTCCCCCAACGTTTACCCAGGCCAGCCCCAAGGAAATGCTCAGTGAGTGCCCATAGAATGTGGTGAATGTGGATGGCAGGGACCATACGGGAGAGCACACTCCAGTAGTTGCCATCTCATGGCCCCAGCGCCCCTCTCCACCCCATGCCCCCAACAGAGATGCATCCCTGCAGACCCCTCCTGGGCTCCTTCTCCACAGCATCCTCCCCAAGTTCCCCTGCCTCGAGTCCCCAGAGCTCATGACCCACGCCTCCCCGAGGTCCCTAAGGAATGTCCGCTTGGGATTCTGGTTCTTTTCCGGTTCTCTGCAGCCAGGTCTGTTCCCTGGCGTAGCTTCGCAACTGGAAGGTGCTGCTCAGCAGACTGTGAGAAGTGTGTGTCGGTGCAGGCAGGACACACTTCCAGGCTGTCCCAGAGGCCAGGGAGCACCTTGCCACTGAAGGGCTGGTTGCATCAGAAAGTTAGGCAGCCTGGACTGCCCTGGCAGCCCCAGACCTGCCTCTCCTCGGCAGCTCCCCCTCCCCTCTGCACCACCCCCCGCCCCCCACACCCAACCCAACACTCCTCTCTCTGCTGCTGGGCTGCTCTTGAGTGACAGGGCCGTAAATAGGCAAAGGCGGGGGCTCTGACTGATCAAAGGGCTCCCTTTAGAAGCCGTCATTAGTTTGCTATTCTGGGAACTGGTTATTTTAAGGTTAGTGTATTTTTTCTTTCCTGAGGAGCCGTCTTAGTGGATGGCGGAGTCCGGAGGGGCTGCCCTTCAGTCAAACCACACAAGCCCTGTTTTGTCTGGGGTTCCAAAGATAAACCTATAATGAAAGCAGCGTTTGACGCTGAGCACCGCCACCCTGTTCCTGCACAGGGGTGGGTGTGTCTGCCAGGGAGTCCCTGTGCCCAGCAAGCTCCGGGGAGGCTTGCAGGAGGCCCCTGGGGCCAGGTTGAGTCTGCTCCCAGGGAGCCTGAGGTGGGAGGTCTTCAGACCTGGCATTCTCACAGCCATCATGGCTTGCCTGGCCAGGGACCGAGGCCCCGTACCCTCCCCCAACTTCAGGCTACCCCCAAAGGCCACCCCTGGAACCAGGCTCAGCAGGCACCTCTGAACCGCAGCCCAGCTCTGCCCAGCACCTTCTTTGGAAAGACAGTGGACCCACCAGTGGCCAGGGGAATGCACACCCCTAAAGTCAAAATGTAAGGAAATGATGATACCCTGTGCTGGCATGGGTGCGGAAGAGCAGACGCTCTTCTGTCTTACTAGGAGGTGGGAATTAATGAAAGTAACAACTCCTGGAAGGGACTCTAGCACTGCCTGTGAAAACTAGAAACCCGTCATCACTCCTAGGAAAGAAAAGCACCAGGGTCGGGCTTTGCATGCAAGCTTTGTCATGTGACAAGCTCAAAGCCATCTGTTTGTCCATAGAGAAGCGTGGTATATACTGAGACACCTCGACGCCGCAGCCCCAGTGCCCGCCACAGACGAGCTTTTGCCGGCAGTCATTGCTCGGGAGGGATATTATTGATGTGTTGCTCAGTAAGAAACCAAAGTTGCCAAGGAACGTGATCGCATCTCTGTGCAGCCACAGCACCCAGGACGCAGCTGGGAAGGGAGGCCAGGGGACAGCTGCGCTCCGGGATGCTGGGGCCGTCGGCCTCCCCCTTCCCAGGCCCAGCTCCTGGGCACTGGGACCACCGTGGGCTTGGCTCTGAGATCCACCATGAGTTCTCGCTTTGTCCAAGATTGAGATGCGCCAGGTAGTTGGTGTGCTCATTTCGAGGTGTTTCTTTTTCCCCCCAGTAAAGTGATGTCACGTGGAGGTGAGTGTGATGGGAAAGGGAACCTCAGAAACAAGGTCCCACCTTGGTCCTCTGGTCTCCCCTGGGAGGACCACCCCCAATCCTAACATCCTGTGAGGTCCTCCCCACTCAGAGGCTCCTCTCTGTGCCACCCATCCTCGGATAGGTTGCCATGAGGTTGCCAGAGGCTGGCAAAGGGCACTTGTCAGCTGCAGATTCCAGCCCTGCCCTGGGACTTGGAGGGGATCATATCCCTTTGACCACCAGGTCATGACCCCCAGATCATATCCCAATGACCCTCTGCCATACCATGAGCCCAAATGACCCTCAACCTGCCACAGAGACAGCCCCCACTAACTGCCACTGGGTGATGGGACCGTGGAGAGTGCCCAGCTCAGAGGAGAAGCCTGTCTGATGTGGCTCCCGTCCTCCTCTGCTGGGGTTGTCTACACTGTCCCCACTCGGTGACACCAGGAGCTGGCATTGCCTCTGGTTCTACTGCTCTGGACAGCCCTGGCAGCAGTGCCCTAGCCTGGCCCAGCACCTACTGAGACAGCCGGGCCAAGCCCCATCCTGCAGGTGCAGTCTCACTTTGTCACTCTTGGTTACCCATGGGACCCTGAACCCCATAGGAGGGGCTCATCACTCAGGGTCCTCATCCAGGTGTGGCCCATCCACACCCAGCATCCAGCTGTGCACACAGGGCCACACACAGACCCCTTTCCCATCCCCCCTTCCCATCCCACACAGGGCAAAAGCCTGACCTCCTCTCACGCCTTTGGAGCCAGTGGCTGGGGTGCAAGCTCTGCCCCCTACACGCGATGGCTGTGAGACTCGGCGAGTCACGTGGGCTCTCAGCGCCTCAGCCTCCTGGCCCCCAGTGGAGGGGACAGGCACCATTATGCCGATCGCTCGCGTGCAAAGGCCCTGTGGCGTGGGCAGTGTCACAAGCTCCTGGCCCAGGAGGCCTGCTTGGCTGATGGCAGAGCTCAGAGGGTGTGAGCATGAGGATGGCATCAGGGGTCTCTCTGCAAGTTCAAGTTCCGCCTCAACCCTACTACGTGGCCCTGGCCAGGCCTCCTGAATCCAGGTCTTGCTTTCCCCAGCTATCCAGCGGCTTCCTGCTTCTCTTACCCTCAGCAATCCCCCAAGAACTGTTCTTTTCCCCACACTAGCGTCTCTCTTTCTTGGGGTGTTTCTCTCTTAGCCTGCCTGTGGGGGACAGTTGCCACCCTCAAGCCTCTCCTGAATGACTCTATTTATAGGCCTCCAATATTGGCCAGAGAGGAAATTTAAGTCTTTTTAAAAATTCAGCTCAAGTGTGTGTCAACTTCTGTGAGTGCAACTGCTTCAGAGAGAGGCTGGGATAGGACAGCAGGCGGCAGGGGCGTGTCAGGTGCCCGAGCAGGACGGTGGCCGGAGCCCGCAGCGGCCGAGCCCTCACTGGGCACCGTGTGCGGATCTATAATCGACAGCATCAATTGCGGGAGTCCGGCTGGGCTGGCCGCCTGCAGGGGCCAGGGCGTGAGGGCGGTGCGGAGCCTTGTCTGTGCGGCAAACCCTGCCTGGCTGCCCTGGCCAACCTCAGAAAAACATGTATTTTGGTCAAAATGGGCCCCTTTTCAAACTTGTCACCCCGTGGGTCAGGGCACAGCCTGCCCCCAGCCGGTTCTGCATATTAAGCAGTGGCTTGGTCACCATCAAAAATAGATGTCCCGACCCGAGCCTCCCCTCCCTCCCGGGGAGGGGACCTGGCCGTGCCGGCTGGGCTGGGAAACCGCGGGCGGGGAAGGAAGGACGGGGCGAACCGGCGGCACAGGCCCAGCACGTCCCGGGCCCTCCCCGTCAGGTGTGGACCCCGAGGTTGTGCGGGGGCTTGGCGGCAGCTGCGGGTGGGGGTGGGGGGCCCGGGCCTCCCGGGCTCGGGTTCTGGCCCCAGGTCAGAGGTGGCGCTGGCGGCAGGTGGATGCCCAGGTCCTCGCCGCGCCGCTCCGGGCGGTGGGACCGGCTTCCTGCCCTGGCTCCGAGCCCGCAGGTGGGGGCTTCCGCCTCACTTTGGACGGTGGCGTCCACAAAATGGCTGACGCGGCGCACGGCCGTCCCTGCACGGAGCCGGTGTTTACTTTGCCGCGCGAACAGCCTTTCGTTGCCCGGGTTCCGAGTGCTCCAGAGGCAGATGGAAATTTTTGTGGATTAAACACGGGGCCGAGGCGCGCTGGGCTGTTTGGGTTGGCAACCTGAGCCCTCCCCACCCCGTTCCGCGTCCGCTGCTTCCCGCCCTGGTCCGGCGCTTCCATTCATGCCTTCCCGGGTCCCTCCGCCACCCCTGCAGGCCCGGCGTCCCCTCCCGCACTCCCGCGGCCTCCAGGGGGTGGCCCTGCAGGCCCAGAGCAGCGTGGGCCTGAACCCCTCTCCACGTGTGGAAGACGCTGCAGCAATAGGAAGGGGCTGCTCCTTTGAGGGCCCTTCTCAAACCTGGAGCCCCTCTGGCCGCCAGATCTTTGTCTGTGAAACAGCAGCCAGTGTGTGGACCAGGCAGGAGTGGATGGGGTGTGTGCCCACAAGTCCAGCACCCAGAAAACCCCCAGCACACGGTCCCTTTTACAGTGGCCTCTGCTCTCAGGAAGGTGGAAAGCGCCAGGTGGATAGGAGGGACGGGGCCGTGACCCCTCCCTCTGCCCAAGAGAAACTCTCTCCCTCAGGTCAGACCCAGGCCTTTCAAGAAGAGGTTGCAGGGTGTGCGGGCTGCCAGGAAAAGGTCTGTGCGGGTGAGGGAGCGCATCCTATGGATATCTAGAGGAAGAGCGTTCTGGGCGGAGGGCACAGCGGTTGTGGGGTGCGGGCTGAGGCAGTGCCTGGACCACCTTGGCAACAGCAGGAGGCACTGGCCAGAGCCACGGACAAGGGGGAGCCTGGGGGCGCAGACCACCCTGTGAGGCCTCAATTAGAGGAGATGGGGGCTTGGGGCCCCGGAGGGCTGAGATCCAGCTCATGGCTTTGGCAGCATTGTTCTTGCACGTTCAGGATTAGCCGAGTAAGGTGAGCCTGACAGCGGGGCCAGCACGCAGCCCCCTGCCCCTCGCCCCCTCCCTGCCCCCAGTCCCCCACATAGGTGTCAAAGTGCACAGCACCCCCTCTCTTCCCCGCCCCCCGGGAGCCGCAGGTCAGGCACACAAGAGCCATCTGTGTGGGCGGCAAGGTGGCTGCCTGTCTGCTGCCCGCAAAGGGATGCTTGTCCAGCAGGGTGAACACCCCGTCAGGGCAGGAGCTGCTGAGGAGATGCTGATGCCTGGGTGACTCATGCTACCTGGCCACCCATCCTCGCTGGGCTACAAATGGGTTCAGCCTCATGGGCATCAGGCAGGGCCCGCCTGGGTGCACCCGACAAACACAAGGGCTCTTGTTCTAAGGCTCTGTGATAGCCCCTCTTACTGAGAGGGACCATATCCAATAACGGGTGGAAATTGCACTAGCAGGGTCATGTGAGGGCTCCGAGCTTTCTCCAGAACCCAGGAATATCCTCAAAACTGAGGCTGGGCACAGTGGCTCACACCTGTAATCCCAGCTCTTTAGGAGGCCAAGACGGGGGGATGGCTTGAGGCCAGGAGTTCACGACCACCCTGGGCAACATAGCGAGACCCTGTCTCTATGAAAATAAAAATAAAAAATTAGCCAAGCGTGATGGTGTGTGCCTGTGGTCCCGGCTGCTCAGCAGGCTGAGTTAGAAGAATCGCTTGAGCCCAGGAGTTCAAGGCTGCAGTGAGCCATGATCACACCACTGCACTCTAGCCTGGGCAACACAGTGAGATCCTATCTCTAAAAATAAAAGTAAGAAGTATTTTTTTTTTAACTGAGGCCCTTCTGGAGGGATGGAGGGACCAGAAGTCACAAGGAGCAGAAAGGAAAAAAGCAAAGGAATCCTTCTGAAGCACTGTGGGCATTTATTCATTCACCTTGTGCCACTGCCTGGGGCTGCAGTGTGAGTAGGGTGGGCTGGCCCCTGCTCCTTAGAATGTACAGCCCCATGGCTGGGCAGGGGGACGCACATAGTGACCCGTAATTACATATCTGTCTGTGTGAAGGAGAAAGTACTCGGTTTTCCCAGTCAGTGGAGTCAGGAGCCCAGAGCCAACCAGGAGTGAGTGAGGAGGAGGAGGGTGACACAGGGTGGAAGAGTGTCCAGTGTGTGCAGCCTTGCAAAGGCCCTAGGGCACGAGGGCACATCCTCCTGAGGCCATGAGAGCAGGTGAGGCAGAGCTGGTGAGCGAGGGATGGCCCGGCCGGGCCAAGGATCCAGGGGTGGCTCCGGCTTCGTGGGAGGAGGGTTACAGGCAGGTGAGGATGCAGTTCCAGGAGTGGTGAGGGGCTGCTGTGGGATGAGGGAGAGCATCAGCACTTTGGACTAGGGTGGAGGCCTTGGGGCCAGCCCCCAGTCTGCCAGCCCCACCGATGAGAACAAGCAGACTGAGGGGAGAAAGGTTGGAGAAGGACCCCGAGCTTCTGCTGTGAGCCCCCACGTGGGGATGCTTTGCTCGGAGGGGTGCTGAGGTAGGAGGGTCAGGAGGGTCTGGAGCTGTATTTGGACTTGGCAGGCAACCAAAACCCCAGTGCTTAGAGATCAAGTGGAAAAGAAAAGAGGAAGAAGATGGGGGAGTGAGAGAGATGGGAAGGCAGTGAGGGAAGCCTTGGGGAGGCCGTGGTCAGGGGCGGCACAGGGGAGAAGCAGGCTCATGTGACTCAGCCCTGAGCCCAGCCGGGCCCCCAAAGATGCTGGACCTTAAAGACACAAAGATGTGATGCATGTGTGTTCACAGATTAGCGGGGAGCAGATGCCGCATGGAGGGGCGTCAGGGAGTACACCGCCTTCCCAGGTGAGGGTGTCCTGGAGGAGGCACAAGTTCTGCTGGGCTGGACTGGACCCAGCAAGAGAGCCTGAGCCTGGAGGACCCCTCTGGCCCCCATCTCCCACTTTCAGCTTCAGCTCTGAAGCCACCACCCAGAACCACATACCTGTTCTTCCCAAGTTTGCTCTCCCTAGCGGAGGGAAAGACGGGAGGTCCACAGATTACCTTGTCTCTTGAAAGCAAGATGCCACCAGTGGGGACCAATGTACAGAGACCAGGCCCAGCCTAGAGTGGGTATAGCTCATCACACCCCCAGAAGCTGTGCGGGGAGGAAGGCAAGCAGGCAGCACAGTCAAGACCTGAGTTTGATGACTCAGAGGGTCCTCTGCCTGTGGTTGGCGGGGGTCCAAGGGGTCTTCCCATCTAACTCGCCACCTCCTCCCACGTCCCACTCAGCTCCACCCCACAGCAGCCAAGAAGCCAGGGCATCACTTGACCTTCCGCTGCGTCAGTCTCCGCATCTCGCCTCCCCTACCCCCGACCTCTCGGGTGCTGTAGGGATGAGGTAGGAGTGGTGGCTATGAACTGGAGGCCTTCGCCTCGGGCTGGAGCTCAGAGCAGTCCCTGCTGCTGCCAGACCTGCAGTTGGGGCACTGCACCCATGTCTGGGGAGGCCACGGACAGGGCCCCAGGGTCTCAGGTGACCTGTCTTGTGTATCCCACTTCGTTTCTCTCTTTCCCTAAAGGTGAAGTTCTGGAGCAAAAAGAGCCTGAGCTGTGAGCCGAGGGGCTCCTCCTCCTCCAAACTGACACCCAGTCACAGAGCAATTGCTAAAGACACAGTCATGCTTGGGCCCAGAGTGGGCCCCACGGAGCTTCCCCCAACCCAGCCTGGCTTGAGCAGGCCCCTGATCTAAACCACCCTACCCCACACCCACTGGGGCTCACCTGGGGTTTGGCCAGCATCCCTAGAAATCAGAAGCCCGCCCCTAATTCTGCCAGCTTCTGGCTTTCCGTTGCCATGGTGACACCCAGCCCCCAGCTACAGATCCCGCCAACTCTTCCCTGCCATTTTGCAAGAAACAATATTTTTCTGCTCCACAAACTTGGCGGGACCCTGCCTTTCCCCGGGTCCATGAGGAACCCCACGGGTTCCTTGCCCTGGAGTCTCTCCAGCTCTCATCCCCTGAGTGCCTCCACAAGCAGGGGTCCCATGGGGCGGGGGCCGGGGGAACAGGGGGTAAGTGTGGCCAACCCCTTGCACAGGGCTTGGAGATGGAGGCCCCTCCCCAGGTGAGACCGGCCTTTGGCCCCCTGCCCCACTCACACAGGGACACCCTTTGTGTTTTTCCACATCTGAGAGCCACCGACATTTCTTAGATGACGTTTTCTTGAACCCACCGTGCTTGGTGCCCGTTAAGTACTTCTACTGCAGCAGCCTAGAACCGACACGTGTGAAACCATTGGCTTATGGCGCAATGCACTTCCTCCCGGCATGCATGAAAACATAAATGTAAATACCAAAATACACAGGGACTATTCGGACACCACCTGAAATCATTCCATGTCCCACCAGAAGCCAGCACGGCCCCTGGCCCCCTGCCAGGTGACGCTGCCCCATGGCAGCCACAGTGCTGATGAAGCTCTGTTTGAGATCACCGCCTGGCTAAGGCCAAGGCGGCCACGTCAGTTCTCACGGCTCCTCCCAAACTGAGGAGCATGGAGGACCCTGGGCATTGATGGCAGGGTGGCAGGAAGCACCCATCGCTTTCCTCTCCCGGATCTTCCCAGCACCCTTCCACCTTCAGCCTTTATACCCCGAGACCAGGCGAGGCCTCCCACTGCCGACCCAGGCCTATCATGGGGCCTGAGAAGTAGTCCTCATTTCCTCACTCTCACACCCCGACACACCCTCTCCATGGGGAAGGAAAACGTGCCCCGAAGGGGCCTGTGTCCAGGTTCCTGCCCACTCAGCCCCTCGGGGCCGTGTCTCCCTGCGTCAGAGCTGGGCCTGAAGATAATGGGCCCACTGAGGTGCAGGCGGTGGACAGACCCAGGAAGACCTCGTGGGTTTCCCAGGAAGACAGAGACTGGGAGCCATTCTTCCCGGCGGCAGCGGCTCTCGGCCTGTCCTTGTCCCCACACAAGCCCCCACTGCTGCGCCGTCCCTCCTGCGCCACCTGACAGATGTGGCGGTGAGAAAACGATGGGGCAGGGAAACGTTCGCCATTCGGTGCCAATAAAGGCCGCCTTTATCCCGACCGTAAATGGTTTCTGTGTGGAGTGAGACTGTGCCTGTCCCGGGCCTAACCCCCCAAGGGCCAGAGAGGCGAAATTAGATCCGTGGGGAGAGATTTTACAACGTATGGGCTGGTGGCAAGTGGCGGCAAACCGTCCCCACGGGGCCACAACGGGGCATTGTTCACGGCCTCACCTGGGCTGTCTCCAGCACCCCAGGATTTACGAGGACTCGGCCCAGAGCCTCGATGCCGGCCGCTCCGGGCAGACCTGGGGGGGTGGCGGGGGGGAGGCCCTGTGAAGAGGAGGACAGTGCTGGGGGCTGGGCCACGGAGAGGCCGGGCAGCGCTGGCCCCAGCCCCCAGCTCCCAGCTCCCCAGAGACAGCCAGCCAGGAACGGGCCCCAACCTGCCTGCAGACCAAGCGGTCACATCGCGAATGAGTCCTCATGCTGTGCGTCCCCCACTGGGCAGCCAGAGGTGTGCCTGACGGGGCCAGGAGGCTGAAGACAACCTTTCCTTGGGCTCTCAGCGATGCCAGCTCCAGCTGCTGTGTCATCAAGGTCGGGCTGGGCTGGCCTCTTCCTAGCAGACCTTCCAAAACCCCGCAGACTCCCGTGGCTGTACCAGCCCTGCACCTCCTGGCCACCTGCCCCTGCGTACCCACCACCCTTGCTCCGGAGCTCGAGGGCCCTTTCCCCACTAGCATCTGACCGCCTTCTTGTATGTCTTGAAGGTTCTTTGCCTTCTCTGTGCAGCAGGGCCCTTTACAGTGTAGTCTGGCCCCTCCTCCTCCCCCGGGCCCCGTACTTCCTCCATTCTGCCCCTTCTCAGGTGTGCGGGACCTTTTTACAGCCCCCTGCTTGTGCCTGCACTCCCTCCCCTGGGAGCCTGCCTCACCCTGACCACATGGCCTTCGGCACCCAGCTTGAGTGTCCCATCCTGTGAAGCCAGCCGGTTCCCCCAGGCACAGGGGATACCTCTTCCCTTTGGGCACCTGCCCTGCGTACTGTGCCAGCCTCCAGGTTGGCCCAGGCAGCCCAGGCTGCTCAGGGTCATGGCCAACCCAGGGCACCGCGGTGGGCAGATGCAGCCCCTTTCCAGGCCAAGTTCAGCCCTCTCACCCTCACAGGGGACCCAATTGCACAGCCATCCACAGCGGCCTTGGGACAATACTGAGTCTTGAGTTAGGGGTGTCTCTCCTCAACCCTGAGAGCAGCCCCTTTTCCCACCCTCAGTGCCCCCACTTGTGGCCCAGGCCCAAGCAAGCCTGCATGGTGCAAACCCACATGGCAGCCCAGGGCCCAGGAATGGCTGTCCAAGAGGAAGGGGCTGGACCGTCCACGCCCTGGGTTCCCAACCACCCTTCCCCTCCTGGTCACCTTTCGGCTTGGCATCAGGAGGGCTTGAAGAAGACTCCTCAGCCCCACCTGCAGACCTAGCTAGTTGCCAACCACCTGGGGTTGTGCCCAGTCCTCAGAACTCACCTGCCCATGGTCATCTGAGCCGTTCCCACAAAAGCCTTCCTTGGGATCCTCAGCCGTCTGGGGGGCCTCCTTACTGGGGTCACCTCAAAAACAGCTGTAGAGGGGTTTGCGGCAGCAGCAGCAGACGTTTTTAAACTAATTCATTGGTGATGGCAAAATTATGCCGAGTTCCCTGAAAAAAAAAAAAAATACCCACTCTATTTCCTCATTAACATAATTGCAAACAGAACGAATTTTCTTGATTTCGTGTAAACAACAGCTTGAAATAGTTTATAATCCTTGCAGGTATCAAATTAAGTTCTTACTTATGGTCTGGAAATTAATTACCCTTGCAGCGAGACAAATGTGAAAACTGTGTATTTTTGACAAGAAAATGAAGCAGCTATTGGGGAAAATGTAACTTAATCGTAGCAGAGAAAATTGTTTATAAATTGGTCGCGTTGTTTGAACTCTCGCCTCTGTGGCTCAGGGCTGGGTTGATCTATGCATGTACATTTGCCTAATTTGGGACAGGGGAAGGGGCTGGAGGAGCAGGAACAGGACGGGGGAAGGAGAGGAAGAAGAGGAAGGAGAGCAGAGGGTACCCGCGTGAAGGGTACCCACGAGGAAGGGGACATTAGACAAGAATGCAGGTGGTCAGGCGGCACTTACCTGGCAGGTGAAATCTAAACAGGCACCTTCAAAGGAGGACAAAGCAGCTCCCTTGGGTAACTAGGAAGAGGACACCAGCTGGCGAGGGGCAAAGCAAAGGACCTGGGACAGGCACGTGCCTGGAACAGAAAGGGAGCCAGTGTGTCTGCATCAAAGTGAGTGAGAGAGCAGCGCAGGAGAGAAACTCTCAGAGGCAGGCAGGGGCCGGACCACGGGGGCGGTGGTGCTCAGATTCCATGTGGCTGTCCATCCATGGTGGGCCAGGAGGTCACTGTTGTGGTGACAACCAGCGCTCTTTGGAATGGACTGAAGTGGAATGTGATGTTTAACTTCTGTAGCTGTAAGTTCGAGTGTGTGTGTGTGTGTGTGTGTGTGTGGTGTGGTGTGTAGCATGCTTGCATGCCTGGACACAGTGTGTGTTGGCATGTGTGGTGTGGTGTGTTTGTATGTGAGGGCAGTGTGTGTGTTTTGTTGTATGTGGTGTGTCTTCTACGTGTGAGTGTGGTGTGTGTTGTGTCTGCATGTATCGTGTGTGTGGTGTTTGTGTGTGTGAGTGTGGTGTGTATATGTTGTATCCAAGACAGCCAAAGGGAAGTTCCAAGGGGCTCGTGCACTCGGTGTCCAGGGAGCAGCATCTGTGCTGTCTGCAGGTAGTCACCGTTCTCCATCCTGTTACAGCAAATACCCTCCTCTGCATTTTTCCCTTGTGTTTGATTTGCCAGGAGCAGAATTTCTGGGTTGGAATCGGGAACATTTAGAGGAGCTTCTCAGTAGAGTTGTACAGAGTGGAAATGAGTCGGCAGGCTGCATGGGGGGTTCCAGTCACAGCACAGAGGGTGTGTGTTTTCGGTGCCTGCCCTCCTGAGCTCCAAGTGTCCCACGCCTGCCCGTCAGTCCTCATGTCTACCTGGGCGACCCCATTTTGAAGATGCAGAACTGAGGTCCGGAGAGGCCTGGGTAGCTGCCTAAGGGTGGGGTAGAAGCATGGTGCCGGCTCAGCCACCCTCAGGTCTCCAGGCTCCCAGCCAAGGGCTCCGATAAGGCTGCTGGGACCTGGGGGCTGTGAGCAGATGCAGACGTCCACAGTTCCCAGGGCTCTGACCCTGCCCTGTCTCCAGAGCCCACAGCCCCACCCAAAAGGCCAGGAGGTCACAGATCTGGGATCCTTTCCCGCCACCTTCAAGAAGGGAATAAAGCCACTTCCTGCTCCATCCCAGTGGCCTGAGGGTGTGGGAGGGACAGAGGCCTCCCCCAGCAGGGTAACCCTGCAAAGAGGGGGCTGACAGCCGTTCCTGCTTCCTACTGGGCAGAGGCTATAGAGGAGGTTTCCAGCGCCTCAGTGCAGGCAGCTGAGCCCAGACCCCTGGGCTGTCCTTGGAACCACTCCCAGCCCCTGCCAGCTTTGTAGCCTCTTTCTTCCCCACCCCACTTGCCTCACCTCGGCCCAAACCTGGGTACTCCCAGCTGCAGCCCTCCCCACTTTGCCTGCTCTGAGGCTGTGTAGGGCCCAGGGAGTGGGGGAAGGGGCCTGGGTCCCGCACAGGATTGAGGTGGCGTTTACAGAACCGGGGGCCAGAGCAGCTGTGGCCGTGAAGGTTCCAAGCTTGAAGTGGAAAGGGTTTTGATGCCAAGGTCCAACGCCCAGCTTATCATTGTGTAAATCTGGGCACCACACATAGCCTCTCTGTGACTCAGTTTCTTCAACCCTAAAATGGGGACATGCTTGCGGGGGTTCAGGAGATCCCCATTGAGCACGGAGAAGAGCAGGTGCTGTCCACTCAGTGACCATCTGCCGTCACCATTCCCCAAGTTATGGGAGAATTCAGCTATGGTAAGAGCAGAGAACAGGATGGCGCTGGGGCAGGAGGAGAAGGTGTGGCTGGCAGGCACTCATGAGGACAGGGTCTCAGAGCCCATTCTAGAGAATGTTCCAGAAGGCATGGGGAGGCAGGAGACCAGGTGTGCCCAGGGTGGGGACACTGGTAATGGGAGGTGCCAGAGCTGGTGACAGAAGCAATGGAGGTGGGTGCAGGGCTGGGGCAGGGCCAGGCAGTGGCTCCTGGGGTGCTGGTGGCCCAGACAGACTAGAGATGGTGGAAGGGTAGAGTGCAGTCAGGTTTGGAGTGGGTCCACTCTTTGCACAGACCAGCCCCCTAGAGGCTCCCCAGTTCCAACAGGATACTGGGCTCCATGGCTGTCACGTGGAGCTGTCTGTAGGTGGACTGGCTTCTGACCCACTCGGGGTGCCGGACCCTGCCCTGTGCCTGTAGGGGCGGGCACTCACCTGCCCTTGCAGTCCCCTCTAGCTCTCCAGCTTCCTGCTGGCCAGTCGTATCAGCTGGCTCAGCAGCAAAGGCTTCAGACCAGGGGACTTAGGTGAGAGAAATTTATTCCTCACAGTTCTGGAGGCTGGAAGTCCGAGAGCAAGGTTGTGGAAGGGTCGGCTCCTGGTGAGGGCCCTCTTCCTGGCTCATAGGCTGGGCCCTTCCTCTGTGCTTACACATCCCTGGTGCTGCCGCCTTCTCTTGCAAAGACGTGAGTCCTATGGGACCAAGGCCCTGCCTTCACAGTCTCCTTTAATATTTATCACCTCCTAAAGGCCTCGTCTCCAAACACAGTCACATTGGGGATTAGGGCTTCAACATGTGAATTTAGGAGGGCACAGTTCAGTTCATAACACAAGTCCTCCGTCGGGCCACTGGAGCCTGGGGAGATGCCCCCACTGCATGCTGAAGGGCAGGAAGTGAGGGAGGGGAGAGCTTGTTGCGGGGGTGTCCTTGCCTCTCAGGGCCACGCCCACTGCCTGCGCCAGGGAAGACCAGCAGTGACAGGGATGGTGTCCCCGCAGCCCCTGGGTTAACACTGCCTCCTCCCTTGCTCTTCTTGGCAGCACAGACCTCAGAAGGCTGGAGCCCCGGGCAGGCCCAAGCACAGAAAAAGCCAGAGCAGGGTCTGGGGTCTTTGCCTCCAGTAGGGTGTTGGGGGAGCTTTGTATTCTCTGTGGCTGGAGGCGATTTCGCCAGCTGCGGAGCGGGGCGCGGTGGGCACATTCACCCAGACTCACACCGGCCCAGGACGTGCTGAGGGTGTTGGGGCCCATCCACCCTCCACTCCGCTTTTCCAGGGGTCAGGCAGGGGGAGGCCACAGGGTGCCCAGCTTCAGCCACACCCGCCTTCTGACAATGCGAAGCCCACCTGGTCTGTGAGCTGTCGCCTCTGTCCTCACAGTGACAGAGCTGGCTTTGAGGGCAGCAGGACAGGGGTTTAGCCCTGGCTCCGGCCCTGTCGCCAGCCGGCAGCACTGGGGCCACCAGCACAGCCTCCCAGCCCTCACCAGTATTAACTGTCATCCCAAGGGGGCCACTGAGGCAGCGGGGAGCCTGCCCTGGAATGTGCCATCCTCGGGCGCAGGCAGCCCTTCATGGGCCTGCCCAATGTCTATTAATTAAGCCCCCTGGAGACTCCAGGAGCTGGGGGCCTTGGCTCAGTGCCCTCTCATAAAGTTCTGCTCTCTGGGGACCGTGGCTCTGGCAGCCACCCTGCCTCTCAGGAGCCAGCCTAGTGCCTCCTGGGTCCCCAGGGTATAGGGCCAGACCCCAAGGCTTAGTGGCAAGAGGCCCAGCAGATGCTCATTCTCCCGGTCAAACCCCTAGATGACACTCACTGGGGAACAGAGGGGCTGGGTCCAGGAAGGAGGCGTTTGCAGGGCGGGGTTGTCTCCTGAAGACTGCGAGCTAGAGGGGAGAAGCCACTGCATGCTCCCAGCCCTTCACCTCACAGTCCCGGAATGGGGAAGCTGAGTGGCCACCCACCCTTGGACGTTCCCTGAGCATTTCCCCACTCAGAGTCCAGAAGCCCCCAGCCCCAGCAGACCCTACAGCGCTACCTGCAAAGGCCAGACCGGCCAGCCAGGGAGGTGGGCTAGACAGTGCCCTGGCCACCACAGGGCAACCCCTCAGCTCCACTTCGCCACCCAGAGGAGCTGGCCCTGGCCACTCTCTCAGAGCAGGAGGTGACATGAAGGGAAGGTGGCAGGATGGGAGTGCCCATCAGCCGGAAGGCCACGGGAGTCAATGGTGAGGGGCAGAGTGAGCAAGGGGCTCAGGGTAGCCCAGAAAACCCAGCCGGGCCCCCCCCCCCACGGGCACCCAGGAACCGCCCTGGCTTTGCTGGAGGACCTGCCATGGCTTTGCCAGAAGACCCTGGGACTGTCTGGAGCATCCTCCCAAGGACTCGCCCCTAGTCAGGAAAAAATAGGGCCCCGGAGTCAGCAAGGGCTTCCTGGGGGCCCAGGTCAGCCTGGACGGTGGCAGGACTCGGCGAGGTGGGGATGGGGCTTGGAGGATGTGGCAGAGTTCCCATGGTGTGTGTAGAATGATATTCCCTCCAGACCACGGTGCCTTCTGGGCTCTGGAGAATGCACCTGTGTTCCCAGGAGCTTTAGGGGTACCCAGGTGGTGTGATGGGGAGCAGGAGCCAGTTGTTCCCAAACCTCGCCCTTTCTCCCTGCAGGCACTGGCAGAGCTGGGGGTGATGGGGCTTCAGTGGAGCCCGCCAGGACTGGGGACACAAGCCTAGGCCTGTACCGTCTGCAGCCCCATCTCCAGGTCCCGGCCTGCCCCAGCCTGCCCACCCCCAGCCTGTCCCCCAAATGCCCAGGGCTGTGGCCTGCCCAGACTTGCCAGGGAGCTCCTGTGCCCTTCTTTCTCCTGGCCTCTCAGAAGCACTCCCTGATCCTCTCCCCACTTCCCTCCTCCCCTCTCATCCCCACCTCGGGCCCACCAGCTCCCACCCTGCTATGCCCATGGACCCCAGGGTCAGCTTTTATGCACACTCAGGTACTCAGGACACCCCACACCAGCCATTGGATGGGGCCGCCTCTGCCACCTGCTCCAGCCACCTGGCAGATCCCACTCGGCTCACACAGAGCCTTGGCCAGCATGTGGCCGCAGCCCCAACTGCAGCGGAAGGTATCGGGGAGTCGAAGGCAGAGGGGAAAGGACGGGATGGCGGGTGAACCACACGGGGAGGAGCCTGGAGCTCCTTCTGCATTTTCTTAGGAAGTGCTGCAGGGACCCACTGGATTCTCTACAGCGCCCAGTAGCCCATTAGAAGATACAGAGGCAGCAATATTCACAGGGCCAGAAACAACTGCAGTTCACCCATGCTGTGCACCAGCTCCCACACCACCCATGCCACGTGCCTGCTCTCCACCGAGCCCTGCAAATGCCTCGGCACATCAGCAAGCACAGGCCTCCTGCAACGTCATTTTGCAGAAGGGAAACTGAGGCACAAAATACTCCACTGCCACCAAGTCACCCAACTCAGTGGTAGAGCTGAGATCTGAATGCAGGCCGCCTGGTCAAGCCCATCTGTGAACTAGAACCCCGCCGCCCTGGGCAGAAACAAGGCTGTATTGACGGTGCTGGGAGAGATGAGGGGAGGGAGGGATGGAGGCCGGAACAGAGCCGGCTGCTCCCCTCAGAGGGCTGGGTGTCACCCCAGTTTTGTCTGTGGGTTTGTGGAGAGCATCACTGAAATTTCTAACTTGACAGAGTGGTTCCAGGGCTCATATAGAAGCATAAAGAGGTGAAAATAGCTGATATTTCTAAAGGCAAAAGCTAACGAGTGGGGTTGCACTGCCCAGCGTGAAGCTGCAGCCACCATTCTCCACACTCTCCTGGCCCTTGGCACAGGATGAGCCTTGCAGACGGAGGCGACACCAAGGCCTTCCCCTGCGCCCACACCCAGCGTCTGGAGCTGCTGGAAATATGTGTCCCCACCATGAAACTGATGCTGCTGTTCATCCCATTTTGTGTATGAGGAGACTGAGGCACGGGCCCACAGTTGCCAGCTGGGATTTGTCCCAGGCCACCTGGCTCAGGTCACCGGAACATGTGACAACACATGTGGTCAGGGAGAGGCAGCACCACAGTCAGATACAATGCTGACAGGGACGGCAGAGTTCCACAGGCAATGAGGCCCCCGGGGTAAAAATGAAGCAGTTTGAAAACAAAACCAGGAAGAGTGTCTGGCCATCCCGGGCCTGAGTTTCTGCCCATGGGCAGCTGCCGGACAAGCCCTCTGGTGTGTCAGCGGGTCAGGCTGAGCCAGACGTGGAGATGAGGCTGAGAGCCGGAAGCAAGGGCTTTGTCTCTAGAAGACGCAGGGGTGGTTCACAGGCCGCTGGGGACCCAGGTCACAGAGCCTTTCCCCCAGCTCCAGCCTGGCTGGGGAGAGCAAAGGCTGCAGCTGCACAGGGCCCCTCCCTGCCTGCCCAAAGCTGCTACCAGACAGCAAGCTGGGGAGAAAACTGCAGCCGACGACGGAGAGGGACGACATTTTGCAAGTGAAAACTCAAATCTATGAGAAAAGCACTCGCCCCGCAGTAGGAAAGCAGGCAAAGAACTAGAAAGACAATTTACAAAAGGATCTGAAGGTCCTCACTGCACTCATCCTGTAAGGTGGACTTGGGGCCTCATCTGGCCCCGCTGCCTGTTTTTGTAAATAAAGTTTTAATAGCACATAGCCACGCCCACCGGTGGACACATCGTCCCTGGCTAACCTTACACCACCTTGGCAGAGTTGAGTCGTTGTAACAGAGATCGTGTGACCAACGAAGCCAGAACGATTTACTCTCTGGCCCTTTAGAGAAAAGCGTGCTAGCCCTTGCTCTAAGAGTTTCAGTGAAGAGACGCAAGATGCAGAAATGAACCTAATTGTGTGGTCTTCCGTGCTGGGGAAGCCGAGGAGAAATGGAAGTATGAGCCGGTTCCCTGCTCCAGAAATCGCTCTGATGACACGTATCACGGGGATTAAAAAACATTCCTCCCCCCTTGACCTCATAATCCTCCTTCCAGGATTCTCTCCCTAAAGAACAAATCAGAGTTATGCACAAACAAGCTAATCACAGCCTTATTTATAATAGTGAGAAATTGGAAACAGACCGCATGTGCAGCATTTGCGGGATGTTGGTTCTTGTTATGCACATTAGGGACAATTATGCAGCTTTCAGTCATCCCTCAGTGACCCAGGAAAATGCCCCATGTACAAGGTTACTGGAGACAAACATGGTCCCAGTTTCTGGGGTGGGAGGTGGTGCCCAAAACATCACCTTACAGAAAATGCCCGGAAACGTGTCTCTGGAGGGTGGACTTAGAGATATGTTTTTGAAACAGATTTTTTCATATTTTTCAAAATTTCTCCCGTAAGTGGTTCTTACCTCCATAACAGAAAAAGAGTAAACAATCAATGTGGAGTGAGGAAGAAGAGAGGGGAGGGAGAGAGGAAGGGAGGGAGGTACGCAGGGAGGCAGCAAGGGGACTTCCCTGCTGAGGACGCTAGCCCCTCCGTAATTTGTCTGTCCTTCCCAGCCTGCCTGGGGCCACATGGGCCACTGTGCCCAGTGAAGCCTGGCTTCCTTGTCTGTGGTGCCAGCCATGTGGGAGGGTAGGCGACCCGCCTTGGGCTGTGTAACGCAGGCTTGCCTCTTCCTTACCCCGGTTGTGCCAGTGGCTAGGCACCAGGTAACCTGTCTGTGCTCCCCACCGAGCAGCTGGGCCGTGTCTGCTTTCCGAGGAGGCTGCAGGTAACCCTTCTCTAACCTGCTCAGCCCCCAGCTCCATCTTCCACCTGTCCTGGGGGATCCCCATTCATTCTCTCCGTGGGCATCATCAGAGGCTCAGCTGTACCAGACCACTGCCCGGGAGTACGTTCGGGCTCAGGTTTCCCTTGAGGGTGGCCCCCACCTGACCCCTCCCCGCCCCTCTCTTGTGCCCTGAGAGAATAGCGTGCCCCCAGAGACAGTAAAAGCCTGGCTTGCGTGCTGGCTCCGGTGACACACAAAGGCCTCTGCTTCTCCACTCTCAGGCCAGCCCGAGAGGGACGGCACCACCGGGACAGCACCAGCGGGGGCATGGGGAGGGGTGACAGGTTGGGCGGGGTCCCTGGGGCTGGGGCGTAGCCCCTCTCTGCAGGCCCCACAGTCTGTGACCGTGCAGGGAGGGTGCTGGGAGTCTCGGCTCTTTCGGAAGGCGCCAGTGTTTCCTTGTCACAGAATGAAGTAAATGGGACGATGAAGGGGCAGTGTTTAAATGGCTGCTTTAGCCCGTTTGGAAGTCTGCTAATTATTCTCTTGAGGAAAGAAATGCAGGTTCATTATTATAATGAGCTTTGGGCAAAATATTTCATCGAGCCTGACAAGCCGCAGCGACGCCTCGAACGTGGCCGGCTCTGAAAGGCCTCCTATTCTGCTGGAAGCTAATTGGCCCGGGGTCTTCCCAGCCCTGTGCTGTTTGTGTGCTATTTTAATTCGCTTATGAAAAGCCCCCGCTTTGATGTCCGGGACCAGATAAGGCCGGGAGGGGACCCTCCATGGAGAGCGGGACTGTGCCGCCCGCGGTCGCTGCACTGGGCCTCCTCGCCCCCCCACTCCGGGCCCGGGGCCAGCGCGATGTCATGAGGTAACTGAACAAACAGTCCTGCTGAAAAATATGCTTTTGTTTCACTAATAAATCCCTCCTCGGAACACTCCCGGGCCGGGCCCTCCTCGGGCCCAGCCTACCAGGCCTTCCCGCCCAGTGCCTCCGCAACCCGCGCCAGGACAGCCGGCGGTGGGCACAGGCGGGCGAGGGGCACCCCCACCCCCTCCAGGGCCCCCCTTCCCTCAGCCTCCTCCCCACCCACCCGAGCTGCCTGCCTTTCCCGCACTCTCCTCCCTGACTTCCTCCCACCTACCGGCCTCTTCCGACCTCTCTCTGCCTCTTTCCCCCATCACGATACTCCAGTGGCCACCTTCCCTGCCCACCATGCCTCCTGGCCCCCAATCCGGTCACCAACTTGAGGCTGCCCCTGACAAGCCCTGGCTGCAGCATGAGGGAAGCAGCGGTAGAGAAGGCCAAGTTTGGGCACCTTGCACAGCCTCCTGGAGCCTCGGTTTCCACATCTGTAAGGATGAGACAGGAACGGTCTCTCTGGGGGCAGGGCCGGTGGTACCTGGAGCCCTCCCCACTGAGCACCTGGCCCAGTGCCCGGCACGTGGCAAGTGAAGGCGGCTGCTTCCCGCCCCTCTCATGGACACCACTGTGGGCACCACTTGGGCACCCTGTGGGCTTATTTTCCCTGCCCACTGCCAAGCACCAGACCAAGATCTGATGCCATCTGCCCAGGGCATTGAGGGTGAACCCATCCAGGCTGGCCCGCCTTCCAGCCCTCCCCCAGCACCCACCAAGCCCCTGCGATATCCCAGTGGAAGATAATGGAGGTGTTACGGGGATGGGCTAGAACTCGGTCCTGGCATCACAGAGCTACCCCGGTCAAAAATATACCATGTAATTACAGACCAGGAAAATTACTGTGCAGGAGCAAAGCAGGGCACTGTGCCGGAGAGGAACAGGGGTGGTCAGGGAAGACCTCCGAGGGAGGGGCATTTGAAAATAGCATTCAGAGTTGCTATTAATAGGCTCTGATGCAGAACTGAGCAGAGAAGAAAACAAAAGAGGACCATAATATCTCCACAGAGAACTATCATTAATTTTTTAAATGGGAGTCCTCAGGTAGGTTGGTTGATTGAGTGATTGATTGATTGATAATCTTGGTTCTATTTGAATTTCTAGAAAATTCCAACAGTACAGAAAGGTCTGAAATGAAAGGTAAATACCTTCATGACCATGCCCCCTTTCCCTAGGATACCCCTTGTTATCCTAGAAATACCCATCCTTAGTGTGAGGAGAGCAGCATTCCAGACGCTTCTCTGTATGTTGCATAGAAAAAGGATGGTTAGATACATGGGCAGATTAATGGATGGACAGATTGTTGTATGGAGGATTAGGGGAGGGATAAATGGATGGATGGATGAACACATGGACAATGGGTGGGTAGATGGGTGAATAGATGGGTGGACAGATGGAAGGATGGATGGATATATGGATGCATGGAGAGACAGAGAAATAGATGCAGAGATGGAGGGAGGGAGGGAAGGAGGGATGGATAAATGGAGGAATGGAGGAATGGATGGATGGAGGGGTGGGTAGGTGGGTGGGTAGGTGGGTGGCCAGACAATGGATGTGTGAGTGAGTAGATGAATGAGTGGGCAGACAGACAGACACACCATCAGAAGCAAATATAAATATGGAATCAAGGGATGCCTGCAGCTTTTGAATTGTTGATTTTTTTCTTTTTTTAAGAAGAAACCAAAGTAAAACAGAAGGAATTGCTGAATTCAGATAAATGTTTCTTCACCAAAAGAGAAATTCATTTCTAAATGTCACTTTCAGGTTAAGGAAAATAAAATGTGGGACGCTGGACTCATCGTGGGTTTTTGCGGTCTTCTCTCAGCTTTGTGTGGTAGCCAGCGACGCTGCAACCCCGCCCCCGCAGCCTCCTGGTGCAGCACGTGTTCATTTATGGGTTGTTGTTACCGTGGCATTGGTCCAGGTTTGTGATACTTGTGCACAGCTTGGGGGCTCTGCTTCCCTCTGTTTGTTCGTCTTGGTGCTGTGTATGAAGGTGGCAACAGACTCCCCATAGTCCTCTCACCACAGACACCTCTTCTCAGTTCTTCGTTTCCAGTTGGACTCATCTCCTGACTGGTTGGGTTTCTGCCTCGGTCGCTGACTCCAGAGGGCCCCACGGCTCATGCCTGCTTCCCTGCTATCCTCCTGTGCACTGTTGGCCTTTATCATCTCCACCACGTGCTCAACACTCCAGGCCAGAGCCCTTCTCTCAAATCCCCTTTGGTTCTAGCCATGTTTCCCTGAGCTCTTCCCTCTCTGTCTCTAATTGATGTGTTTTCCTCCCAAACCCTCCTTCCTTGCATAATTCTGCAACTGACCTTTTTTCTGGCCATCCTAGATTGGGTTTACTGTTCCCTGGTACTCAGACCTGCTTAATGCTCATTTCTTCAGTTTTCTGGGGAAGCCTCAGGGGCCTTACTGATAAGAACTGTGTGGAAGGTAAGCATTCAAAGTTCTTACATGGTGAAAATATCTTCATTCAACCATGGTGCCCTATTGATAGTTTAAGTGGGTATAGAATTTGGAGCTGAATGTAATTTTCCTTCAGAATTTTGAAGACCTCGTCCTATGGTTTTCTAGCATCCAGACTTACTATTCAGAAGTCTTATACTTGCTTTAGTCTCATACTTTTGTAAGTGGCCTTTCTTTTCTTCCTGGAAATGTTTAGTATCTACCATCTGGACTCAGGGGTTTCAATTTCCCAGAGAAGTTCCCTGTGGATGGCTTTGTTCATTGACTGTTCTGGGCACTTGGTGGGCTCTTTGGAAACTTTAGTCCTTGAGCTCTGGAAAGGTCTCTGTATGATTTCTCATCATGGAGGCCACCATCTCTGTTCTCTCTTTCTGAAATTCCTTTTAAGTCAGACTGAAGACATTTTTAATGACACTTTGATGTCTCAACTTTCTTCCCCTTTTTTATGGCATTATATTCTTAACTTTATCTCTTCAGAGTTCTAGGAAATGTTTTTAGCAGTCCTGTTTTTAATATCCCAGAGCACACGCTTGCTCTCTGACCGTGGTCATGGCATTCCGCCCTCATTTGATGGGCACGACAGCTCCTAGGATCTTTCTGGAGACTCCAGATACATCTTATATCTTAAGTTCTGCTTAATTCCTTGATCTTCTGTTTATGTTTGGCCAGCCAGGCCCCTCTCTCTCATGTTCTGAATGTTTTTCAATGTTTGCTCGGGATCTGTGCATGGATGGGCCTGCTGGCATTTAGGATGTGTTGACAATGACTGGGGGAGGTGCCTGTCATTACACTGAGGAACCCCATATGTTAGAGCTCTGAGGCTGCTGCATCTGAGAGCTTGGGCTCGAGGTACAGGGCTGGCAGCCGGGAGTCCCACCTGTAGGACGCTCTGCTGTGGCAGAGGGACAGGACATGGACCTCATGCTCAGCCCCTTCCCATCGTCTTGGTGCTGTGGGCCTGATGTGTGCCTCCACAAGGACTCCCGCCTTCCCAGCATGGCATTCAGAGCAGCAGATGGCTTAGACTCACCCCCGCCCAGTCTTGGCACCCTTACAGCCCCGGCGAGACCCGGGTGGGCGTGGACCCTAGCGTCCCTTCACCCTCAGGCTGTGCACCTCCGCAGTGCCGTGTCCTGTCTGGAGCCTGTCACACCCCTGTACAGCTACCCCAATCCAAATGGAGCCTCCCCCAGGAAGCCCCTGGTGGGAATCCGTCCCCACGACCCCTGTCCGGCTTCCCTGGCTCATTGTCCCTGTTACAACCCAGATTTCCCTTATCGCAACTGGTCCTAGCCTGTGACCTCCTGGGGTGGGGAATCATCTCTGCAAACACAGCTCCTCCACCCTTATCAGTGCTTTGTGAAGGCAGCAGAACGTTCTCCTGAGCCAGTGTCTGGGTCACTTGAGCAATGGCTGCCAAGTCCATGGGCCTGCACGCATGAGGCTGTGCCTGTGTCTGTGCCGCTGGAGACCTTCTTGAGGTTCACTGCCCTAAAGGCCGCATGAGGGGACAGAAGGTGAACACAGGGCCCTGCTTGGTCTGACAAGCCCAGGCGGGGCCCTTGCCGAGCGTCAGGGTGGCTGGCAGCCACCTTCTGTGATCGTCCTCCTTCTGGGCTGCGGTCTAGGGCTGCACATTCAGGATGGGGATGTCCCAGTGGGCGCGCAGCACAAGGGTCAGCAGACCCCTGGCTGGAGGAGGTCAGTGTGGGGGGCTGCGTGGGAGACGGTGCAGCAGTGGGCCTGGGAGCTGAGCAACGGTGGCTGGGATGGGTGGAGACCACCAAAGAGGAGGGGCCGGCGAAAGCCAGGCTTCCTGCAGGCTCAAGCCTGGAAAACGGTGCTCAGTGAGCAACACATTCCCGTTCTACAGTTTCCTGAGCTCCCGAGTGCCCGCCGCAGGATGACAGTGGGACAGTCCTCACAGGGGCATGCTCAGGCCCTGCCCCAGGCAGACCCCACGCCCTGGCACGCAGCCCCACCGGCTGTGCCGCCTCTCGTTCCTGTCCTCCTGGCACCGCCGGCCACCCCTCAGCCCAGCCCTCATGGTTCTCTAAGCCGCCGCCTCCTCAGGAAGCCTCCCAGGCACCCATGCTCCCTGCACTGACCCCCAGACCCCAGCTTTGGCCATGCACTCCCAGACGGCTGGTCCCCACACAAACTTTCTGTTTCAAGGAACAGAAACACCCCTGAAACTTGTCTAAGAAGGAAATGTGTCAACTCACATACATGAAAAGCCTGAGTCCCTCCTCAAAGTCCTCCCCTCCCTCCTTCTCTCTCCTTCCTTCTTTCCCCCTTCCCTCCTTCCCTCCCTCTCTGCTTCCTTCTCTCCTTCCTCCCTGAGACCTGGGACGCCGAGGAGGGTTCCGTTCCCTCCCCCACCCTGGCAGTGCTCGGGGGCTCCAGTTGAAAATGATGGGGGACACATTTGCATCACAGCCTGCCCGGCCGGCTCTGTGGCCCCTGATCTTCCTACTGCAGCCTCTGCCGGGGCCGGAAGGGCATTTCCGGGAGGCGGGAACAGCATGTATGAAGGCAGAGCTCCTTCCCGGAGAGGAGGGCCAGCCCCGTCCCCAGGGGCTCCCGGCTTTCTCTCTCCCCCTACATTCCTGTCTCCATGCAGCAGCCAGAGGGACTTTAAAACATAAACCAGACCACAGCACTGCCTGCTCAAGCCCCCCATGGCCTCCCTCTTCCCTAGGAAGCAATCCAGGCACCCTTCCATGGCCGTGGGCCCCACGCCCCCGAGGCCCCACGCCCCCGGGGCCCCATGCCTGCCCTTGCAACATCCCCTTCCTGACTCCACCCAGCCTCCTGGGGGCTTCCGCCTCAAGGCCTCTGTGCCTGTGTGAGTGGCACCCTGGGGTTGTGCCATGGCCAGCCCTCAAACCATCTGAAGTCTGCTGTTGGCACCTGCCCTCTCCTGGCTGCAAAGCTGCCCCCTCATGGCCTCAGGTCTCTGCCCCAGCCTCCAATCCCTCATTACTGCCCCAGCCTGTGCCTGTGCCTGGAGGCTGTGGCCTGGCTCTCCAGCTGGAACAGAAGCTCTGAGAAGACAGAGCTGGCCAGCACCATCTCTCCTGTGAGAACCCTGTGCCTAGAACGGAGCCTGGTACAGAGGAAGAACCCGACAGACTGTGAGCCCTGTCTTCCTCTTGGCACCATGAGTCACCTGTCAAACTGAGGGGCTGGCAGAGCTGGAGGGAGTTCCATCCCAGCCCCAAGGTGCCTGGAGTAGCTTATGGAGGTCACTGATGGCCTCAGGATGCCAGCAGGCCCTCTGATGCCCAGGGCTCATTCAAGGGCATCTGCCCTGTGTCCTCATGCACCTCCATTCAGGGAACCTGGGCTCCCCACTCTCACAGGGGTGGAGACCTGCACCTCTTTTTCACCCCCAAACCCGCCTGCCCGTCAGTGCTTAGAGCAAATGCCCCTCCCCCGCCATCTTTTCATGACTCTCCCCCTTCCTCAACCCTGCGCCTGGTCACCAAGTCCTGACAACACCTCCAGCCCCTGTCTCTATGGTCCCCTCCTTGATCTGGAGCCATTCAGCCACATGGAGTATGTCCTCTGTCGAGGGGGCAGGGACTCAAAGGATGAGAGAAGGAACAGAGGGGAGGACCAACATCTCGGCTGATCCTGGTCTATTTTTAGTCGGTGGTGGGCTGTCACTCCGGAGGCCAGTGACTGCGTCATCAGTGCCTTTTGATCTTGTTGCCGCAAGATACACAGGAGGCAGCTGCTCACTGCTTGTGGAAAGAATGAGGGCGGGCACATAGGCCTGGGGTGTGGGGAGCATTAATGAGTGTGAGTGAGTGGCGGATGAGTAGGTAGATGGACGGGGAGCTGCAGGGAGGGAGGGTTGCAGAAAGGGATGCGTGGAAGGATGGTTGATGGATGGATGGTTAGATGGATGAAGAGATAGATGAATGGATAAAGAGGTGAAAGGATGAATAGAGAGATGGAGGGAAGGAGGGCTGAATAAAGAAATGGATGGATGGATGGATGATGGATGGATGGGTGTGTGGGTATGTGGATGGAGAGATGGATGAATGGTTAAAGAGGTGGATGGATGAATGGAGAGATGGAGGGAAGGAGGGATGAATAAAGGGATGGGTGGATAATGGATGGATGAATGGGTAGGTGGGTGAATGGATGGATAGATGGTTGAGTGGGGGGGTAGATGGAGAGATGCATGAATGGATAGAGGTGGATGGATAAATGCAGAGATAGAGGGAAGGAGGGCTGAATAAAGGATGGATGGATGGTGGGATGGATGGATGGATGGATGGATAGATGGATGGATGGATCGATGGGTGTGTGGGTGGGTGGAGAGATGGATGAATGGATAAAGAGGTGGATAGATAAATGGAGGGAAGGAGAGCTGAATAAAAGGATGGTGGGTGGGTGGATGGATGGATGGGGAAATGAAGAGATGGGTGGGTGGATGGATGGATGAGTGGTGAATGAATGGATGGATGGGGAGATGGAGGGAAGGGAAGGCTGGATAAAGAGACGGCTGGGTGGGTGAGCTGATGGAGAAATGATGGATAGGTGGATGGGTAGATTGAGAAATGATGGATAGGTGGATGGGTAGATGGATGGAAGGAGACAAGGAAGGAAGGAAGGAAGGAAGGAAGGAAGGAAGGGTGGAGGTAAGGGAGGGAGGGAGAGGGAGCAAGCAGGCTTGGATGAGTAGCTAAAGCACCTCAAGCAAGGGTGTCTCCCTTAGAAATACATGTGCCTCCAAGTCCTCGAGGCTGGCATCCCCTCCTGCTCCATCTGCCTCTGCCTGCTGGGCAGACCAGTCTGCTGTCCTACCAAGGCCTAGGTCTTGACTCTGGACTCTTCCATGCTCATCAGAGGGTACTGTTGGAGCTTCCTGGTCAGGCTGACCCAGCTGCCTCTGGAGCCTGGCCTGGGATCTGGAGAGAAAGCACCTGTGCAGACGGCCCCAGCGCTATGCCCTTCTGAGGCCTGCTCTGCACACACAGCTTTCCTCATCCCGGCCTCATGCACTGTGGGCAGGAGTTGTCCTAGCAACCATCATCCAGGCACCTGCTGCGTGCTGAGCACCATGCTGGGTGCTTCCTGTGCTCTCAACAGCCTTATGTGGTCAGTACCAATCCCTCCCCAAATTACCCCCATGCTCAGGGTGTCACTGAGGGTCCCAAGTCTGGGGTGGCCAGGTCACAGCTTGAACCTGGGCAGCCTTTATTCTCTAGGGGCCTTGGGGGTGTCTAGGCTGCCACCACAGCATCCACACTCCCCACTAGAGCCCACATAGGTCTTATGGGTGCCACAGCAGGGACCCCACTGGACCTCTGTGCTTTCTGGTGGGGGGCTTGTCAGGGAGCTCATGGGCACCTCTGGGTTCTAAGAAGCTATGCTGAGGCCCACAGGGTAGTTCTGAGTTCGGGGGACCCTCTCCTGGCCCTGTGGGGTCGGAGGAGGTCCTGGGAGCCCACCTCCTGTAGATCCAAACACCTGATCTCAGCTCAGGATCGCCACTCCAGTGCCCCATCCCAGAGCCTTTGAGAGTGGGGACAGGGTGTCCTGTTGTAGTTGCCAAGCCCAAGAAAGATGAGGCACCCAGGATGCCTGACAGTAGAGTTGCAGGGGGGCAGGCACCATCGCCCCCAGCCCCAGGCTGACCCCAGTCCCTCCCTATGCAGGCAGAGGGGCAATTGGAAGAGGCTGGAGACTATTCAGGAGAGGGTGGGAGCAGACACGGGAGTAGGATGGGGGCCCTGGAGGTACTGGGTGGAGCTGCCCCCAGCCCTTCCTGCTGGCCTCCCCAGAGCTCCAGGCTCTGAGGCCACACCCTCACCCAAGGCAAGTTGCTCAGGGGGTCTCCAGGCTGTATCTAACAGCTGCCTGTGCCGAAAAATTAAGCACCGCTGAGTCGCCGCACACCTGTCAGGGTGGAGGGGACTTGGGGGACCAGCCAGCTGGATATGTTCCCTTGCAGGCGGGCAGGGCTCTGGGGAGTCCAAGTGTGCACACAGTCCTGGGTGAGGGCTCCGTTAGATGAATGTGGACGGCTGGCGGCCGGGGCTTGGGAGATCAAGAAGTCCCTGAGGAAGAGGACAGTAGCCAGGGGCAAGACCTCACACGCCTCTGCCCATCCTGGGAAACTCACCATGGCATTGTGGTTGAAGGGTCAGTGGCCACCAGAGAGTTCCTGCTGCAGTGTGGAAAAGACAAACAGGCGAGTGAAGTGGATAAAGATTCAGGTTGTGGGAGGGAGACTTGAAGGGCAAGTTGGCCAAGACTAAAAAGTGGAGTCAAGCTCAGTGCTGGTGACGATGTTGGGGAGAGGGGCCTCCAGCGCCGTGGGGGAGAATTTCAAGAGCCTTTTGTGAAAATGGTCAGGCTGCTGAAAGTGAGACCACACTCACCCTGTGGTCCAGTGATCTCCTTCTGAGAATCCGCCCTGGAGCAGTAACACCCTTGGGACTGAGAATGGCTTCTGGGTTGTGCGTCATCGCTGTCCAGGAGTGGTGAAAAGCTGGACTCTGACTGCCTGTCATCCAGAGGGAGCAAACAGCCACCCTGTGGTGAAGCCACACCACATATGATGAGGGGCTGGAGGCAGCAGAAAGGGGGCTATAGGACCCTTTGACTCAAGGGCTAACCATGATGTTTCATTAAGGGAGAAATGCACTTGCTGCTCCTGGAACATTCTGGCTCACTCCCGCCTCAGGCCCACTGCCCTGGCTGGACTCCCTGCACTGAACGCTCCTCCCAGCTCATGCTTTCCAAAGTCCCCTGCTCAGGAGGCCTTCCCTGAGCCCCTGCCCCCTCCATTTCAGACATCTCCATCTGATGTCTGAGCCCTGAACAGACACAGGTGTCTGTTCAGGGCTCCTCAAATGCACAAATACATGTCTGTGACCACAGCCCAACCCCTGGGCAGTGGCTGCCCCTCTGCCTCTGGAGGTCCCCTCCAAAACCTTGGTCCCTGTCCGCAGAGGGTGTCAGGGCTTGAGGTCAACAGGGAGGTCTCAGGGCAACAGAGCCCAGTGGCACTCCTGACCCCAGGAGACAGAGGGAACCCACCCTCACCCTAGTCCACATGCCCGACCCATGACCCAGGCCTGTGGCGCCAGCCTGCACCCGGCTCTGCTCCACAGGCCAACTCTGCGCACGCTCCTTTCAAGGGTTAACGGTGCAAGCTCCTCACGGCACCAGTGCGCTTGCCTTTGACATGAAAATGTTTTTGCAGCAGGCTCGGATGCCAGCATTTTTGTGGTTGCAGTCAGATGTTTTTAACTACGTTGGACAGAACCCACGGCGGCCCTTTCCGTGGCTTCAGCCAGTTTCTGAGCGCTACCTTGAACCCCTGTTGCACCCCAGGAGGAGAATCACACCAGTGCCCCCTGACCCCCAGCCTTGTGCAGACACTGATACCCTTAGGATGAAGCTGACCCCAGTCGTGGCAGCCACCCCAGCAGTCAGGGAAGGACCTGCTGGGGCATTTCAGATCCTGAGCAGCATGTACCCTGTGAAAGAACAGGTTCCCCAATTTTGGTTCATGGTACCTGAGATGACGGCTTCAGATGATGTCCCTGGCCAGGGAGGTGGAGGACGCTGGGCAGAGCCCTGGGCATTAACTCAGGGCCATCACAGAGGTGGTGAGAGCTACCCCGGGTCTGGGGACTGTTAGCACAGACCTGAGCCGAGGCCCCCTTCTCACAGGGGCCTACCCACTTACGACCCACCTCCTCTCCTCCATGGCAAAGGTGATACATTAGACTCAAAGAGACATGATATCCCCTTGGGCTGCAACTTAAATTCCAAGGAGAGATCCTGAATCCAGAGTCACATGTATGTTAGAAACCTCTGGCACTCTCCCCTCCCCAGCCAGCACCTACCAGCTTTGCGCAAATGCTCCACATTTGCATTTTAAAAGCCCTGAGAAGGCCTGCAGTGAAAAAAACTAACTTCGTATAACCCAACTATTCCCAAACTCTATCTACAAAATATTTTTCTCTTTTATCATTAAAGAATATGCATTAACACCTAAAACCCACTATCCTGGCAAAAAAGTGGCAGGATTGTCTGAAAAACACATGGCCAGCCACCCTGCACCCTGAGTTCCACAACATCTAAACCCAGTGTCTGCTGGCCCTCAGAGTGGGAGCGCGTGCCCCAACTTCCGAGCCCTAGGAAAGGGTCTTGTCTGCTCTTCCCCTCAGTGTCAGGTGACCCAAGAGTGTGGGGGTCAGGAATGGCGTCCTTGTGCCCTTGTCACCCACTCCTGTGGGTACACAGCTTCCCTTTCTGCAAAGTCACACCCCAAGCCCTGGCTTGAGCATGTACACAGGCTGCAGCCCGTGTTCCTGGAGCCACCGTCCCAGGTGTGGCTAAGGCCCCCACAGAGTGTGCATCCTAAGGTGGTTCAGAGGTCCTCAGAAAGTGCCAAGAGGCCTTCCTCAGAGGAAGAGCAAGGGTAGGTGCCTCTGGCATGAGCCAGATGATGGGAGCTGTCACAGGACTTTGCCACCCGGGGTGAGGGGCCTAGAAACCCCTCTCCACCAGATGCCTTACACCCCCCATCCCCACACGCACACAGCTTGGAGGCTGGAAGCCCCCGGAATGCGGCCCACCCTGTCTCCAGTTGTTCCCTACCAGCCCAGCTGCTGGTCCCTAACCGGGCCCACCTGTTGGGTCCTTAGCACCAGCTGCCCAGAGCCCCCAGCCCCTACCCTAGTCTGATGACCCAGGCCTTTCCCCCTGCCCAGGCTAGCCTTGTGCTCAGCTGCCAGCACAGCCCCCACCACACACTCCCCAACAGGTGTCTCCACAACTGCCAGGAGACAGCTCAGCTTAGCTGCTCTTCCCCCAACCCCCAGGCCCAGCAGAATCACATCTAGGAGAGTGGGCCACATGCCTCTTGGAAGGCAGGTGGCACAAGAGGTTCATCCCACCCTCCAGCATTACCCAGCCCCACAGGACCCACATCCTGCTCCCAGCTCCAGCCTGAAAGGAGCTAGTCCTCTCCAGCCCCTTTGAAAAGACCAGCTGGACATTCTCCAGGGAGATTCTGCCCTACAGGATTAGGGAGTACCCTCACCTGGCCTTTGTTCATTGGTTCATTCATTCATTCATTCATTCAACAAGTATTTGCCAAGCATCCCTATGCTCCAGGCATCAGTGGTAGGCCAGACAGCCAAAGTCCCTCCTCCCAAGGGCTGTGGCCCACTAGGAGGACAGACAATGACAGAGCATTGTGTGCTCTATGCCTGCCCATGTGCTGAGGAAGGAGCAGGAGAGGAAGACAAACCAGAGTTTAAGTGAGGAGTGGGCAAGGCTTTTATGAGGCCCAGCCCACCCTCCCCTGGGCAAGCTGGGGATTTGGGAATGGGAGACATCCAACACGTGTCAGCCCATACATGAGGGTAGAAGTCCAGTTGAAAACACACCTGAAACAGCAGGGTCCAAACACCAGGTGCCGAGAGCCTTCCTGACATTGAACCTTCCTTGAATTCCTGAGGTAAACCTTATGTGATCTTGACTCAAGTCCAGCTGCTGATGCATTTTTAGGTTTTAGCATCTGTGTTCATACCTGATTTGGGCCTAGAATTTTCTTGTGTTTGCTTGAGCAGTTATGGTGCCTGGGGTTTTACCTTGTCAGATAAGTTGAGCAACCTCCCCTTTTGGCTAGTGCTCTGGGATGGATGGGATGGATGTCGTCTGCTTTTTTAGGTAATTATAGAAATCACCCCCAAAAACTAGACTGGAAACCTTTTAGAGGAGGGTAGGTAACTGGCATTTGTGTCTCCCCAATGGGTTTATGTTTCTTAGGATTTTCTACCACATAAGCCACTTTTGGTATTTTTTGCCTTGAAACTTATCCATCATATTGTGTTTTCAATTTTATTGATATGAAAGTATATATCATAATCACTTACAATTATTCAATTCCCTCGGTAGCAGTAGTATTCATTCCTAATTCTTATTTGTTACTTTACTTGCTTAAGGTTTATCTACTTTACTGGCTCTTCAAACAACCTGCATTTGGTTTTATTGGTCAATTCTTTTTCATAAAATATTTTTCTATTTTGCTAATATCTTCCTTTGACTTTGTTCATTCTTTTCTTTGTATTTGTTTTGGTGTTCTTTTTCTAGCTTCTTGAGTTGAAAGCTTAGCACATTTATTTTCAATCTTTTTTATTTTCTAAAATTGCCATCGATACTTCTCCAAATACCCTATAGGAAGCATCCCACACTCTTGGCATGTAATCAGCTCCTTGTAAATCCATCCTAAGATTTTCTCTCTGCCTTATTTTCTCTTTAATCAAAGAGTTATTTAGAAGGGTACTTTTTAAACTTCAAGATGTATCCATCTGTTGCTATTTTTATTAATAATTTTCTATTTTACATCAAGGTACAGATTTTTAGAAATTTATGGAGTTTTCCTTTGGTGCCTAATAGGATCATTTCTGTGACCTTTTTGTATATGTGTGGAGGCGGTGGAGTCTTTTCTGTTAATTGTGTTAAACTTGTTAGTGGAGTTCTGCGACTCCTCCACCTCCTGACTTACCTTGCTGTTTGTTTGTTTGTTTGTTTGTTTGTTAGTTTCACCCACTGTGGTTTGTCAGTTTCTGAGAGACAGGCACTAGGATGGCCAATAATATTGTGGATTTCTTGATGTGTTGGTTTTGTTCATTTGTTTTTCCTGCCCCATCCTCTGGGCCCTTAAAGCCTGGGCACATGTGTCCTCTCCTTACGTCTGGGGAAATGGTCTCCATTGAGGGTTTGAGTCTGCGTGGCTTCCGCCTCCCTTCCCTCCTGCTAGAGCCCCTCTGGAAGCTGCTGGAAGCCATGTCCTCCACATCCCCTGGCTCTTCCTTCATCCCATACTTTCTTCTCCCTGACAGAGCTGTCAAGGGGAGTGCCTACACCCCACCTCCATTGCTGCTCACCCTCCCCTGGCCCGTGCTGGGCCTCGGCCATCTCTGGGGCTGTTTCTAGGCCCATCTAAGCGAGGGGTTCCTTAACCTGCCTTGCTTTTGCAGCTGCCTGAACCTCCCTCTAAGGACATCAGCACTCTTCGGAGGCCAGGTCCGGCCTGCTCTGCTGCCTTGGTGGGAAGCTTTCGTCCCTGCAGGGTGGGGTGGGTCTGTCAAGTGTTCGGTGGCCCCTGGCTGGTGCTGTAGCAACACGGGTGTCAGAGGGCGGACACCGAAGCCTGGTGCTCTGTGCGAGTCCCGTTTCCTCGCCTCTCAGCTGTGTGACTCCAGGTGCAGAGGCCCCGCGTGGGGCAGGAGCACTGCAAGCGAGAGGATGGGAAGGTGGCCGTGGGCCTGGCAAGGGTTGGGGAATATGGTGAGAATGGTGCCCATGGGGTCACGCCAGCCACACACACTTTCTCGAGAAGTTTCAAGTGGAGCCACAGGGCCATTGTGTGTCCTGAATCATTGCTCTGGCTGAGGGAGTCTGGGGACCCATGAGGGCCAGATGGATGGGCTCAGATGGAGTGGGAGGCCATTGGGAAGTGGCTGGTAAAAAGCCTCATGAGGGCAGAGCCCCACTGACCCCACACAGTTACCCATGGTGTCCCCTTCCCCACGTGGTAATTCTGGACTGTTCACAGTGGCTTCCAAGGCCTTTGGGATGGGCCTTGCGTGCTGCCCTTCTGCTGGAAACCCTCCCAGCCATTTGAGGTCCTGCCCTCTGCTCACCTTGTTCCCTGTGCCCATGACATCTCCCCACCTTTTCCTGGCTGCTATGTACTGGTCCTATAGGGGTTCCTTAAAGGGTGCATCTTCCAAGCCACTCCTGTTGCCCTCCTCTGCAGCCACATCCCTGCTCTGCACACCCCCACCCCAGCAAGTGTGTGTGAGCTCTGTAGTCGTGTCATGGCCCCAGTGATGTCCTCATTCTATCCCTGTCCCTTCATGGCAGAGTGGACTTTGCAGGGTGACTAAGTGAAGGATCCAGAGATGGGGAGATGATCCTGGGTTATCCAGGGGCCCCGAATGTGATCACAAGGGTCCTTCTAAGAGGGAGGCAGGAGGGTCAGTCAGCGGAGAAGACAGGGGGATGGAAGCAGAGCTCAGAGAGGCTGAAGGTGCTGTGCTGCTGGCTTTGAAGACGGAGGAGGGGCCACAGCCCAGGAACGCAGGCAGCTTCTAGAAAACCGGAGAAGGTGAGGAATGAATCAGCCCTAGAGCCTCCAGCAGGTATCAGCCCTGCTGACACCTTGTTAGCCCGGTGAGACTCCTGACCTCCAGTGCTGCAAGATGTCACACACGTGTTGCGCTATGCTTGTGGTAACATGGCACCACAGTGCAGGATGCTGACACAAGCACCAGCACAGCGCCAGGCCCTGGGGTATAGTGTGGATAAGATGGACTGGACCCTACCCTCCTAGGGATGTCCCTCTAGGAGGTGGAGGTGGGGAAATGGGGACAGATATTAGGCCATTATGGCAGAATGCAAGTGTTTAGTTAGAACTGTGCTAAGTGCGTAAAGAGAGCTAAAGGCTACATAATAAGTTGTGAGCCTACCTAGGGTATTAGCAGAGGTGTCCCAAGGAAGCTCCCTGTGAGCCGAACCCCAAAGGATGGGTGGAAATTAGCTTAACTAAGTGGAGAGGTGGGATAGTCATGGGCCAAGGCCCCAAGGCAGGAAGGAATAGGCCTGGTCTGTGGGTCTGAGAGGATGGAGAGGGCTGAACACGGGCCAAAGGAGAAAGTTAGGGAGGGAAGGTGGAGTCCTTGGCAGGGGCTCAGCTCAGAACAGGGGGAGCCCCAAAGGATGTGAGGCAAGGGAGCAATGAACAAATCTCACCATTGTAAGATCTGAAATTCAGAACGGTGGCATAGGCCAGAGTAGGACATTGTGAAAAAGAAACAATTAGAGAAGCAGAAAGAGTGCTTGGAAATGTCAATTATGCTGCTGAATTAAAAAAAAAAAAATCAGTAAAAGATGGAAGTAAATCTCCCTGAAAGTGGAATGAAGACTGAAAGACAGAAAATCAGAACACCCAAGAAACATGCAGACTCAATCCAAGGACATCCAATATCCTGCTATTGGAAGTTCCAGAAAGGGAGATGAGAGGAAATAGAGACTAAAGAAAGGGCCCACTGAGAACCTCTAGCAGAAAAGAGCAGCCACTGTGTCATCATGCCCTTCAGGAACAGCAGAGATAAAGACAACATTCTAGAATCTTCTCAAAGAAGTAACAGGTGATTTTCCAAACATGGGCCTCTGAACAGATCAGTCTTTGGTAGAGAAAATTTATGAAGAGAGATGCCTTCAAAATTGTGAAGGAAAATAAAATTCTATACCTAGCCAAAGTATCTATCAAGGGTGAGGATACAGTAAAGACATTTTCAGATACTCAAGAACTTATAAAATTTTTCCAAGTCACTGCAGGAAAAAAGTATAGAATTTGCTTTCTATCCCTTTTCTTAGAAGGTTCTGGAGAATGCACTCCAGCAAAACGTGGGAGGAAACCAGGGAAAAGGAAGGCACCAACAACAAGGAGGCAGAAGACCCTACACAGACAGAACAGGGAGGTCCAAGCCCAGCAGCTGGCTCAGGGCTACAGGCCTCCAGCCCAGGCAGCCCAGGCAGGAGCAGAGGACAGGATACTCCTGAAGAGGCCACCCAGGAAGAGAAAATAGGTGGGACTGGGAAGAAAATCTGCAACGGAGCTTCCAAAACAGCGGAGGATCTCCCTGAGGGAGGTGTTGTTAGAGAAGAGAGCAGAGAAGCAGGAGAACCCAGAAAGGAAATGTGAGCACAGTATACCCCCTGGCTCTGTGGGGGACCCAGGCAGTGGGCATAGATTTCATCAAAACAATGGGGAAGCTGTGCTGGACAGTTAGAGGGTGGACAAAGCCGAGGGTGGGGTGAGAGCTTAAGCCTCACCTTCATACAAGGAAGATTCTAGTAGCTAAGATTGACAAGTCGAGAAACCATGTGGCCAGCATGTCACCAAAAGCTGATAAGAGGACCAGTGATGGGCTTCCCGGGAGTGGAGCTGGGCATGCACACTAAGGCCTGGAGGCTTGTGCTTATCCATCATATAGCAGGCCTGCCCTTTCCACAGCACAAACACCTTGACACACACCGTCACACACACCCATATTCGACACACACATTCACACAAACACACCCAGACACATGCATGCACATGGATAACTAACTCTTCCAGCAAGAGCCACCCCCTGGCTGAAGTGTGAGGCTGTCCATGGAGGGGCCAGAGTAGAGGGGAGGTGGGTGAGGAGGCTACGCAGAGGCCCTGGGAGGAGGGAGGCTAGGCCCAGGGGTGGAAAGAAGACAGATACGAGAGGGGATTTGGAGACACAATCCCCAGACTTGGGGACGAGCTGGATATGGTGGTGAAGGAGGGGAGTCTTCAGGAAAGACCCCCAGGTTCTGGCTTGGCCATATGTTGGAGGCTGAAACGATTCATCCAGACAGGAGCAGGGAGGAGGACACGCAGGGCCTGAAAGGTTCTGAGGTGTCCACGTGGAGGTGTTTGCCCGGCAGTTTAGGCTGCAAGGCTCAGCAGGGAGATTGGAGCTGAAAACAGAGGCTGCAACATGGAGGTGGTACCTGAAGAAGGGGTGTGGATGAGGTTGCCTGGCAAGAGATTGCAGGGAGAGGAGAGAGTGAGAATGGGGCCACTCAAGGGGTGAACAGGGCCTTGCAGTACAGGAAGCAGCTGGGGGTGGCGGGAAGAAGACAGTCAGGAGCTTGGGCATCCTAGAGGCCCCCGGGACAGCTTTGAGGAAGGAACGTCCCCTGGGTTCCACACCACAGAGCCATAGAATTCTGTACTTGGCCTGTCTCAGTGCCGTGCCGCATCCATCCTGCCCCTGGCACCGGAGGGTACACTGATCAGGGACACGAGTTCCCCTGCCGGGCACAGAGCAGGTTCCCAGTGAGTTCTGGGGCCTCAGTGACTGGGCAAGGACAGGGGCGTTTGGACAGGGGAGGCCGGGTGTGGATGGAAGCTGTACGATGGGGCCTGGGCCAGGGATTGTGGGCCAGCTCCGAGCTCAGACATTGGTCTGCACATGTGGCTGGTGCAGGAGGCGCAGTGTGCTGGGCCTCAGCCTGGACACGGCTGTCCCATGCGCAGAGACAGGGTCACGGTGGAAAGAGAGTCCAGAGAACATGGGAGGTGCCGTTTCCCTGCGGCGGGACTGGGGCTGGGGCCCGGCTTCCCCGACCCTGCTGTCGGGCGTGTGCCTTCATAGCCCAGGAAGCCAGTTCCTGGCAGGGTGGGCTCTGCAGCCAGGCCGCCAGGGTGCAGACCCAGACCAATGGGAGGCCAAGGGAGGCCCGCAGCCCAGACCTTCCGAGCCCTCAGCCTGCTCAGCTCAGTGTCCTTCCAGGGAAATGGGCGTTTCCTGTGGGAAGGTGCCAGGGGCCCCGGGTGCTGGAAGAGCAAGCACCACGCGGGGGGGTAGGGGCGCCCCAGCCCTCTACTGGCCAGTGTCCCTCCAGTCGTCCAGCCCTTGCTGCCAGGGGCCCCGCCCATGTGCCTGGAATCACACCCTGGACGCTTCCTTCTTTGGGTTAGATGTCGTCGTCTTCAACAAATATTTTCTGAATGTCTGCTATGTACTAGACTCTGGGAACACAGGGGAAAGTATGTGGACCTGCCCATGAGGAAGTCAGTACAGTGGGGCCATGAACAATAAACAGACAATTAATTATCCTTCGCGGAGCTGCGCGGGGGCAGCTCTCCCAAAGCAGTCAGTCATTCACACTTCAGTATGAATGAGTCTCCGGGTACTTTGCTCAGTAACGGACTGGACCAGCGCGGCCTCCACGCCAGGGACTGGGGCAAGGGTGGAGTTTGGAGTAAAGAGAGAGGCAGGGCAACCCCTTTCCACAGACACTTTACCACCTCCCCACATTGACAAGCTGGCTCCCCAGGGCCACCCGGAGCCCCTTCCTCAGATCCTGTCCCCATTGGCATGGTCTCAGCCCCTCCTGCCCCAGTACCCTCTCCCCGAGGCCTCGTCCTCCCCGCCATCCTGGAAACGATTTTGTTGTCTGCAGAGATTATGTGTAACTGCCTGTGAGTTATAAGCCTCCACAGCAAGCAGCCTGTTACCTAACCAGGCCTGGCTCATGCCAATGTCTTGAGTAATTATTGGGGGGCGGGGGCTGTCCAGCCCGCAGCAGAACCTCTCCGAGGGAGTGCTATTGTTTTTCATGTCAGCTGCATTTTAAGGCTACATTTCACGTCAGCTGTGACTTGGAAGGAAAGAGGGCCCGGCCTTTGAAAAATGAAGAAATTGAGCCGGGGTTGGGGGCGGGGAGGGCAGGTTAACCCTTCGGGCTCCAGTATTCCCCAGCTTCCCAGGGTCTCCTGGCAGTAACCAGGCCAGCTGGGGGTCAGAACCCGCGGCCAGGCCCAGCAGCCGCCTCTTGGCAGCGCTGATGGAAACCGCCGTGCGGTTCCGCGCAGACAGTCACGGAAACTCAGGCAGACCCGGCGTTGGGTGCGCCAGGCCGGTGTGGGAGCACTTTCCCCCGCCCCCTCCTGCTGCTGCTTCCCCGAAGGCCTCCCCAGCAGACCTGCAGCTGGGCACCCACAGGGTAGAAATGCCCTGGATTGGCTGTGGCACAAGAGGGCTGGCCCAGCACACCCAGCCCACCACTGTGCTCCCAGAGGGAGAACAGAGAGGGGTGCAGAGGGCCAGAGAGGCACGGGGCTCCCCTGGGCACCCCTCGTCTTGGGGCCCCTGCCCTGCCTCCACTCAGAATCCCACTATGTGCTTGGAGCCATGCTGGGTGCTGGGGAGACACACTAACCACTTCCCCATATGCTCACAGCCAGAGAGACACACAGGCCAGCAGCCTGTAAACCACTGGGTGTGGGGTGTCTGGTCCTGGAGTGACAAGGACAGGGAGGAAGAAAGCCAGGCAGGTGGCCCATGAGCCGTGGAGTAGGTGGGGAAGGGGACATCTCCAAGGAGGTGACATCGGAGCAGTCCTCTAAGGAGTTTGGAGTCATTTTCAGTCACTCACAAGCCACAGGAGGGCTTCAGCCTGAAGCTCAGAGGTGATGTGCTTAGATGTCACAGAGCCGGGAGGGGAACAGGCTGGGCTGCAGAGAGGAGGCCAGGCACAGTCACCTCGTGTTGCTGTCCCCCAGGTAGGAGATAAGGGACCAGAGTCAGGGCAGGTGGGAGAAGGGGAGGTTCTTGGTTCAGCTGCTGCTGAGACAGTGACCCTGGGGACAGCCCAAATAAGAGAGAACTTTGCCACCCGCAGGGTCCCAGAGTAGCAGAAGCTTCAGGGCTGATGTGTGCCTGGTGAATCAGCCTGGCCCCAGACCTCCTCTCTCTGCTTGCTTTCCTGTCCACAATCCAGTGCTTCTGTCCTATGGTCCCCAGCGGCTGCTCCTGCATTCACCATCACATCTGCATTCCAGCAGCAGGAGGGAGGTAAAAGACATGAAGGACAGGCCCCACTCCTGTAAAACCCTACACAGAAGCGGCCCACGTCATCCCCCTTTCTGTCCACCCGCCGGAATGTGACGCACGCCTGAGTCGCTGCAAGGGCCCCTGGGGACGGAGTCTCTATTCCAGGCAGGCAAACACTCAGCTTAATTCAGGGTTCTGTTGATTAAAAAAAAAAAGTGGGGTCGGGGGGGCGGGGGAGAGCGGCTATGGAGACAAGTGGCTGTTTTGCCAGAGGGAAAATTCCACATGTGGCTTGGAGGCCAGACCAGAAGGACTCAGATAGGAGTTGGGCGCTTGAGGGAGGAAATGGGGGTACACTTCAGCGGCTCAGGCCAGGGTGTAAGTAGCAGGTATGTGGTGGTACTGTTTTCCGGAATGAAGAGGAAGGGGCGGGCAGAAGGCAGCGAGAGCTTTGTTTGGGGTGTGTCGAATTCAAGATGCCTCTGAGACATGGAAGTGGTGAGGTCAGGGGCCGGGAACCCTATGGTGGTGTTGGCCCTGAGTCCAAGCCAGGCACCACCGGGCACATAGAGGTCTTGAAAGCTCGAATGTGGGGAGGCCAGCAACAGAGGGAACACTACCTGCAAAGGGGCGAGGGCAGGACAAAGGCTGGCAGCACCACACAGGAGCCAGCAGGGAAGGGGCCACAGCCGGGACTCAGAGGAGGCAGCCACGTGCAGAAAGGCACCCATGGGAACATGGCTCCTGGGAGCTGGAGGACCTCAGCAGGCAGGGACTAGCACCCAAGAAGAAAACTCTGAGAAGTCAGGACAGGAGATGGTGTCGTCAGGGGGCTGCTGGAAGGTTTGGTGACCGGAGCAGCAGGTGCCAGAGCTGAAAGCACTGGTTAAACGTGATGGGTAAACACATGTCTATTTCAGCTTCTTTGAATCCCACTAAGGTGACAGTAAAGGCATGAAAAACATGGAAACATGTAAATCAACTAGGGTAAAGTGGTCAGGAGAAAAGAGGAGACCAAAAATATGTTGACAAAGGTTTGGAAGCTGGGAAGCAGGAGGACAGATGGAGACTGGCCTAGGAGACTGGAGAGGGTAGACACCAAGCCCTGCAGGAAGAAGAGCCACCAAGAATGAGGCAGTTCCCAACCCAGGACCCTGACAGGCAGGTCTCACCCCAGCCCATGAAGCCAGATGCTACTGATTCTCAAGCTCAGCTAGAGACAGGTTGAGTCTCCAGAAAAGCTGAGCCTGAGAGGTTCTGAACTTGGAGCCACCAGGAGCAGTTGTGGGTGGGGCAGGAGCTCTCGTGATGAAAACAACAGGGATTCAGTAAATGCATTCAAGCTAAAAAGGAAGACCTCCTCCCCCACTTCCCTCATCAACTCCCAGAATGCCCGGTGGGGCACACCATTGTTTTCAGAACACCAGCAATAAAGCAGACACTCCACATTTCCAGAGAGAAAAAGTAAGTCACACACAAGAGAATAGAAAATCAAAACGGTATCCAATTTCTTAACAGCAATTCAGAAAGCTAGCACATAGTAGAGAAATGCCTTCAAACATCTGAGGGAAAAAATGATTTCCCATCCAGAATTCTATACCTAGTCAAACTCTCAGGTATGAGAATAGAATAAAGACATTTCCAAACATGCACAGTCAAAAATTGTATCTACCACATGCCTTTTCTCAGAAAGTTACTTGAGGACGTGCTCTAGCAAAATGAGAGGAAAAAACAAAGAAAGAGAAACACAATTCAAGAACCAGGGAGACTCCAACACCAAAAACAAAAGGCCAAGAGAATTTTCAACATGAGTGAAAGAAGTTCTAGCATTACAGCTGCTCAGCATGCCTACAGTGCAAACAGTCCTGCTAAGACTCCAGGAAGAAATCCCAGAAGAAAAAAAAAATGAAGGTGATAGACTGCCAGTATTCTCAATAGGATGAAAGAAGTTTTACAATTCTTACAGAAAGTTCAAGAATGAATTAGTGACAGATGCAGTAAAAAACAAGCAAAACCTAAGGCCATTTGTAACCCAAGGGAAAACAAGAAGATGTAATCATAACAGACCACAGGACACAGCTAAAAACAGTGATTACATAGTGACATAAAGAGTTATATACTGTTTGTGTAAAATGCAAACAGTAAGTACTTATTTAGCCTAGAATTCTAATTTAACTGTGTTGGAAAGATAAGGGAGTGGGGAGGGCAGGGGCATGAGAACAAAATCTTGATCACTTCTCTTCCATGTTAGGCAGTCACTAGATAATGTCTAAAGTGACAAAATTTCAAGGAACAGCAATGTAAATGTGTAGTTTGGAAATGCCAAGGTAAAGCCAAGAGATAGTCGGTAGGGTTGAAGGGCTGCCTCTGGGAACAGAAATTAGAGATAGAAGATCTAGCGCCCAGGGAAGGCTGTTTAAAGATGGGAGAGCTTCACGGGTTTTCTCACTAAGGGTAAGAAAATTTAAGAAGGAAGTGATGGTGCCAGAGAATAGGGAATTCTGCCAATACCCTGGTGGGGAGGGGGAGGGGGAGGGGGAGGAGGATGAGAAGGAAGGAGGAGGGAGGAGGAAGGAAGAGGGAGGAGGAAGGAGGAGGAAGGAGGAGGAAGGAGGAGGGAGGAGGAAGGAGGAGGGAGGAGGGAGGAAGAGAGAGAAGGAAGAGATTGGCCAAGGAGCTCTGAGAGGGGAAGGTGGGTGCATGCCACCCTGGCTGGGAACAGCAGGTGTGTGGTGAAGGGGAAAGACCAGCAGGCCCTTTACACCGTGGGCACAGGCTCAGGACTGGCTGGGTGCTACGCAGGAGCCCTCTGACTAGCTGGGGCTGGGGCTGTGCAGGATAAGGCCAGTGAGAGAAGAGGACTCACTGGTGGGTGCCTCCTCCCCACCTTTAGCAAGGGTTGACAGAGGGATCTGGGCTCTTCCCTGGGCAGGCATCCCAGAGCTATGACCTGAATGATATCTTAGATGATCTCCAAGGCCCCGGGATCTAAGTCCCTGTTAAGTCCCCTGTTAAAGGACCTAGGTCCTCCCAATGGCCTGCAAACCACACCCAGTCTAGTCAGCATGTATCCCCACACCCCAGTCCCAGTGTCCCAAGAACCTCTTCCTCCAGCCCCGGGAGCAGGAAGGGCGGGCTGGGAGCTGCAGGATGGGGCCTGAATCTCTCATCAACTCACAGGGTCAGCCTGGGCCAGGCAGGCTGGGGGCCAGCCCAGGACCTCCTTCCTGGGTGGAGACCTTCCCACCCTTCCACTCACCTTCCGAGCATTGTGGGCCTTCCCAGGAACCCCCACATCTCCGTGGCCCTCAGACCTCTGACCTCCCAAGGGCACCCCACGTGTGTGCCCTCCAGCACCCTGGCCACAGAGCCACACACCTGGGCCTTCCCCTCTCCCCATCATCAGGTAACCCAGCACAGGCTGGCCCAACCCCTCTCTAGGCCTCAGCTTTCCTGTCAGGAAAATGCAGGGTTAGGAGCTGACCAGGGAGTCTTTGAAACCGCAAGGGTACCCTTGGGAGACCCCGTGCAGGTCTTGTCAAGGCAGGACAGGGAAGTGGTGATGATGAGAGGCAGCTGGTCTGGGTGCTCAGCCCCACCCCAGCACCCGCCCAATGGGCCCCCTGAGGGAAGCTGCCCATGCTCTCTGCGCCCCATTTTCTGGCCTCTGGCATGCAGAGGGCAGCCCTGCCTGCTTCCCAGTATGGCTGTGAAGCCAAAGGCGGCGATCAATGGGATGTTCTCAGAATGACAGGTGCTCTGTGATCAGCAGCAGCTGCTACAGGGATGGCCATCGGGTGCAGGGCAGGATGTCCCTGAGGAGGCACCTCAGCAGACGTGATGGGTGCCTGTGCCCACAGTTGGGCCATGAGAAGAAGTATGTGGCCCGGCCTGCCCTACACCATCAGGGGGTGCTTGGACCAGTGGCGGCTGGAAATAACCCATGAACAGGGGAGAGAAGGGGTGAATGCCTTGTAGGCCTGGAACACTGTGGGGCTGTCGAAGGTGCTTCTGCCTCCAGGAAGCCCTCCCTGACTGTGGAGACACAAGAAGCTCTCCAGGTCTCTGGGTCCCTCTGGTACTCTGTGCCCTGAACCACCACCCTTAGGCCCAGATCTATTCCTGATCCTTCTCTAGACTTCAGTCAGTTTCCTCTTGATGTCCTGGATGGCCACAACCATAGTGTCCCCTCCGCTCCTCTCTCCCCCGCTTCCTTCCACATTGCCCCTCCTCCCCTTTCCCCTTCCCCACCACTGCTCCCCTCCTTCCTCCAGCACCCTTCTCCCCGCTGCCCTCCCCTCCCCTCCCCGCTGCCCTCCTCTGCCTCTCTCCGTTGCCCCCTCCTCCCTCCCCCACCAGAGCCCTGGAAGGCTAGGTACAGCGAGGAAGTGGCCACTCCATGACCCCCAGTGATTTCACTTCTCTGAGCCTCAAGAGTCTCACCTGTCCAGGGTCCATGGGATATGCCTGACTCAGCCCCTGGCACATGGTCTTGCAGTGGCCTGAGCTGGACATGCCCCTGGTAGGAAGCTGGAAAGGAGGCCCTGCCCGTGTACCAGGAGCCTCTGCTCCAGGGGGGTGGCCTGAGGCCCAGGCAGACCTCCACCTCCAGGCAGCCCTGCAGGTGGACAGCTGGGCCTCAGGCTTAGGACCTGGGACAACTGCCTAGACTACCCCCAGCCTTCCTGACAGGTGATAGCTTCATTGTCCCCAGGACACACACCAGCCCGGTCCCCACCCTACCCTTTCCCAGCACCCCTGAGGGAAGGCCTGGCCCCTCAGGCACAGTGGGGGTTGCCCGGCATCTTGGCAGATGGGCAGCGTTAGAGAAGCCTTGGACCTGGCCCTGCAAATGGAGGTACCAGAGGGCTGAACTAGATGAGGGACTTGAAGGCTCAGATGCCTGTGCGGGACCTGGCAGGGTGGGGGCTTCCGGGCTGGGAGACTAGGACAGGGTGCCTGTGTCCCCTCCTGGGAGTGGGGCCGTCAGAGCTCCGACCGCACAGGGTCATGGGGAGCAAGAGGAACCAGGATACCCACAAGCTGCTCGCTCAGACGGGCTCTGCGACTCCACAACTCACCTTCCCCTACTGCAAGATCAGGGAGATGGGACGCAGTCCCCGCCCATGCCCAGGGCCTTGGCAGGGTCAGGAGAGCCAGTGCAGGCAAAGCGCCAAGCACCCTGCTGCCTGGGAGACCACAGTTGCAGCAGGAAGCCCTCCTCAGGTCTGCCCGCCTCCCCGGAGCATGTTCCCTCTGTAGCTCCCGGTAGGGCCTGTGTGGAGAAGGTTGCTGATGGCATCACTGAGCGGCCCAGCTGTGGGGTGAAAGGCAAGGCTGGGGCTGATGCTCCCCAAGGCAGGAGGAGACCATGGTCTGGCTGGGGCTGCCCCAGGTGACAACTGTAGGGTGTGGGGAAGGTGGCTGCCACCGCCGTGGTCCACAGGGCCTGGCCAGGGCTCCATGGGGCAGAAGCCATGCCCAGCTCAGGGGGCTTCACTCCACTCTCCCACTTTGACCTGGTCCCTCCCCTCTCCCCCAGAGTGACCTGGACACTAGCCTCCTCCCAGTGGGAGACAGATGTGGGCAATGCAGCTGCTGTTCCCTGCTCAGGGCAGGCTGGTGCCCAAGGACTGCCCACCAGACCAGGGGATAAGAGGTTGGCAGCATCGTCCATGGTTATCCCACAGCTAGGAGGCTGTGGGTGTGGGAGAACATGCTGGGTAGGGGTGCCTGTGTGCCTCTGGAGTCGAGGCAATTAGAGGCCCTGTGGAAGCCCCTGCACGCAAGGGGCCCACGCGCCAGGGCAGAGGACATAGCCCCTTCTTGCTTCCCTGAGGGACGGGAGGCCTGTGGACTTCTGGACACAATGGCAGAGTCAGGGCAGCCAAGCCGGGCCAGTGCCCTGGAGCCGAGTCCTCCCCCCACCTGCCCACATGCCCCACCCCTCTCCAAGCTTCTCCCCTCATAGGATCCCAGAGCCCCTTGGGACCTCTGTGAAGACTGCATAGATGTGAGGGAGTCTCAGCCTTAGGGTGGGCACCTGGGCGCAGCTGTCAGGCCCCAAGTCAGCCCCAGGCACGTGGACCTGGGAGCCAGCCTCAAGGGCAGGGGTCCCCGAGCATCCCCACTGCTGCCCCGCCAGCAACCGTGTCACTGGGAGGCAAGAGGCTGGGTTCCTGGGGTGGGCAGGCTTCCCCGCTTCACTCCATTTGCAGCCCCTGTCTTGCAGAGGCAAAATGGAGGTTCAGAGAGGTGAGCAAACACCAGGTCCCATGTTTGCACCTGGCTGTGACCGTGCAGTCCACTGGGCCCAGCAGCAGGAACTGGGGCAAGTGCCCCGAGACGGGACCGAGACAACAGTGGGGAAGGTGGGACAGGCAGCTGGGGGAAGGCCAGAGTGTCCAGCACCAGCGCCAGGGGCCGTTCCGACAGGCTGAGGAGCGGCGGGGAGCGGGGCTTGCCAAATATGTCCAGATGGGGCTGGAGCCCCAGCAACTTCCTGCCCTCCCAGCCTGCTCCCCCACCTCCTCACCCCCTTCCCAGGCTGTCAGCAGGGGCTGGGGGGCAGCAGAACCCCACTTAGCCACAAGGAGTGCAGCCAGGGGCTGGCTCCCGGGAGGACATGGGCAGAGGCTTAGGTCCCCTTACACACACACACTGCTGCATTCGTGCAGGATGGGCTCAGCGCCTGCTGTGCCTGGCGTGGCTGTGTGCATGGCATGGTGGTGGCATGGTGGGAGTGGTGTGGCACATGGTGTGGCACATGGCATGGCTGGGGCTGGGGCTGGGTTGTGTAGCATGTGGAGTGGCAAGGTGCGTGACATGGTGTATGGCATGGTAGTGTGCCCCTCGAGCCATGTGTCCAGGTGGGGCAGATCATGGAGGGCGCCCAGGTGCGGTGCTGAGGCTGAGCATGCACTGGCTGGGGAGGGTGGGCAGAGCAGGAGGAAATCCCTTGTTCTCCGGAGCTGGAGAGCCAGAAAGAGCCCTGCAGCCTGGGCCTCATCATCACACCTCGCCCTCAAGGCCTCCAGGCACAGCATCCACTGCCAGCCTCTGCTCCTGCCTCTGAGGGTCTGTCTCCAAGGTCTTTTGGGGGCTGCCCCAGCTCCCCCAACACAGACAGCACCAGAGCTGGGCCCACCTGTGAGGTGCTGAGTTCCCCATCTCAGAGACTGTGCGAGCAGAGGCAGGGAGGCGCTTGATGTCGGATGGAGAAAGGACAGGGGAGGGGTGTGGGGCTCAGGGCCCCGCCAGGTGAAGGAACAAGCTTGGAAGGGTGTCCTTATGTCTGAGAGTTGGGGAGACACCCCCAAGCCCCAGATGGGCCTCGAATGCCAGGCAGGGCCAAGCTGGGCCCAGAAGTGGGAAGGATCCCTTGGCTGCCCCAGGAATGCAGGTTCCGGGGCAAGAATCCAGCCCTGGCTGGTTGAAGTCCATCCCAAGTCTCCCTCCCCACGAGGCTCCTGCAGATGCCAGGAATGGGGCTGGATTCCAGATTCCAAGCCTGGCCGCCCAGCCCCTATCTGGGACCCCAGCCCAGGGCCCCCAGGCCTGGCCTCCAACCTGGCCCCAGCCTCAGGGGAGCTGAATTCAGAGAATCCTGTCCTAGGAGCCAGAAGCGGGGGAGGGAGGGAGGGCGGCCCTGTCCTGGGTGCAGGCCCGGGGGCTGGGGGCTGCCCGCCCGTCTGGGTCAGCCGCAGCTGCAAACCGGCCCTGGCTGAGTCATGGGGCCTCCATCTCCAGGCCTGGCTTGAGGTGGGAATAGCAGTGAGGTTGGACATCCAGGCACCTGGAGGGTGGGCAGGGCTCCCTGCGGCTGGGGTGGCCAGTGGCACCTGGCTGTTGCCCCCCTGCACCCCAGCCCTTTGGCCCCCAAGTCTCTGCCACCTCCCTGGGGTTCTGCTCCCATATTCCTCACACCCAGCACAGAACCCAGCATGTCTCCTGTAGACACCTGCATATAAACCCTGACTCACACACACACACACACACACACACACACACGCACACATGCAGGCCAGGCTCCTCGGCCAGTCACCCTACCGGCAGAGCTCTAGACATTTCTGGCCTCTGGTGACTATTCTTCAGGCAGCTCACCCTGCAAGTCTTTATTGAGCACCTACTGTGTGCCAGGCAGTGGTACAGCAAGGGCAGAAGCCCCACCTCCAAGGAGCTGACCCCCTGCCGTGGCAGAGACAGAAAACAAAGGCAGCACCACAGCGACGAGGGCCTGAGAGGAAAGTGGAGCAGGAGCCTGCAGCATGCTGGGGCAGGGGTGTCTTTAGAAAGGGTACTGGGAGGGCCCTGGCAAGGGACTTAAGTAATTACTTAAAGGAGGGAAAGGGTGGCCTGGGGCTCACAGAGGAAAAGCCTTCCTCATGGAGGCGGCGGGGCAGCGGGCTCAGCCTGCAGTGTCCAGGAGCGACGGGAAGCCTCGTGGGGCTGTTGGGAGACAGCAAGACCTGGGTCAGCAGAGCACCGTGTGGGGTAAGCAGATGACAGGGCAGTGACAGGGTGATCGGGCCCGGTCAGTGGTCCCAGGGGTCGGGGACAGGTGGGAATCGAAGTCATAGGAGGCGGGGCAAAGGCCACGGGGAAAGGGACAGAGCTGCTCCCAAGGACGCACCACCATGGGGTGCCCCGTGGCGTGGCGGGGGTGGGGGTCAGGACCTTTAGCAGAAGGTAAAGATGAGACCAAGAGGCAGATGGGTGGAAGAGTTGAAAGCAGCCAAGTGTCACCAAGGCATTTCTGAGGGAGAGGGACACGACTAGTGGCTCAAATCTTTAGAAATGAGGGGATGGGTCTGGTAGAGCACCCCAGATTCAAGGCGGGTGGCTTGGGGAAAGCAGGGAGAAGGGTCTGGAAACTGCTGCTGAGCAGGAGCCCCCACACCCACAGAGCAGGTGCAGGGAGGCCCATCTGTCCATCCGTCTGTCTGTGGGGAGGCATGGTGACGTTTCAGGCCGGAGGTAGAAGTTTTCACCCAGGAGGTAGAGGGTGAGGCCGGACTGCACTCCAAGGGGAGGAGGTGGGAGAGCACAGCCTGGCTGCTGCCACCAAGCTCCCCAGAAGAGGGGACCCCTCCCCCCGAACACCAGCACATGTAGGCAGAAAGACTTGGCCTGTGGAGCCCTCAGCCTCCACGCCCACCAGCAGGGACTGGGTGGTGATGTCAGCAATCCCCACAGAAAGGAGGGCTGCACAGCCGTCCCAGGAGCCAGCACTGTCCCCGTGATTCTACGTGCAGCCTCCACAAGTGTGTCGCATGGAAACAAGCAGTGGAGAGCCACATGTGTGTCACATCACGCCTCGCCTCACTCGTGCTAAACCTCGCTGACCAGGCAGAACCAGGCACGAGCTGCGTATCAAAGTTGCTGGAAGGAGAAACATCAGATCCCTAAGCTGGTTACCTGGCAGGCAGGGGCCCTAGAGGGAAATGGGGCAGGTGAAATGGAGATGTGTCTTTGAAATGTCTTTATTTGGCGGGAGAACGTCTTCATAGGGTACTTATACCATGAAAAACCCTGTACACAGACTAATTTTGAAGCAAACATGTGAGGCGTTCACAGAAAGGGTTCAGGAAGACAAGCACCCCAGCCGCAGAGAGCCCGTGGGCTGGGGGCACGGGGCATGGCAGCCCTCTCCTGGGGATGGGCAGGATGGGGCACGTAGGGCGGAGGAAGAGGCTCACATGGTGTGCGTGTTTGGGAGCACCCTGGGCAGCCTCTCGAGTGTCCAGAGAGAGGACACCGTCTTGAGCCAGCAGGGACAGCCAAGAGCGCCCGGGGAGAGGCCTGGGTGGAGACAGAACACAGCAGGCTGTGGGCGTGGCCAATGTTGAGGGACGGAGGTGGCCAGAGGCCTCTCAGTGGTGCCCAGGGAGCTGGGGACGAGGGGCCTCATCCTTCCCCTGAGCCCCTCCCTTCAGGCCCAGGGAGTGGCCTGGGGCCCAGGAGAGCCCGCTCCGCGCTCACAGCCTCCGTTCCCAGACACGCCCGGGCCTGAGCCCCCAGGCTGCACTGTGCCACAGAACAGACTCCCCGGCCCCTCCCTGCTCGAGAGGTGACCAAGGCCCAGGGTCTCCCAGCGAGCAAGAGGCCATTGAACTGTTGTTGGCTGTGCAGTGCCCTGCCCTCGGGGAGGCGGCCTCTAAGAAGCACACACCACCAGCAGGAACCGGGCAGACAGAGGTGGGGGATGGAAAGCAGGGGAAGTGGCCACAGCCAAACCAGGAGGGGGAAGGGAGGGGGCCTCACCAAGGAGACCCTCACCTGGGGCCTGGAGAATGAGAAGGGTCTGGAGGCTAAGGAGAGGGGTGGATGCTCCAGGAGGCAGGGCCAGCCCATGTGAGGGTCCTGAGGTAGGAACCAGAGGAAACCGGCTCTGGGGCGAGAAGGGCGGCGCCCAGGGGGCCACAGGGGCCGGCGGCGAGGGACCCTCAGCCGAGGCTGGTATCTCGAGAACAGCAGGGATGCCTCAAAGGTTCTCGCCCAGCAAGTGGACATTGTGGTGTGGGAGATCAGCAGGTGCCGGTGCTTTCTCTGTCTGCAGGAAGGAGAGGGGGTCATGGGCCCCAGAGGCCTCTGTCTTAGAGAAAAATGGTGGCAACGTGGGACAGACTGAGGAAGCCAGCCCAGAAACGTCCCGTCCCAAATTCAGGAATATTTAGGGTATACCTGCTGCACGCCAAGGGCAGTTTCAGGAAGGGGACCTACTTCTGAGAAGCAAACACCACCAGTAGGGACCAGGCAGACAGAGGTGGGGATGGAAGGAAGCCAGACTGACCTCACGTGGCTCACAGCCACTGGCAGGGTCGGGGGACAGGTGCCAAACTATCCACATGCCCGTCAGGCACCTGGAGGAGTGTGAAACGGCATGCAGAAAGAAGGAAGCAGGCTTGGGGCTGGGGGCCAGGGACCGGCGCGCCGGGAAGCAGGCTGCAGAGTGAGGCCAGGGATGGGGGCTGGGCCAGACCACAGGGTTGTGAGCGGACTCTGGCATTGATCCGGAGCCACTGAGGGTTAGAGCCTATGACTGACAGGGGTCTGACTTCCAGTGGTATGGGGCCACCCTGCTGGGCTGGGGAAGGGAGGCGAGAGGAAGTATCTAAGGTCTGCTTGTGGACTTCCGGGGACAGCGAGGGGTATTGCTGGGGTCCTAGGGGCTGGTGCGCTCAGAGGTTCCAGATGGCCCAGCAAGTGGCTGAGGGCCCAGGGTAGGGGAGGATGTGGGGGCAGCAGGGCCGATGTGGGCAGACCTGGAGCAATGACACGAGAACGGCCAGGCAGCCCTGGCTTCCCCTGCCCACCTGCCCCCGTGGCCGGGCTGGGGTTTGGCTGAGGCAGCAGAGCGCTCGCTGGCTGCCCGAACAAAGTGTTCTGCCTGGTGTCCCCTGGCCTCCGGGCCTCTGCGGGCTCGCCAGAGGGGGCAGCTCAGGAGGCAGCGGCAGAGAATCAAATGCAGGTGGGGCCTGTGCCCACCGCCAGCACAAACACGGCTCCTGGGCCCCCAGCCTGCCCGACGTTCCTGCCCGCCTGGCCCCCAAACAGAGGCCGATGGGACGAGCCCTGCCCGGGGTTGCACTAGGTGGGCAGGTGGGCAGGTGGGCAGGTGGGCAGCTGCCTCGGGCTCTTGGACAGAGCCGCCCCTGCCTGGCGTCTGCCGGCAGGAAGCTCCTGAGGCCGGGCTAGGGATAGGCCAGCCCTTGGGGGAGGCTCGAGACCCCATCCCAGCCTGGGGCTTCCCCACCCCCTCCCACCTGCCTGGCAGTGAGGCAGCTCCCTGGCCTCTGGGTGCACCTGGGCCTCCTGCCCAGGCCCCTTCCAAGGGAAGAGGGCAAAGGGGCTCCAGTGCCACCCAGGGAGTGTTGTGCCACGTGGGCCCCCCTGGCTCTGCCACTGACTCCCTCCATGACCTCTGTCCCCACCCTGAAGTTGACATGAATGTCCGCACGGAGCAGCCTCTGCAGGTCTGTGAGGCTGTGGATGTGACAGCTCTGGCTCTGGCACAAACGTCAGCCCCAACCCAGATGCAGGGAGGGAGGTGGCTGCGTGTCCAGGAGCACGGGGCCATGTGGCACCGGCTCATGTCAGCAGACACGGCACACATAGACCCCCTGGGGGCTATGACGAGGTGAGGGCTGAGCCGAGGGAGAATCCAGGAAGGCGTGCGGGCCGAGAGGAAGAGGAAGGGAGGCTCTGGTGGCTGGAGCCAGCTGGGGGAGGGAAGGCAGCAGGGGCTGGGATCCCTCAGCCCCCACAGCCGTGGTGCGGACTTTGTTGTTTGCTCAGAGTACAAAGAAGAGGCCTTCTCCGGGTTCTTAGCAGACGAGCGCGACCTCTCCGACCAGGGAGACAGACAAGAGGGGAGGTTATGAGGTCACCTGGGAGAGGTGTGGGTTCCAGCTCCCGTCGCCACTCCCCGACTGGATGCCAGAACGAGCCTGTCGTCTTTCACCTCCAGACAGCAGGGCCCTGGCTCCCAGTATCAAAGCATGTACAAGAGCGGTCTCTAGGGCAGTTCTGCGTAGACGCCAAAGTACAGGAAGACGTGCAGGAACTTTGTGCCGTCGACCCTTGAACAATGCAGGGTTGGGGCACCGACCCCCGAACTGCCCAGTCAAAAACCCATGTATAACTTTTGACTCCCCAGAAACTTCACTAATAGCCTCCTGTTGACTGGAGGCCCTACCAATAACATAAACAATCAATTAACACATTTTGTATGCTTCATGTATTACAATAAAGTAAAGTAAGGAAGAGAAAAGATATTCATTCAGCATAAGCAGATCATTGTAAAGGTCTTCATCCTCGTCATCTTCACGTTGAGTCAGCTGGGGAGGAGGAGGGGTGGCTCTTACTGTCTCGGGTGACAGAGGAGGAAGAAAATCCACGTAGAAGTGCACCCACACGGCTCAAACTTGGGTTGTTCAGGGTCGATGATACACAAAAAGGACATTCTAATCCAGTGGGGAAAAGGTCCATCATTCCATAAGTGGTGGGGTATCAGCAGGATAACCTGCAAAAGTAAGTCTGTAGGTCAGAAATCAATCCCAGGCGATTCAAAGATTTAGGGGGTAAAACACAAATCAAAAAAGTATTAGGAAAAAAGATTTTGGCGTTGGAATGGAGGAGGCCCTTCCAAGCACGCACAGGATGAGAAGGCATAAAGGAAAAGATGGATGGCTTTGACCACGTGAAAAAGTGAAAACATAAGTAAGACCTCTGTGTGGCAAAACAAAAAAATAATAAATGCCATAAACCCATACACGAGACAAATAGCACACTAGGGAAAAACATGTGTGATGTGTACTTGACATCTTTCTTAACATAGAGTCCTTACAAATCAATGAACGTGAAAAGGCCCAGTCCCAGCCTCAGCTTCTCTGCTCAGCACCCACCCTGGGAGGGAGTGGGCTTGGGGGGCTTCTACCCCCTCACTCCAGCCTTGGGGCCCCGGGAAATTGGCCGGGGCCTCACTTACTAATTCAACAAACATTTGTGCAGCGCCAACTCTACCCTCCATGTATTTACTGGGCACCTTCTAGGCTCCAGGCTCCAGGCTCTGGGAGACTGTCTAGGGTTAAGACGGTGACTGCCTGGCCTAGAGCTGGGCCTCCAGCTGGTGGCAAAACACCAAGCAAGGAGATCAATAAACCGGGACATTTCAGGGAGTGGTGAAGGCTTACAGGAACATGGGGAGAGATGAGACGAGGAGGCCGCCCAGGATTTTGAGCTAAGGTTACAAAGCAGCAGAGGACAGCGGGTGCAAAGGCCCCAGGGCCCAACTGAGATGGGCGCTCAGATCAACACGGGCATGCTCAGTGCCGGAGAGGGGCCAGCGGAGCCTCTGGGGGCACTGCAAAAGGAGACTGGATTTTACTCCCAGTCCAGTGGGAATTCTGCAGAAGGATTTGGCCCAGGCTGGGAGGGAAGGCTCAGCCTGGCTGTTGCCTGGAACAAGCGGGGAACAGGTTGGGGGCATAGCCAGGCAGTGAGGTGGTTGTGACAGTCCAGGCAGAAGATGCTGCCAGCCTGGGCAAGGGGCATGGGGGGCAGGCTCAGAGCACATGCTCCAGACCAGAGAGCCACAGACACCAGGTGCACACCAGGGACCCTGGGTAGTTGGTCGTGCCCTGTGGATACAGGATTCGGGCCGGCTTGGGAGGAATCTGAGCTCCCGCTGGGACACGCTGAGCTGTGGGGCTGTTGGCCTGCAGGCCTTGGAGCCCCTGGAGAGAGCAAGTAGCTGACGGGGACATCCTAGCTAGCCGAGGTCCCAGGAAGGGAACGAGGGTCGTGTGGTGACGATCTTGAGATATTCCCCCACAGTCGTCAGCCAGGGACATGGCGCCCCTGAGGCCCTTGGGGGGCCAAGCATCCGTCAGTGGGCAGAGGCTGGTAAAAGTGGATGTCAGCAGCAGGGGGAAGGGTCTTTCTTTCACCATCTTGGGCCTCTCTCAGAGGGAGGCAACCCCGCTCCTGGGGGGTGGTCAGTGAGGGCCAGCCAGGCAGCGGCAGCCCCAGGAAGGGTGTTGGGGTGGAGCTGACCAGGCCTCTGCCGCATGGTTGCGCTGTGCCGAGGACCCGCTGAGGACATAACCGACCATGAGCGGTGTGGGTCCCCAGCCGCGGCAGAGCTTCCTCTGGCTGCTCGGCAGACAACAGACACCAGGGACAGAGACAAGGTTGAGGATTTGGTCTGCAGCCTCTGAGCGGACACACTCACCCTCAGTGCCTGCCAATTCAGCCCCACCACAGGCGCCAGTCCCGAGCCTGAGCACAGGGGCTGCCACGACGCTCGACTCTCTGGGCCAAGACTCACACACAGCCTGGACACTGCCCGGGTGAAGGGCTCTGGGGGACAGGGGGAGCAGCTGGTATGTGTGTGACCATGGGTCCCAGACTCAGTGCCATCTGTCTCCCCATTAGGAGAGGACGCCTGGTACCTGCCCAAGCACCCAAGCCATGGGAGTTGCTGCTTGCTCTCCACGCAGCTTTGTCCCAGCAGCACCCCCAACTCCTGTGATGGGTTGCAGGGGGTGCTCACCTCTGTGGCACACACAAAGGCCCAGGGGCCTGGGGGTGCAGGCAGGTGCACTCCAACCCTTGGGCAGCCCAGAGAACAACCTAATGGAAAGTGAAGGGAATTGTACAAGTGTGTACAAGGGTGCAGGGTGGTTCCTGCCTTCTTGCACGCACAGTCTCCCACACTCATACAGCCACAGGTTCGTACGAGGTACACATATGTGGGCTCACCTAGCATGCCTCCCGTGTGCACAGCAGTGCTCCTTTGGCCTCAGGCCACAGGCATACATGTGCAACTGTACGTGCACTCTAGGAATCCCTAATGATCATGGCCATCGGGTGGCTCGCAGTGCACTGAGCACCATGCTCTGTCCCTGGTGTCTTCATGCCTCAGTCCACTTGATCCCCTCAGCATCCTCCTGGGGAAGGTGCTACAGCTGCCCTGTTTTATAGGCAGGGAAACTGAGGTTCAGAGAAGCAAAGTGACTTGCCCAAGGTCACCCGGCCAGGAAGCGGCAGAGGCAGGATCTGACCCCAGACCCGCTGCGGCACACACACGCCTGCCTGCACGCTCCCGTGAGGAGGTGCTTTGTGCCCAAGGCCCTGCAGCAGTGTGGGGGGTTCTGAGGCCATCTCCCACTGGCCACAGCACAGCAAGCTCCAGCAGGGCAGCTGCCCCAAGGCCTGGCGGTAAAACCTCAGCAGCGAGAAACACGGTCGACTTTTGTCCAAGAACTGAAGCACTAAAGCAAAGTCAAACACAATCGCTCCATGCCCTGCCACGAACCGCGACCTTACCACGTGCTGTGACCTATTGCCACTTGTGCCCAGCTCCACACAGGAGCCGGGTCTGACATCCGATTGCTCAGAGCCTGGTATGAAACATTCTAGGTACCGCCCTGAGAGTGGCTTAGTAACTGCTGGTTCCTCAGGACAGACAGGAGGAAGGCCAAGGTGACCTTTGCCCTGCGACCCTACAGAGGGCCCTGGGGAGGCCCTGCCTGGTCTTTAGACACTGCCCAACAAGGATGCTAGAAGGGGCAGTGAGTTTTCTGCCTCCTGGGGAACTGCAGCCCAGGCAGAGAACAGGACCCCCACCCTGGGAGCAGCGGGTGTGCCCGGCCTCTCCCGCCTGTCCCTGGCCAGTCTGCCATCCACGAGGCCAGGGCCTTTGGCGGTCCTAGGCGGGGATCAAGGCCGGGCAGGTTCTGCAAAAATTTCCCTTGAAAGACTCTTTTTCAAGATTTTCTTTTGAAAACAAATTCATAACCACATCAAACAGGAATCCCCGTTGCCTTGGGTTTGATCGCCGGCCGCCCGGGGCTCTCTAACTAGCTGTTATTCTAATTGCTTTTTTCTCTTCCGAGGGCTGCATAGGTCTCTTATGGTTATTAATTTGGTGAGTGCAGGCCGGGCACAAAGCAGCTTTTGTCTGCCTTGCCTTTTAATCACTATCAAATTGCAAATAATGGTGGAGGCTGAGATCCCCAAAATTGATCTGTCCCAGCAGTTCTTGGGGAACCGGCCCCAGTGCCTAGAGCATGCACTGCCTTCCCCCAGGGCGGCAGCTCCCCGATGGCACCTGCCCGGATGCACCTCCGCATGGGTGGGGTCTGGCCTCGGCCATGGGAGGTGCTTCTCAGGCTCCTCCATCGCCAAAAAAAACCAAACGTGCCAGCGAGATGAAGGCGCCCTGCCCGCAGAGTGGTGGGGTGGGACTCTTCAGGGACACGTGCTGTGACAAGTGCTTGAGTCAGAGCTAAGACTCTGGGGCTGCCGAGGAGCCACCTGTAGCCCAGGCCTGGGCCCTTCCCACAAGGGGGGCAGCAGCATGATGCATCAGACTGTGGACCCGCCCTGGGCATCCAGCCCACATCCTGGCCCACCCCCGGGGCCTCTGTCACCAGCAGCTGGGATGATGAGAGCATGTCTCTGGGGCCAGAGACCCTAGCCAGTCCCTCAAAGCCCCAGTTGGCACAGGCAGCAGTTGAGGTGAGCCTGGGACCAGCCAGAGCCAGGCATGGGCTGACGCTGGCCCAGGCAGCTTCAGGGAGCCCTTCAGTGTCCGTCGGAGGCAAGCTCGGCCCTGTGGCTGCCTCCCGACCCCAAAGGTGGCTGAGTGCCTCTCTACACGGTGCCGGGACTCCCTGCCGGGAGGAGCTGTCACCAAAGTGGCTCAGGACTGAGCGCTGATTCCAGCCACACCCTCAGCCTGCACTGCCTGCCTGCGGCCCTGACACCCACTGTCTCTTTCTGTCCCAAGAATCCCCTGTGAAGGCCTCCACACCCATTAGCACATGTGGGACTTGGACAGATGTTCGAGTGCCATAATGTGAAAATTTATGAAACCACAAATGTTCATCTGTGATGTATTTGGTGCTTTAATTAATGCCAAACCAATTGATACCCAAGCTGGGGCCTGCACAGTTAGTGACAGTAAGCCACGCGGGGCAAACCTCGTTCCACACTACCAGTATGCGGGGCCCAGGGAGCTGAGGTGAGCCCTAGGACACAAGCCCAGGCTTTGCCCTCAAAGACCCACGCTGGCTGCACCTTTGATCTGCTACGCTCTCGTAGGTCTCTGGGCCTCAGTTTCCTCATGTGCACCCTGAAGGCTGAGAGACCTCCCATGACCCCTACCAGGCATGAGCAGGTCGTGGGACTGAGAGGGCTGGTCCTGCCGGCAGCAGGAGCCACGGGGGTCAGGGTGTGGCTGAACAAGAACGAGACCTCAGGCCGGTCCCCCTCCCAGAGGCCCCGCCCCACCCTGCCCTCTGCTTTCGCCGGCTCCCTACCTGACACACTGTGTCCCCCCATATGGCAGCTCCGTGGTCTCGAGATGGAGCCTTGGGGTGGGAGCTGTGGGGACAGGATGGGAGACATGGCACTTTCAGCCAGTGACTCTGACCCTCTTTTCCTGGGCCTCAGTGTCTGCATCTGTGGGATGGAGTGTGGGCCTCTGTGGCTCGTCCCCAAGTGGCTTTGCAGAGCACTGAAGTGCTGGCGGGTCCTTGGGTGTGAGAGACCCCGGTGGATGGCCCTGGGCCCCTGCCCCTGCCAAACCACAGAAGTCCTGCACCCCTTTCCTCCATAGTCTGGGCCTCACATCAGGTTTATCTGGGAAAAATAAAACATGGGGCTCCCTCTGGCCTGGACCGTCAGACCTCGGATGTACACCTGCCCTTGTGTTCAGGACAGTTGGGTCTCAGACTCACCCCATACCTGCAAGGCAGAACCACAGGGGAGCCAGGGAGCCTCCACACTGCAGCCCCCACCACCCAGGGCTGGAAGTGGGTCCCCTGGGCTCCTGCTCTGGGCAGGGCACAGTCCCACCCTCCCAGGTGGAGGCTGCCCACCTAGCCCTCTAGACAGACGCTCGGCCCCACTCAGGCAGGCGCCCCCCTCTCATCTCAGCCTCTCACAGCACCCTGTTGGCCGCCTCTTCCTTAGCCTGCTCAGCCTCCGTGGTAGGTGCTGTGGGTGACGACCACAGCACCCAGCCTTTGAAGCTGGCCCGGGTCCACCCAGACCCTAGCAAACTGGTTGCTCCCTCTCTGGCCATCCCGGGGCTTGTGCCCACGTCACCCAGCAGCATCTTCCCTGGGGTTGTCTCACCCGCACAGAACCCAGCCCTGGCCCACACCTCACCCCAAGCCTATCCGGCTGGATCAGCAGTGGGGCCGGGCGCATGAGGGACCAGGCCCGCCCGGCGCAGCCTAGGGTGCAGACCCCTGGAGTGCACGGCCAGGTGGACCGGGCCAGCTCCCGCCTGCTGCCTGTGCTTAGGGCCAGTGGTTGACGTTGCTGTGGCTGAGTCATCTTCGTGCCTCTCTCTGGAGCCATACGTTTCCCTGAAGCAGCTCTGCTGTTCAGCCCTTATCGCGTGCTGATCTGTTTGCCCCTCCCCCACCACTTCTAGGTCTTTCCAGGCCTCCAGGTACCCACGGTGGGGGAGGGTCTACTTCATTCTCCACAGAGCACGCTGAGGGGCTCTCCTGCAAGAACACCGCAGGCTGAAGGACCAGCCCTGTCTCCTGTGGCCACCAACAGAGCTGTGCGCCCTCCCCGAACCCTCACTCATGCTAGGGCCCCCAGGTCCAACCTCCTAGGGAGAGGGGTCCCCAACCTGGACTCCCTCACCTGCCCTAGTCTGCCCCTGGGGTTGGCCCTGCTCCACCCAGCACCTGCTCTGAGGGTGCCAGGGTGCCGGCCTGCCGGCCAGGGCCTTCCAGTCTCCCCATCAAGGCTGGATGGCCACTTCCCACCCGGGGCGGGCTCCAGCCTCATTCCCCAGCGGTGCTGTCCTTCCAAGGAGCTCTCAGATCACCTGGCTGTCCACTCGTTTGGGGCTTCTCTGCTGCCTCCGCAGCACTGCGAGGCCTCTGATCACCTACTCTCTGTGCTGGGTGCATTTCGGGTTCTGTCCTGCCTTGACCTCCCTGCCAGCTTTGCAGGGCAGCCACCCTGGCACATAGCTCACTGCAGAACCAGCCCCTGAGAAGGTGGAGGCCACATGGCTAGCCAGAGGGCACGCTCTAGGGCACTGCTCTGACCACAGAATGTGGGTGCAGATGGTGTCTGGGAAAATAGTGGTGTCCCCGCTAGGTTAAAGACATGGCATAATGGTTCCTGGGGGATGACAAAAAAACCCACCCCCACCCCCTTGCAGAAAGCATCACAGAGGCACAAGCCCTGTGCCCTGCAAGCCCCTCCTGGAAGTGGCCCAGCAGGGGCATCCCCTGCACACCCAGGCAAAGCCCAAGCCCTCTGCCTCCTCAACCACCCCAGGCCCTGCCCATGAGCCAGCCTTGCTGAACTCTGCCCTCTGTCCAGTTCTCCTCCAGACACAGTAGACATAGCCCCCAGCCTTTCTTGACCCTTAACCCAAATGTCCCCAAGCCTGGCCTCAAGAAGCCAAAGGCTGCCGCAAACCCAAATATTTCAGGTCCGGGTCCCTGGTGCAGACCCTGCCATGCGGGGATGTGGCACAGAAGGCCGGCCAGCCTGGGGAGCAGAGAAGGAGGAGAGGAGAGCTCCTGGCCCTGAGCCTGAATGCCTGTGGACACATATAGGGACTCCCAGCACGCACGGGATGGACTCCAATCGGCACACATGCACATTCCTTGCACACACACAGGCGCGACCGAGGGCCTTGCAGACATAGGGTGCACACGTGCGTGCCGCCTGCATACAGCATGCACTTGCAGAGACGGTTGGCACCTTCCCTTCTCTGGCCCCAAACCTGGGCCCTGAGGCTGTCTGCACACCTGGGTGCTTCCCACCACTGACTCTCTCGTCTGCCTTTGTCCCCGCAGGTGACGCAGCTGGACCAGAGGCTGGCACTCATCACCGACATGCTTCACCAGCTGCTCTCCTTGCACGGTGGCAGCACCCCCGGCAGCGGCGGCCCCCCCAGAGAGGGCGGGGCCCACATCACCCAGCCCTGCGGCAGTGGCGGCTCCGTCGACCCTGAGCTCTTCCTGCCCAGCAACACCCTGCCCACCTACGAGCAGCTGACCGTGCCCAGGAGGGGCCCCGATGAGGGGTCCTGAGGAGGGGATGGGGCTGGGGGATGGGCCTGAGTGAGAGGGGAGGCCAAGAGTGGCCCCACCTGGCCCTCTCTGAAGGAGGCCACCTCCTAAAAGGCCCAGAGAGAAGAGCCCCACTCTCAGAGGCCCCAATACCCCATGGACCATGCTGTCTGGCACAGCCTGCACTTGGGGGCTCAGCAAGGCCACCTCTTCCTGGCCGGTGTGGGGGCCCCGTCTCAGGTCTGAGTTGTTACCCCAAGCGCCCTGGCCCCCACATGGTGATGTTGACATCACTGGCATGGTGGTTGGGACCCAGTGGCAGGGCACAGGGCCTGGCCCATGTATGGCCAGGAAGTAGCACAGGCTGAGTGCAGGCCCACCCTGCTTGGCCCAGGGGGCTTCCTGAGGGGAGACAGAGCAACCCCTGGACCCCAGCCTCAAATCCAGGACCCTGCCAGGCACAGGCAGGGCAGGACCAGCCCACGCTGACTACAGGGCCGCCGGCAATAAAAGCCCAGGAGCCCATTTGGAGGGCCTGGGCCTGGCTCCCTCACTCTCAGGAAATGCTGACCCATGGGCAGGAGACTGTGGAGACTGCTCCTGAGCCCCCAGCTTCCAGCAGGAGGGACAGTCTCACCATTTCCCCAGGGCACGTGGTTGAGTGGGGGGAACGCCCACTTCCCTGGGTTAGACTGCCAGCTCTTCCTAGCTGGAGAGGAGCCCTGCCTCTCCGCCCCTGAGCCCACTGTGCGTGGGGCTCCCGCCTCCAACCCCTCGCCCAGTCCCAGCAGCCAGCCAAACACACAGAAGGGGACTGCCACCTCCCCTTGCCAGCTGCTGAGCCGCAGAGAAGTGACGGTTCCTACACAGGACAGGGGTTCCTTCTGGGCATTACATCGCATAGAAATCAATAATTTGTGGTGATTTGGATCTGTGTTTTAATGAGTTTCACAGTGTGATTTTGATTATTAATTGTGCAAGCTTTTCCTAATAAACGTGGAGAATCACAGGCTGGGCTGGGCACTGCTCTCACCTTGGTTCCTGGGGCATCCATGGGGTCTCTCACAGACAGGACCCCTGCAGTTCCCCTGGAAGCAGTGCCCAGGTGGCTGTGGAATAGGAACGCTATGTCCGTGTACTGAGGAGTAGGTCAGGGTTCAGAGGGGCTGCAAGATGCCATCGAAGGCTCTAGCTTAGCGACGTCGCTCCTGTTCTGGGCCCTGGGCTGGCCCTGGCCATGAAGTGCAGTCACAGTGTGGTCACTGCCTGTCTTCCAGCAGACTCTATGCCCTTGCGGCAGATGGGCTCTGTCTGGGCCTCTCTGTCTGCCCCTCCCAGGCCAGGGTGGCCCTTCATCAAGGACCCACATGCTCCACTCTGGGAGCAGGCCCCACCCAGGCCCATTCCCCAGGATGCCAAGGGCTAAACTCTGGAGGGGTTGTGGTGCAAGGAAGGCCTGGGGCCCCTGAGGCTCCCATATGCTCACCCCTGGCCTCCTCCGGGCCTCTATTTCCCCATTGGTAACACGATGCTCCCTTAGCCTGTCCAGTTCTCTGAGTGGGACAGAGGGGCCACCACCCTGCTCGCCCTGACCCTGTTCCTGCAGCTTTCTGTGAGGCCCGCCTCTCCTAAGGTGGAAAGAGTGCCTCACTCTCGGCACAGACACACTCAACCGGGGCAGGTGCATCTGCTGTGCCCCCACCTCAGCTATTGGACCGTTTCTCAGTCCTTCAGGACTGCAGCCGCCTTCTGTCCTCTTTCCAGAGCCCATCCCGAAGTCTCAGGATATGAGGGCTTGGGGCATCTGAGATATCAAGGATGGGGCTGTCCTGAGTCCACTGGGGGCAGGAGGCGGCCAGCAGCAGGTGGCAGGGACAGGGGCCCCAGGTTTCTGTGTGGAGTAGGGGTGGAAGCCCTTGTTAGAGGGAAAGGCCCTGGGTCCCACCTGGTGCCAAGCCCACTGGGCCCGTGCCCCCAACCCATGGGTCTTGGCATCTGGCCTGGCCAGCACTGACCGGGATGGACGAGGTGGAGGGGCAGCACGGGGCTTCCCAGGCTTCCCTGGCCTGCACCCCTCCGGGAGGAGCGGGAGCAGCAGTTACTGAAAGGCAGGAACTGTTGTTTCCTTGTTGGGTAAATATTTGTGGAAACCCGGGGATGCCGGCCGGAAAGCAGGGCCCTCCACAGCGCCCAGGCCCCCCAGCCCCGGCCGCCCACCCCGGGACCCTGGCCCACAGGGAGCTCCGTGGGGCCGCCCATCTGGGCCGGGCGCGGCCCCGGCACCCAGCCCGCCTTGTTGTCCATATTATGGACTGCGCACAAAGTGCCCGAGGACTCCTCTCCTGGACGGGCCATTGCAGCCCTCTCGGGTGTGAAATGCAATTTACCTGAAATAAAGCCCAATTATGGAATTAGCTAATTAAAGCCATGGCGGAGGCTGGGCCTGGCCGGCCGAGTGCTCAATGCCCGCCGGTGCCCGTGGACTGAGGGAACAGATGGCGCCTCGGCCCGCCGTGCCGGCCGCATTCCTTCACTCTGTCCCCCGATAAGTGACCTAGACAGCACACGACCATCTGGTGTGTGGCACGTCCTGCGGGCCCCGGACAATGGCCCGGCAGACCTCTCTGCGAGAGGGCCGTCGCCCGGGCAACGGTGGCATGTGCAGCCCCGACCCATTCACGGCCCCTCCCGCAGCCCCTTTCTTCGGGCCCTTTGTGGCCTCACCGCGGCTGCCTGGCTGCTCTGGCTGAGGATAGCCATGAGTGTTTGTCCCCAGAGCCGGCCTTTGTCTCCAAATTGGGCTCCCTTATTGAGGTCCTCGGGGTCCAATGGGTGCCAGGAGCATCTGCTGGGGGTGACTGGGGGAGGGGCTGCTCCTGCTTCCTGGGGCACCCACCTCCTCTGCCAGGCTCTCCTCCCCCGTTGCCTGCCCCCAGATGTCCCCTCGTGGGTGCTGGGCGTGGCCATGGGGAAGCCCGTCTCTAGGGCTGGCACTGGCCAAGCCCGAGGTTCTCCCATCTTCGGGCCAGGGAGCCAGGAGGAGGAGGAGTCAAGGGCGGGGCCGACCTGCAGCCCCTCAGCTCCCACCCCAGTCCTGTCTGCGAAATGGGGAACAGTAAAAGTGCCCCCTAGAAGGGGCGTACGGGGCAGGGGCTTGATGGAGATGAGACATGTGAGCACACAGTAGGTGCTTAATAAAGGAAGCCAAACAAACCACCTGGGTGGGTGATACTGGGCTCTGCCTCCTTGCTGCTCTCCTGCCTGTTGCCTCGGAGCTCCTTTCTGAGGCCCCTCCTGCATCTAGCCTTACCCCACCAAGCTCCCTGCCCCTCGGTGCCAGGGAGAGCTGTCCAAACCCAAGCTGGCAGTTCCCCATCCTGCTCTCAAGCCAACCATGACTCCCCACTGCTGAGTGGGCCTGTGAGGCCCCACAGGCTGCAACCCTGCCACTCACCCTGGGCATCCCCCGCCATGAGCCCAGCTTCCCCATCCTCACCCTGTACTTGACGTCCAGCCCCCCTCCCTACTCAGGACCTCCTCTGAGCACCATCTTGGCAGGCAGTCCCCCACCAGCGTGGTGGTCAGGAGTCAGGCCCACCACTGGGAGAGGGGCTGTGCTGGGCCTTTGAGGCCCCAAAAAGGAGCCGGGGCTGGCAGTGCCTAGTACAAGCCTGGCCCCAGCTGGGTGCTCAGGAAGTGCCAGTTAAATTAAGGAATAAAATGAAAAGTTGGAAGGAGGCTGCCCAGTGCTGCATGTGCAGCAGAGGTACCAGGACCCAAGCAGGGCATCACCAGGCGTCCCTCCAATGGACAGGAGAGGGGTCCACACCCTGCGCCCTGAAGGAGGGATCAGGCCAGGTGTTTTGATCTGGGGCAGCCAGACAGCTGGGGGAAGGAGCAGGAAGGCAGACAAGAGCCAGGGCTCCTGGGGCCACCACACACAGCACCCCCATCTCCAGGGGATTTGCTGAGTCACCTGCAGGGATGAAGACTGCCCTTTCTCAACTATATCAAGTCCCTAATTTGGAGTGCCCATCTGAGCTGTGCCAAAGCCTGCTCCCCCCAGCACCCCAGCCTCCTCTCAGCACAGCCCTCCGGGCTCTAGGACCCAGGGGTTCCTTGCGAATCTTTTTTTTTTTTTTTTGAGACGGAGTCTCACTCTGTCTCTCAGGCTGGAGTGCAGTGGCACGATCTCAGCTCACTGCAAGCTCCGCCTCCCGCCATTCTCCTGCCTCAGCCTCCCGAGTAGCTGGGACTACAGGCGCCCACCACCACGCCCGGCTAATTTTTTTTTGTATTTTTAGTAGAGATGGGGTTTAACCATGTCAGCCAGGATGGCCTCGATCTCCTGACCTCGTGATCCGCCCGCCTCGGCCTCCCAAAGCGCTGGGATTACAGGCATGAGCCACCGCACCCGGCCTCCTTGGGGATCTTAAGCGTGTCTCAGCCTCACCATTCTCGGCCCCCAACTGCACCAACCCCGCTCTTGCCTCTGGCCCTATTCTTGTGGCCCTGGAGGGCCAGCTAGTTGGGAGATCAGGCCTGTGGCCTGTGTCCCAGCACCCTTCACCTTTCCTGTCCCCACCCAGGTCAGCCAGGGTCCCAGGCAGCCAGGCCTGGAGGATGCTTGGGGCAGCCAAAGCCAAACAGAGCTTCAGTTTCCACTGGCCTCTGAGTGCAGACAGCCGGGGCCAGGGCCCCCTGGAAGCTGACAGGTCCCACCCCGGCCCTTCCCAACTCCACTGTGGAGCCTTGGTGAGGAAGCCTAGAGGGCCCTCAGTCGGGCAGTGCAGGAGGGCTGGGGGCTGCCACCCCAGCCCAAGGCCTTAGAGGCCAAGGCCCCAGCCTGTCCCACCCAGGCACTGGCTGGGTAATAGGAGGCGGGGCATCCACTCTGCCCTCAAGATCCTTCTCCCTCAGTAGGTCCTGCTATGACCTCCTGGCCCTCCTCTTCAGCACCCCGTACCAGGCCTCCTACAACTCCCCTCCCCTGCAGCCCCCACAGCTCAAGGCACCTGAGTGAGGCAGAGCGTAAAGGAGATGGACAGCCTGGCCCAGGGCAGCCCTGCTGGACTCCAGGAGATGCTTGGGCCCGCTCCCCACTCTTCCTTCTAGACCCTCACCCATGGCTCCCAGAGGGGACGAGGCCGCCCTTAATTCCCAGAGCCAAGCCCAGCCCCACCGCCCACCTATCCCCAGGCTTGGGTTTCGCACACGTACAGGCAGCGAGCCCGAGGCCCAGGAAGACACAAGCCGGGCCCAGAGGTGGCCATGGATGGCTCAGTGGACAGAATCCATCCTGGTGCCTTCTGGGGCCTCAAACACACAGCTCCTTCCACTTCCCGGGAGTGGCCCCAAGGTGCAGGGGTGGGGGTGTCGAGATGGAGTCCAGGGCTTGTCACTTGGGCACAGTGATCCCCACCTGCATGACCCATGACCCTGGAAACCCCCCCCACCTTCTCCTCTCCCCACTGCCGGCCCCTCCACAACATTCCCCGTGACATGCTCCTTTCCAGCCTGCAGGACGCATGGGGTCTTTCTGTGGCATTGCAGCTGAGCAGCATCAGGGCAGGAGGTGCAGGCTCTGGGAACCAGGCTCACAGCTTCATCTCCCTCCTGGGCCTGCGCCCTGGGAAGCCGGTGGCAGCGGCAAACCCACGGAGAGGAGTTAACAGGTGCCCGAGGACAGAGAAGACTCATGCTGAGGGGAGAGACCCCAGAGCAAAAAGGCCTCAGAGCTCGTGAAGCCCCCCACCCGGTACAGACAGGGAGACCAAGGCTGGGGGAAGGCCGGGCCTGTGCTGCGCCTGTTTGTGTGACTTTGCATTGGAAAAGCCTCAGAGAAGAAATGGGGCTTCCACAGCAGAGAAGGTAGCTCAGCCAGGAAGCCAGAGGGCAGGAATGAACTGACTGGCTGAAAGCAAGAGCTGGCCTTGCCAGACCTTTGGCCAGAGAGGCCAGATCTGAGGAAGAGATGTTCAAAATTCCAGGGTGGTCTGAGCACAGCTCCTCTGCTGGCCCACACAGGCCAAGAAGCCACAAAGCACTGTGCCTGCCTGATACAGCCAAGGGTCAGGTGGGCCTTCAGAACACACCGACTGGCTCCAAGAAGGCTGCTGTTGCACCTGCCACACAGAAAATCTCAAACTTCCCAGTTAGATCCTCAAGAAACTCTGTTACAGCCTGACCGCAAATGTGATTCACCAAACCCCACTGAATGACTTTTGGTTGTTTCTTAACCACATCCCTCCCCTGGCCAATGCTGACACACAGCTACACACACCTGCACACACACACACCTTCACACATACCTACACACACACCTACCCTACAAACCTGCACACACAATACACATACTTACACACCTACACCCCTACACACACCTACACATACACCTACACACCTACACCCCTACACACCGACACCCCTACACACCGACACCCCTACACACCGACACCCCTACACACACACACATCTACACACCTACAACCCTACACACACACACACACACACATCTACACACCTACACCCCGACACCGCTACACACACACACATACCTACAACACAAGAAGTGCCTCCACTGTGTGTGTGGCACGAGGCAGTGGGAATGAAGGAAAAGCTGAAGCCAGAAGCCAGGGATCCCCTCATTCACAGCCTGGCTCAGCCCCTCTCTCAGGTGCCCTGGGGCAGGAGCCAGGCTTCTCTGAGTTTCAGTCGCTCACTGCAACCACAGCTCCACAGAACTGACCCCAGGATCCTCAGTGGAAGAGAAGATATTGCAAAAGCCGGCGCCAACGCAAGACCAAACAGCAATGACAGAGCTCACTGTGCTCAGGGAGAACCATGTACTGACGTCCTCTTCAGTCCAGCAACCTGGAGCTTTGACACACAAACAGCCCCTGAGACAGAGGTCTCCGCAGCAAATCCACCCACGGGACACTTCTGCCAGGCAGAGCCTGAGTCAGCACAGGTGACCAGAGAGGGAAGGGCCCCAAATGCCATCCAGTTCTCCCAGAACAGCCGAGGGAGGTCACAAGTGGCCCAGGTGCCATGGGGAAGAGTGGCCCCATAGCAAGGCCAGGATGCCGCTGGTGTCAGAAGCCCCCCGAGCACCCAGAGGGGCAGAGGATCTGTGGGAGGAGCCTTCAGGTGGGCACTCAGGGAGCACTCACCCCAACTGTGCCCCCAGCCACCCCAAGAAGGCCTGGCCGGAAGCATCTCTGCCAGGGACAATGGGAGCAATGGGCTAGAGGTGGACTGGCCAGGCTCTGGAAGAGGAGGCTCCAGCTGGGAGAGGCCACAACCCCGGGGTGGGGCCCCTCCAGGGCACTTGAGGGTGGAACTGTGCAGCCCCTGAGTGTTGATGGGCCTGGCCTGGGCCGACCCCAGAGACTCCAGCAGAGGCCCAGGGAGCTGGACCGTAGCATCGCCCAGGGAAAGGGCCCGTCCTGGGGGTGGGCAGGAGGCTGCTTGAGAAAGGCTTCTAAAGAGGGGTTGTCAGGATGGTGGTGAATGCCATTAAATAATTTCAAAGGGTCTTAATCAAATCCCCTCTCGGTCCACGAGATCATGTCAAAGGACTCTGGAGAGGAAAAGAGGGGCAGACACTTCCCGTGCGTCTTCCACTTGACTGGCTGGCCCTGCGGCGTGGGGGCCTGCGGGCTCTCGCTCCGCCTGTAACTCCGTTTTTGACCCCAGCCAAGCCTGTCTCCTCTCTGGGCCTCCACCTCATCCTTGGGGTGAACCCACACTGCCCAGTTCAGGGAGCAGGCACCACCTCAGAGGGGGTCTGCAAGGGAAATGTCTCATCTCACCGCTTTAGGAGGAGGCCTCAGCGGCATCTCCAAACCATCGACGCAGCTGCTGAGAACCACCACTTACAGAAGGGGAAATTGAGGCATAGAAGAGCCATAGGATGGGGAGGCTCTTTCACAGCTTCCAGAGCCTGAATTTCCTGGGAACTTGGGCCTGGTGCTTGACCGTGCATTGCCTTGGTTTCTCATCTATCAAACAGGCTGAGACCACATCCTACCTCACATGGTTAGGGTGGGCTGTGAGCCAGGCAACGCAGCACATGTGATAGGTGCTTCCAGAATGTTCTACGGTGACATCTCAAGCCCACGGTCCTCAATGGTCCTGTTGGGCTCCTTCAGAATCCCCCCAGATGCCCCACATCATCTGCCCTGGACTTTTTTTTTTTTTAGAGACAGGGTCTCAGTCTGTTACCCAGGCTGGAGTACAGTGGCCTGATCACAGCTCACTGCAGCCTTGATCTCCTAGGCTCAAGTGGTCCTCCCACCTCAGCCTCCCAAGAAGTGGGGACTACAGTACACCACCACGCCTGGCTAATTTTGCTTATTTTTTTGTAGAGACAGAGTCTTGCTGTGTCGCCCAGGCTGGTCTCAAACTCTTGGGCCCAAGTGATCCTCCCACCTCGGCCTTCCAAAGCACTGCAGGTATGAGCCACCGCTCCCAGCCGCCTTGGGAATTTTTTCAAAGTATAGACACAAAACCTTCGTATTGTGTGTTCCCAAATGTCCCACAGCCGTAGGCTGGACAAAGCAGGGCCATTCACCTCCACAAAACCTTCCTATTGTGTGTTCCCAAATGTCCCACAGCCGTAGGCTGGACAAAGCAGGGCCATTCACCCCCGCCACAGCCACACACCTCTCCCACCTGGGTAGTTAACCTGCAAGTGCTAAGGGCTCTGAAACCACACAGCAGCGGCCTGTGATCCGAATTGTTCTGCAGCTGTCTGTCCTCACCCATCTGATGCTATGGAACCCATCTGTGGAGACCTTCCTGTTCTCCTGACCTTCTGCAAAGAGTTTCTCAGACAGCTGTGACCTAACTGTGTCCAGCCTCCCTATGCAAATGGAAATTCACCCATTCTGGGTTGAGCTGAGATTCAAACTCACACCCAGCCACCCCACATGCACCCTAAGAGCCAAAATCACTCTCCCAGAGCTGTTCCCGGCCCCATCAAGCAGGTGCACGGGCAACAGTCCGGGCTCAGAAGCTGCCTCCTCTCGGGCTCCCAGGCCCGGCCACTCCTCTGACACCACTGGCTACGACCACTGTTCTGGGGCAAAGACAGCCAGGTGGGCATACCCAGGTTGGGGGCTGTGGATGGAACAAATGAACCAGTGAAAGCTGGGAACACTCCCAGGAAGAGGGCTTTGTGTGCCCCCAGCCCTGGTCTCACCCCTTCCCTGGCCCTGGGATGAGGAGAGTCACCCCACAGAGGCCTTCCAGTGCAAGTGCCAGCCGGGGCCCCTCATCGACTACCTGATGCTACCATGCCCCCAGCTGATGGGACAGAGATGAGGCCCTGGAAGCTCAGCCCTCGTCCAAGGGCACCCAGTGACCAACCGCACCCGCTGGACTTCAAACTTGGAGCTCTGTGCCACCAGGAAGCCCCCTCACCCCCACCACTGAAGGAGCTCGAGAAACGCCAGACTATGCTGCTTTGGGATGTAGACCACCTGGAGCTGCAGGCAGGAGAGGCGGCCGCCAGGGGCATCGGCCCAGAAGGCCCCTCACCTCCTCCGCTGAGGGCTGCCCAGAGGCAATGTGGGTCCCAGGGGACTTTTCATCTGCATCTGGAGACCACCGTCACTCATGCTCCCTCCCTGGCCCTCCCACGACTGGTGCAGCCCCCACCCCAGAAGCCCCAGCCCCTATTCCTCTCTGTGGTTGGGAGGACATATAAGCTTAAATCACCTTGCCCTTCTCTGGGTGTCACGCTTTGTGGCCTTCCCTCGTACGTACATAATGAAAATTATTTCTTTCCTTCTGCTAATCTGCTCAGTTTAACTCGTGGCCCAAAGAACAAGGGCGGGGGGCAAGACAATTTCACTCCCTGCACTACCAGGAGCACCTGTGCCTCCGGAGGAGCCAGCAGAGAGGGCCGGCCCCAGCCCTCATCTCAGCAGAAGCCAGGCTGCGCTAGGGAGCAGAGAGGCCAGTGGGGGTCAGTCCCCAGGCCCCTGGTGCCACGAACACACTCCTCCCTCCCTCCCCCATGGCCCCCCTGCCACCATCCTTGAGGTGAAGCAGGCAGAACTGTGTCCCGAAAACGCTCCACAGCCCCCGCGTGTGTCCAGGTGGCTTCAGTTACCCGGCGCCTGGCTGGCCCAGCCTGCAGAGAGCCCTGCCAAGGCCTGGCACCGCTGTCCCGAGCGGCCCCTCTTGCCGCCAGCGAGCCCAAGAGGCCTCAGGGCACAGGCAGACTGCTTTCCCCTACGCGGACTGGCCCCTGCTCCCCAGGAAAAGGCTTCATTGTCTCCCACCCCCCGGCCACCGCCTGGCTCAGGAGACACGGGGGCTCCAAGCTGCGAGGTCACCCGGCCTTGCAGAATCCACCTGCAGCCGCACCAGTCCAGGAAACCAAATCCCAGCGGCAGATGACAGCCGAGGGTGGCAGGACAGAGTGCCCATTCAGCCTCCGCTGGAGCCGGCCTGGCCTGACCTGGCGGCCGCCTCCCCTACCTGGGCCCTCTGGTGCCTGAGCCCAGGCCTCACTTAGCCTCTGCTGACCAGAGAGAGGGCTGGGACGTGCCCCACCCTGGGGCACCCACAAGTGTGAGGATGGCTGGTGAAGGTGGCAGAGACCCTGCCCCACAACCAGGGCCTCCTGCAGCCCAGAGTGGGCTCAAGGGAGTCTCCAAGCCAAGCATTAACAGGGATCTCCTTTGAACTTGCCAAGCATTGCTGCCCCATCTTACGTATGAGGAGCCTGAGGCTGGGAACCAACTCACCTTTCAGCTGGGTGCAGCCAAGCTGGAGCCTCGCTGACTCAGGGGTCCCTCCTCAGTGAGCAGATGGAGAAGGTGGCCTGGAAAGGGCCCCAGGCTGCACAGCAGCCTGTTGTAGGGAAGAGGAGACGGGCCAAGGCATGGGGACACATGGACCCATTTCACAGACAGGCAGCTGAGGTGGCAGCCTCGGCAGCAAGCTGACAAGAAGACACCAGGACAGCCCTTGCGTGAGTTGCATCGAAGACAGGAGACCCGCCCACCCTCCCCTCCTTACCATCCTGCAGGACCTGAGACCACCAGCCATAGCTGGTCCCTCATCGCCTCCCCCTATCCCCAGCCCTGGCCTCTGCATTTGGGCAAAGGCTATGGAGGAAGAGGCTTTGGCTTTTTGGCCCTGGCTTCAGCCAAATCCCCCAAGCACCTCGTGGAGGAGAATGGCTGCACCTGGGAGCCACGTGGGCTCCATGGAGGCCCTAAAGAGACCAGGCCTCAGCCCCAGGTGAGGCTTAATACCCCCTCTCCAGGCAGAAAGTAACCATTTCTTTTCCAGTGGTTCTCCAGCTTAGGGTCTCCAGCCAGACTGGCCGCTTATGGGCCAGGTGTAAAGAGAGGGACAGAGGGGGCAGGGAAGTGCGAGTGTTCTCAGGCCACTGGGGCCCGTCCCCACCCACACCCAGTCATCAGCCCCAGGGACAGCCAGGCCCTCCGCAGTGCAGGGTACACCCCGATTCTGCAGCCGGGCCCCAGGGCCCAGTGCTTCCTCCAGGCTGCCCCGGGCTCCCTCCTGAGTGGCAGGCCCAGGCCCGGACTCTGGCCCCAACCCGCAGGCTCAGAGGCAGCCCTGCCTTCCACAGACCAGGCCACGAGTTGCCTGTCACTCAGCTCTTCTGCCTGGTTGGTCACACTGAAAAGAGCATCCCGTGGCTGGGAGGCATGGATATCAGCTCCAACTCGGCTCAGGAAGCAAGAGCTGGAAACCCAGGCGCAGGAGGCATCTTCAGGCCCGGCGCATGCTGTGGCAGCTGCCCCAGGTCCTCCCAAACGCCACCTGCCAAACTGGCCCTCCTCCCCATCTGGGTTTAGCAAACTCCTACTCATCCTCCAAAGCCCAGAGCGAAAGGGCTCCTCTTCCATGATGCTCCTCTTCCAAAAGCAGCCCAGGGTCTCCCCTACGGCACTCAGCACCCACCGCAGACACTGTCTGTGTCCTTGAAGCTGATCTCCCTGCCAGACGGGCAGCGGCCCTCGAGGGCATTGCAAATGGGATGCCTGACAAGAACAACCCTTGAGGATTAGGAAATAGGGGTCTGCTGGAAGCCAATGCAGGCTGGATCTGAGACCTCCTGAAGACAAAGCGCAGGGAGCTGTGCTCATGCTCACACTGGGCATGGGGTTCACACTGTCTGCTGAGGGCTGCTTCCCTGTCCTGGAGGATGGGAAGGACAGAGGGGAAAGAGGGGCTCACCCACATCCTGCTCTCTGCACAGTGCCCCCTCCAGCGCCTGTCCACACAGACCAGCCGCACTGCAGTCCCTCAGAAGCCCTAGGGTTCCACCCCATCTATGCACCCTCTCCCTGGGTTCATGCCTGCTCCCCTGGGCCCACCCCACCCATGCGCCTACTCCCCCCACAGCCCACCCATCCCCAGAACCCTCCTTGCCCACATGCCACAGCAGTATACTTTTGAAGGCAACACTGAAGGTGGGGAGTTTCTGAAATCCTCTGTGCTTCCATCTCCTCTATGGGCGCACCCCAAGAGGTTGGGAGAGCGAGGTGCTGGTGCCCAGCCCAGCACAGATAGATGAGGCCACCGTCCAGTCTACTTCGTTTTTCCAGACATCTCACACCCATAACTGGCCTGAGGAACCTCATTCCAGCTTCCAAAGAACACGGAGTGCCAAGCACCACCACACCCCAGGCTCCACACCTCCCAGAACCCTTGTGGTAGGGGAAGGAGGGGGTTACTCTGCCCCATTTACCTAAGGGAAACTGTAAGGCCTGGATGGAGAAGTGCCCCCCCTCCAGCTCACACGGCTACCAGGCCAGAGACCTTTGCCCCACCACACATGTTGGCCCACAGATGAGGCGGTGAGTCATTCAGCCACATCACAGACGGGAGATCCCCTGCCCCTTGGGAGGAGCTGGAGTCCCCACACCTGGGATCCAGTGCCAGGCTTTAGCACGGACCCCTGTGTGCCCACACCCACCCTGTCTGAACCCCCCATTAAGGGACTCGTGTTTACACACCGGTCCCTGAGTCCCCGATTTCTGAGAAAATTAATTGGCAGGGTAATTCTCACTAGAGTGTTGTTGACTTCTCCATTTGTAGCTTGCTCTTTCTGACAGTATCTGCACTGCAGAGGGAGAACCTGAAGAAGACCTCACCTGAGCTCCGAGGTGTGGATTTCTGGGCAGATTTGAGACTTTGTGGCCCCTGCTAAGGGGATATAATTGAGGGTCCCCATAAATCATGACTCGGTCTATGAGGAACCAGCACCTAGCTGCATCCCCAGCCTCTTCCTTCTTCACACCCAAGCAAAACCCCAGGTTCCAGCCCCACCTAGCAGACTGAGGGCAGGCCATGGTCCCCCCTGCTCCATTCCAGACTCCACTCTGGCTTTTCTCCTTCAGGAAACCTCCTCATAACCCTCAGGCTGGGTCCGGGGCCCAGGCCCTACAGATGTGCTGGGTGCTGGTGCTGACAGACAGGACGGCAACCGTAGCTGGACCTCACCCTGGACAGCATCGCCACAACCCCCACTGGTCCACCTGGGAGAACAGAGACCCAGAGATAGCCACACACTGTCCTCTGTGCCCCTCATTGCCCCCCAGGCCTTTGGAGGTTCTGGGGGTGGCTACTGCAGTTTAATTTGGGCCACAACCCCTAATGAGCAGCCCAACGGCATGGGGGGCAGTTTGTAGGCACCCAGAGCCTGAGCAATGTGGCAGAAAGTCCAGGGGGCCTTCCAGGGGCCTCCAAGTGACCCAGGTATCTGGCAGAGCCCAGCTGGCCCCAGGGCTCCCAGTCCCGGCCTCCTGCTCCCCGGCCCATTGGCCCTGGCTGCAGCCTCAGTTGTACCAGCTGGGGAGTCCCAGATTTCCTGTACCACCACCCCACACACTTGGTCCCCTAAAGACCTGATACTGAGCTCTTGCTAATCATCTGGCTGTCACTAAGCTGCCCCACAACCATTTTCAAAGAGTCCCTGATTTTTAAGGCCCATAAAACACTGTGAAATGGCCTTTTTCAAACATTGAGGGCATTAATGACCATGGCAAAAACAAAAACCTGTCCAGGTGGCCAGTTTTTAGTAGCTCCCAATACAAAATTGCCCCCACCACGCAGCCCCCACCTGTCCACGCCCCCTCCACTTACCCACCCCGAGGGATTCTAGCCAGGACCCCTGCGTCCTGAGAAATCCTTTCCAGGAGTAGGCTGGGGAATACCGGCCCAGAGGGGCGAGGACCGGATGGGGGCAGGGGTAGGGTTCAAGGGGCCAGGGTCCCAGGGGCTCTCCTGGAGGCTGCAGAGGAACCCAGCCTGGGTGGGGGGCTCCGACGCTCCACAGCCTGTCCTGGCCCGGCCAGGCCCGGCCCGGCCCGGCCCCCTGCCCAGTCGCGGCACTGCCCGGCCCGACCCCCAGACCTTCGGGGTGCCCAGTCCGAGCCTGGGCCGCTAGGGGCCGCGGGCCTGGCGGGCGGGGCGGGGGCCGGGGTCGGGGGTCCGGCGAGCTTTAATGCGCGCACAAAGCCTCATTTGCAGGTCAATGCCGCGGCACACTCGCCTCTCCCCTCGCCCGGCGCCCTTTGTCCGGCCGCGCCCGCTCCTCGCGCCAGATGGCCGCGGAAATGCTAATTTCGGGCGCCCCTGCCCCCCCACCCCCGCGTTTAATTGCGCCTTTGCAGATGGGCCGCGAGTGTGCGCTTCATGCAGATGAGCGCGGCCTCGCCGCCTTCCTCGGACCTCCGGGAGCCGCGGCCGGGCGTGCTGGGGCCGAGGGCAGGGAGGGGGCCGCTGTCCCTCCACTCGACGCGCCGCCGGGCACGGGCGGGCACCCAGCGGCCCGGGCCCGGGAAGCGCGCTTCTCTCTTTTCATTTCTCCAAAATGGGATCTTAAGTGATTCTGAATGAAAACAAATTGGCCCGCTTTCTTCTCCAAACAGACGCGCGGCGCGGTGGGGGCGGCGGGCGCGGGCCCGGGGCGGCCCGGGCGGTGGGGTTGGCTCCGGGACCCCCTGCCCGGCCCGGCCCTCGCGCCTTCTCCCCGCGGCCCGCCTTCCTCAGCCCTGGGCCGGCGGCACTTGGAGGCGGCCGGGCAAGACGGCAGACGTGGGGGCCCCTTTAACCGGAGCCAAGGATCCCCGGACTTTCTGACCAACCAGGAGCAGAAGCCCGCCAGGTCACCCTCGCCTTTCATGACAGAAACAGATTCCCAGGCTGGTCGGAGCGCAGAAATGAGGCAGGCCAGGGCCGGCCTCCGCCACCCCGCCCATCTCCAGCCCCAGCAGGAGCCTGGCCCAGGCCTCTGGCCCCACAGCGCCAGGGAGCATCCTCCGGGAGCCCAGGCCTGCCTCGAAGCCTAGGGCTGGGGCAGGCTGGGCAGAGTGAGGGAGGGAGGCAGTTTCTTTGTGATGTGTCCACTTTACTAGCAAAATTTCAACCACAAACTTAGAAAACCTATACATTGGTGGGTGATTCACTTGCTCCACCACCAGCGATGAAACAGAGACAGAGCCACGTTCTGGGTAAGTAAGAATACTCCCAATACAAAACTCAGCCACAGACCTTTAAAAAGAAAAGGGTGCCGGGCGCGGTGGCTCACGCCCGTAATCCCAACACTCTGGGAGGCCGAGGCGGGAGGACTGCTTGAGCGCAGGAGTTCCAGTCCAGCCTGCACAACCTGGCGAGGTCGCATCTCTACAAAAAATCTTCTGATTTTTTTAGCCAGGCGTAGCGGCGCGCCTGTAGTCCCAGGAAGGATCACTTGAGCCTGGGAGGTGGAGGCTACATAGAGCCATGACTGTGCCACTATACTCCAGCCCAGGTGACAGAGTAAGACCCTATCTCAAAAAAGAAAGAAAAAAAAGAGAAAGAGAAAGAAAGAGAGAAGAAGGAGGAGGAGGAGGAGGAGGAGGGAGGAGGGAGGAAGAAAGGAAAGAAAGAAGAAAAAGAAAGGAAGAGAAAGAAAGAAAAAGAAGAGATAAAGAAAGAAAAAAGAAAGAGAAAGAAAGAAAGAAAGAAAGAAAGAAAGAAAGAAAGAAAGAAAGAAAGAGAAAGAAAATCATCTGTTCCTGAAACATTCTGTGATACTTTCGTAATTTGCTCAGCCAGAGGACTGAAAGTGCAGGCGGATCCCTCAGCCTTGGGCTCAGCTGGGACTGAAGTCAGCTGACAGAGTGAATCTGGCCCAACTGCCACCAGTCTGACTCTGGCACCCTGGCCCTGGCGTGACCTTCACAGCCGCACCCCCCACCCCCCACCTCCGCCTCAATGCCCACCCTCCAGCTCCACATCACTGAGCCTGCCCTGCTGCGCCCTTGCACGGGCACCCTGGCTGCCAGCTCTCCTCCACCCATTCCTCCTCTGAGTGTCCTCAGGCCCCTCAGGGGCTGCTCTTCCCTGGACACCCAGGAGCCTCAACCTTTGCCCTGTGCCACACCTCCCTCACCTGGCTCTTGAAAGGAGTCCCATCCACCTTCCCCTCAGGGTGAAGCTCAGGGCCTGGCCCACACCCCTGCTGGTACTCAAGGCCCACCTGGGGGACCTAATGGGGGGTTCCAGTAGACACCGAGGCCGAGGCCGGAGGGCTCAGCCACCCTTGTCACCCATCCTGCAGGGCACTGTCTCATGGGTGCCAGCACAGTGACATGCCGTGGGCTGGGGGAAGCTGGCTCATAGAATATGCACGGCCAGGACGCACCGTGGAAATTTCCATGGTCACGGGATGGAAACCATTTCCTATCAATAAAATAACAGGTGCCCCGTCAGAATCCCCCTTTCATTTCTTTCCAGGAAACAGTTCAAATGGGATGGTTACACCCATTTGAGACAAACATCTCTTGGTCCTAACCCCTTGTGGTTGCTTCATTAACCAGAGGCCTCCATCTTCCTCTGGGGAAGACAGTGCAGCCCAGCTGCCCTCCGCCTCCAAACCCTCCCTGGGCCCTGAGGTGCCGTGTGGACCCACTGCTGCAATCGCCATGTTCACCCCACACTCGAGGGTAGACCCAGAGCATTTGAACTGTCCTCGTACTCCCTCGGCCACTTCTCAACAACAGCGCATTCCCAATCCTGTAACCTGGGGCCTTTCCCTAACACATTTAAAAGACGCCAGCCGCCTTCTCCCGCCCTAGCACTGTCACCAGCTGCTTGTACTCAACTCTCTGCCAAACTGTTACTTTGTTTATCACACTCAGATTACGGGTCTCTTGAACAGTTTGTTATGGTTAAATACTTTCAATTAAAACAGTATATGTTTGTGTGTGTGTATACAAATAGATAGACATTCTAATACTTTAAAATAGGTACTTTGAGCTGGGCACAATGGTGCACACCTGTAGTCCCAGCTACTCCAGAGGCAGAGGTGAGAGAATCTCTTGAGCCCAGGAGTTCCAGTCCAGATTGGACAACATAGCAAGACCCTGTCTCTATTAAAAATATACCTTTATGCCAGATGCCTATAATCCCAGCACTTTGAGAGGCCGAGGCAGGAGGATCACTTGAGCCCAAGAATTGGAGACCAGCCTGGACAACATAGGGAGACCCTGTCTCTACAAAAAAAAAAAAAAATTAAAGATTAGCTGGGCATGGTGGCACACACCTATGGTCTCAGCCACTCGGGAGGCTGAGGTGGGTGGAGGGCTTGAGCCCAGGCGTTGGAAGCTGCAGTGAGCCATGATCGTGCCACTGCACTCCAACCTGGGTGACAGAATAAGATCCTATCTCAAAAAATATTTTTTAATTAAAATAAAATATGTGCTTTGGACTTAAAAAGTAAATGTGAGTCCCATAGATGTAAAATGATATAGAGCCCCAAAGTGCCATCTGCGCTTATCTCAGGATAGCAGCATCTATCTGGGGGAATTTTTACTGTCTTTTTTATACATTCCCATATTGTTTGCATTTTTTTTTTTTACAATGAGCATATGCTGCTATTTCTACAACCAAGGGAAATATATGGCTATTTTCAATTTGGAAATCAAAAGAAATAAAAAGCCCCACTGGCTTGCCAGCCCTGTGACCTGGGTGCTGTAGCAATAATGCCTGGAACTGGCCCCAGCCGATGAGGGACCCCAGCCACAGCCCATGCCAGAGTCCACTGTCAGGACCATCTTACGAGAGGGGCTGCCTCAGAATGGAGTCCTGGGGGCACCTCAGTAACTAAACCCCCTTGGATGGAAGCCAGGCCAGACCCACTCAGTGCCAAATTCCACTCGGGCCTGCTCTCAGTTCCAGCAAAATTCCAAAGTATATTGTTGTTATCGTTATTATTTTGCAATTACGTGACATTTTTTAAATGCCTAGACTGTTTTCTCAGCCATTTTCATTAGCTCCTTCTCACTCTGCCCAAGAGACACTTCAGCATTGTGTCTGCCACTGGGCAGGCTGGCCAAGGCTCAGAGAGGTCAACTAACCTGCCTAGGTTGCACAGCAACAGAGCAGCGGGTGCGAGAGCAGACGTCAGGGCTGGGCCCAGGTCATCCTGCAGAGCTGGGGGGTGGGTCTCGCTGTTGGGCCCTGTTGGGCTTTTATTCAGATTTAGGAATTTCTTGGGGGGCGGGGGCAGGGGCAGATTTGGGAAAGAGAAGAAAAAGTAGGAACGAGAGAAGAGAGAAGAAAAGGCAAGGAAAGCCCAAGGCCGAAGCAAGAGAGCAAAATAAGCAGAAGACACCACGGGTGTGGGGCTGGCAGCACCGCACTGAGAGCCCCTGGCAGGGAACCAGCCCCTGGAGGTGCCCCTGCCTTCTCCCCACAGCCTGGCATGGTGCCGGCTTCCAGAGGAGCCTCGTTTCTCAGTGAGGGGGGCGGGAGGGGGTGAGACAGCATCCGTGTCTAGACGCTTATCCTTTGAGGAGAATACCAGGGTCCCCAAATGCCACTTGAGATCTCTCTGAAATGCAGGAGGCCCTGGAGCCTGCATTTGTCATCAGCCTCAGTCACCACACCTACCCCCAGCTCAGGAGCAGGTGCCACAGCTCAACCTGGCTCTCATGCTGAACCAGGTCCCCAGAGGTCTGGACATTGCCACTCACCAGCAGGCATCCCGGGCCACAGGGCAGGACGCCCAATCTGGAAGCCCAGTGTTATGGGAGGAATCGTATCCCCCAAAAATCATATGTCGAAGCCCTCACCCCCAGCACCTCAGCACATGACTGTATGTGGATACAGGGTTTTACAGAAAACAGTTAAAATGAGGCCATTGGTGTGGGCCTAATCCAACAGGACTGGGGTCTTTATAAGGAGAGGAGGACACAGGCACACTCAGAGGCATGACCCTCCCAGGACACAGGGAGAAGGTGACGTCTGCAAGCCAAGGAGAGAGGCCTCAGGAGGAACCAGCCCTGCCGACTCCTTGATCGTGGACTCCAGCCTCCAGGACTGGTAGATGATAAACATCTGCTGTCTCAGCAGCCCTGTCTGTGATGCTTTGTGATGGCAGCTCCAAGGCAGGAATACACCCAGCATCCACAGAGGGATTACATCTGTCCAGGCCCGCACAGCCAGGGCAGACAGAGAGACCACACCCCAGCCCTCCAGACCAGTGGAAACCCCCACGTACCCCTGGCTCAGAGACCTTCTCTGACTGAGCGCATGAAGCTGGCTCTTCCTGGCTAGTTTCCCTCAGATGCATCATCCCAACACCTAGGGGCACATTGTGCAAGTAGAGAGTCCCCCAGTATACCATTTTCCAAGGCAGAGACAAAAAAAAAGCCATGTGCAGAGTTGACGTCTGTATACCCCTAATGCTAATTGGGGACAGTGGCATTTAGTTCTGAGTGGCTGACGGCTTTGGTGACCTGGACAATCAGGGCCTGCCTGAAGAACCAGGGGCTGCCGGAGGCGCTGGGCCTCCCTCCCACTCACCGGGGCCTTCATTAACAGCCGCGTCCAGACCAGCTGGAGTCAGCTGATTAGCCCATTCTAAGTGGCATTGGGAGTCCCCCCACCCCCTGTATCTATTTTTTCACCCGCACATGTTCAATTCAATTTTGCTTTTGTGCCAGAGAGGCCTCTGATGTGAGTGTTTCTGGGGAGTTTTTCCATGTTTCTTTATGTCCTCGAAACCAAAGTCAGTCACCAACTTTCAGAAAACACCCTCCTGGATTGAAGCGGGTAAGAGGAAAGAAAAACACACAACACAAAACAAAAGCAAAAGAAAACAAAAGAGAAAGCACTGGCTGCCTTTCTACAGAATCCTCCTGCGAGGAGACAATTCATTTCAATTGAAACGTTTCCATTGTGCGGCATTCGGAACGCGCTCCTCGCGTTGGGCAGAAATGCAAATCCCCCTTTTTCCTTTGATTCAAATATTTAAATTTTCAAATATATATGCTGCGACAATTGAATGGCAGCTGACCTCACTTATTTTCATAGAAGCAATGCGGAAGCCACAGGCTGCAGTTAATCTCGCCAGCAGCGCCCCGCCTGCTGACAGCGGTACGGTCAGTCCTGGGGGGGCGCAGGGAATAATCCTTTTATTCAGACATTTGGCTTAAAAGAATAACAAGGAGGAAAAGCTGGAACATAATTGCATTGCATGGAAAACAGAGAAAGATTTTTTTCTCTCTCTCTAACAAGCTTTCTCCTTTTCCTTCCTCAAAGAATCGGAGGCTCACGGCCAGAGGCTGTTTTCTTGGTAAAGAAATCGGGAGTGTTTTCCTTCCACTATTGTCCCCACTCCCGCCCACCCCCCGAGGGATTTTCATAGTTGGGTTGGCTGCCACACTGGCTCATCCATTCATTCATTCATTCACTCACTCACTCATTCTGCAAACTCGGAAGGAAGACCTACTGTCTGTCCAGCTCAGCTGGGCTGGGGGCAGGGCGAGCCAGACACTCCCCAGGCAGCCTTCCTCTCCTGGACTGGGACGCCCCCACAGAGCCACACCGTGACCCTCGGAGGCACCCTGAAGCATAACTGGGCCAACCGTGCCTGCAGGAAGCCCCTTTGTTCCTCCTTGGGGCCCCAGAGCACCTGAGTGAAAGAGTCTGAGACCGGAGGGGCAGCCAGAGGGGGCCCTGGAGGGAGGCGGAGGGACCCCCTCCCTGGGCCAGCCAGGCCAGCGTCTGCCAGAGTCGCTGTTGCTAAGTCCTCTTCTTGCAGCCTGGGGATCCCAGAGGACCCCGGCCCAGTCCATCAGCTGGGCTGGGTCTTTAATATTTAAAGAGCTCTCCCGGACATTTCAAGAACTCCCCGACACGATTTTCTGTGATGCGTGGGCTGTCGGGACATCTGTCTTCTATACCTAATAAAGTCGCCCGACGCAGAATGAACTCCTCGGCATCGCTTTGAATCCGGGCTCACATATGGTTGCTAATTAGCTGGCTATCTCTTGGAGTTAAATGATTTTTTTTCTCGCCCCGTTCGCATCCATAATAGACGCGAACAGAGTCGTGATTGTTCCCTGTTGCGGGACATTCTGCGCCTGAATGAGCGGGGGCTGCTGTGTCGACGCGGATTTGCCATATGGTTGCGCGGAGCCAGGAAGAATGGGCCCCTGTGTGTGCGACCGGGACGCAGCGGCGCGGGCCGTGCCAGCCGGGCGGAGCCGGGTGCCCGACGGCGCAGGACGAGCGGGCGCAGGACGAGCGAGCGCAGCGGGCGCGGGCGCACCGTCGGGGCGCGGGGACCCCGAGGGCCAGCGGAGCCGTGCTGCGCGCAGGGATGGACGCTGGGCGCCCAAGGCCCGTTCCCGTGGACAGGCGCGCGGAGGGCAGCAGGACCGATGCACCGACGGACGCACCGACGGACGCGCGGACAGATGCGCCGACCGCAGGCTCTCCCGCCGTCCCGGGGCCGTCGTGCCCGTGCAGGCCGCGAGCAGCGGCGGGGCCGGCTCTGCGGCTGCAGCAGCCCCATTGTGAGGCCGGCGAGACAATGGGCGGCCCGAGGAGGCACCTGCTCGCCTGAAAGGCCCATAAATCGCCGCCGCGTCCAGCTGCCTTCCCGCCCCTCCCCGCGGACCCGCTAGCGGGAAGCGCGGCCGCGGCCGGGAGGGGGAGGCTCGGTCCGACAGTCGGGCAGGGCCGCCTGGGCCACCGCCGCGCGCTCCCTCCCGCCTGGGCGCAGCTGCCCGCACGCCCCGACGGGAGCTGCGCCCAGCCTCCCCTCTGGAGTCGGCGCTCCAGGCTGCTGCCCGGCCGGTGGCCAAGGCCCCAGCACCACCGTCCCTCCTGCAGGGCATCCAGCACCTACCCTTCCACTGGGCGGCTCCTGGTTCTGGTCCCGGCTGGCTCACTCAGGCTGCCTTTGGACCAGATTCTTGAACTTTTCCACCAAGGATGTTGCTGCTGTTTGTAGCGTCGGATCCTGGAAAATCGCTGTGTTGGGGAGCAGCAGGCTCTCCCTTGCTCCCCCAGGGCCTGGGAAAATCAACCCACCTCTGCCCCCCGACCCCAGGGCTGTAACCTGGTGTCTGGTAGCCCCACTGTGATAAACCGAAGCCCAGCACAGTTTGGGACTCGCCCCGAGTTGACTTATGCAGCCCCCAGAACAGAGGCTGAAACCCGGCGCATCCTGGTGAAGCCACACCCAGCCGGCCTGGTCCCAGGCCCCGGGCACGGGGTCCCCTCCACTCCCATCTGCTTCCCTTTCAGAGCCGGGGCTGAGTCGGCAGGGACGCAGGCTCAGGGCCCTGGATTCCCGCTTTCTGGACACTTGCGTGCATGCCCAGCACCAGCTCGCCCTTCTGAGAAAGCAATCCCTCCTCAGAGGGGAGAAGCCGTGGCTGTGATGGGCAGGAAGTGGTCAGGACCCACTGCCGAGCACCAACTCCCCATGCCACCACCAGGGGTGCGCCTGGACTCCTGGAAAGGGGTCGCGTCAGGGTGCAGCCCATCAAAGGCTTCCCAAGAGGCAAGAGGCAAGGAGAAGTGTCCTACTTTAAACGGCCAGCCTCAGGTGAGCACCAGAGATCGGGCCCAGACCTGTGTAGAGAAAAGGAGGCAATGGCCCCTGGCTACAGACAAGGACCCTGAGGCTGCCCTCTTCCCTCTGCACCTTTGGTTAGGCACTGCCTCTCTGTGTGGAAGGAGCAGGACTCGGTCCCAAGACCATTTGGCCACGCTGTGCCCTCGGGACCAGCACGTGCTGGCACCCCGATCCCACTGGGACTCTCTTCCAGGAAAAGGCTTGTGTTCAGTTCCCAGGGCTCTGCCAACACCAGCCCTGTGCTGGCTGCCTGCAGCAGGCACCCCATGGGGACCACATCCCTGGGCCTGGAGGAGCTGGCTGAGACAGAGGCGGGCCCGAGGCCAGGCCTTTGCCCGCCACTGCTGCTCCAGGCACTCCTGGAGGGCTCTGAGCATGCTCCTTAGGTCTCCCGGCTGCAGGGAGGACACTCACTCCCACCCCCAGGTGTCTGGTGCTTTGATTTTAATTATTTCTAGCCTTCCAGTGCCATCTCTTATCGCCCCCTCCCCAGTCTCCTAATAAAGGGCCAGCGCCCCCCGCCTTCCTCTAGCCTCCCTGACATATTAGAAGAATGTTTTTCCATTTCCTTTGATGTCTGTTACAAGTTGCATCTCATTTCCTGCTTGGGCATTTCTGACCTCGAGTGACTCCGGCCGCCGTGGCTGCGTGGCTGGTCTGCTCCTCATACCCCGCCCAGACGCCAGCTTGAGAGGATTTGGTCCTCCGTGTGCCGCCACCGCCAACTCAGTTTCCCCCTACCCTCCCCACTTTGTTTTCTGGGGCTCCAAGGGGGAGGTCAGGCCCTCAACCCTGTTTCCATGGAGAGGGCTCCTCACGGGGGGCGGGGGGGCATCCCTCCATGGGACAGGGAGGGCTCCTCACGGTTGAGGGGGGCGCCCATCCTTCTATGGGGCTTCCTAAAGACCTGCATTCTTCCCTTCATTTTTCTGGGATTACTCCCCTTTCAGTGGTCGGCCCTGTTCACTCTGCCACCTCAGAGAGAGTGAACCCAGCAGAGGTGTGACGGGAGGCTGGGGAGAGACCCCAGCACCTTGAGCACACAGGAGCCAGGAGGAGCCCAACAGAGCAGCAGGGGCTGGGGTCTTCTCCTGAAGCCTGACTCCATGGGACCCCAAAGAAGCAGATGGAAAACTGAAAAAGAAAACCCCTCAAGTGAGCCACTGGAAAGAAAGCAAAACAAGAGAAAATAAATGAGTTGTTTGACATAATTTAACTTGTCTGTTTTTCCATCTTCCTTCCTGCTCACCCCACCATCACCGTGGCCCCATCTAGTTGAGGCACACAGCTCTGGGCTTAAAGGAACCAAGGGGCATGTCTCAGAGCAGTCTCCAAATTGGGTGCTAGGACCCAAGAAATGCAGAGAGGGCAGTGGCTGTGAGAGAGGTTTGCATAAGAAAACAGACAAGACAGAACTTGGTTTTATCTTTTTTTTTTTTTTTTTTTTTTTGAGACAGAGTTCTGCTCTTGTTGCCCAGGCCAGAGTGCAATGGTGTGGTCTGGGCTCACTGCAACCTCTGCCCCCCGGGTTCAAGCGATTCTCCTGCCTCAGCCTCCCTCTCGAGTAGCTGGGATTACAGGCGCCCACCACCACACTCAGCTAATTTTTTTTTTTTTTTTTTTTGTAATTTTAGTAGAGACAGGGTTTTGCCATGGTGGCCAGGCTGGTCTCGAACTCTTGACCTCAGGTGATCTGCCCGCCTGAGCCACCCAAAGTACTGGGATTACAGGCATGATCCACCACGCATGGCCAGTTTTGCCTTAAAACCACAGCTAGACTCCTCCACAGGGACCAGGACCTAGGCCATGTCTGTCCTGGCTGCAGAGGTGGGTCAGCCCCATACAGTGCTCTCTGGAAGAGAAACAGGGAGCAGCGTGGCTCCTGCACAGAGGCACCTGGCTGGCCCTTGGCCTACTGGTAGCCTCCAAGGGTAGATGCCAGGTATCTCAGTCCATTTGTGCCACAGTAACAAAATACCTGAGACTGGGTGATTTATTTTCTATTTTTTATTTATTTATTTATTTATTTATTTTTGAGATGGGGTTTTGCTCTTGCTGCCCAGATTGGAGTGTGATGGCACGATCTTGGCTCACTGCAACCTCTGCCTCCCAGGTTCAAGCGATTCTCCTGCCTCAGCCTCCTGACTAGCTGGGATTACAGGCATGTGCCACCACACCCGGCTAATTTTGTATTTTTAGTAGAGATGAGGTTTCTCCATGTTTGTCAGGCTGGTCTCGAACTCCTGACCTCAGGTAATCCACCCACCTTGGCTTCCCAAAGTGCTGGGATTACAGGTGTGAGCCACTGCGCCTGGCTAATTTTCTAGGTTTAGTAGAGATGGGGTTTCTCCATGTTGGTCAGGCTGGTCTTGAACTCCTGACCTCAGGTGATCCACGAGACTGGGTGATTTATAAATAACAGAAATGTATTTCTCACCGTTCTGGAGGCTGGGAAGTCCAAGATCAAGGTGCCAGTGCAATCAGGGTCTGGTGAGGGCTCTCTGCTTCCAAGATGGCACTGTGTTGTAAGTGAAGCGAACGCTTTGGGAAGCCTCTTTTATAAAAGCTTTAATCTCACTCAGAGGGAGGAACCCTCAGGCTTAAATACCTCCTAAAGGCCCTATTTCTTTCTCTCTTCTTTTTTTTTTTTTTTTTTTTTTTGTGAGACACAGTCTTGCTCTGTTGCCCAGGCTGGAATACAGTCGTACCATCTCAGCTCACTGCAACCTCCACCTCCTGGGTTCAAGCAGTTCTCCCTGCCTCAGACTTCCAAGTACCTAGGTAACAGGTGCCCACCACCATGCCCAGTTAATTTTTGTATTTTTAGTAGAGATGGGGTTTCACCATGTTGGCCAGGCTGGTCTCAAACTCCTGACGTCAGGTGATCTGCCCACTTCGACCTCCCAAAGTGCTAGGATTACAGGCGTGAGCCACTGTGCCTGGCCCTTTTTTTTTTTTTTTTTTTTTTTTTTTGACAGGATCTGGCTCTCTGGCTCTGTCAACCAGGCTGTGGTACAGTGGCACGGTCATGGCTCACTGCAACCTCCACCTCCCAGGCTTGAGTGATCCTCCCATCTCAGCCTCCTGACTAGCACGCATCACCACACCTGGCTAATATTTCTTTTTTTGTAGAGAAAAGTTCTCCCTACATTGCCCAGGCTGGTCTGAAAATCCTGGGCTCAAGCAATCCACTCACCTCAGCCTCCCAAAGTGCTGAGATCACAGGCTTGAGCTACTGCGCCCAGCTTCCCACTTACATTAATACTATCACATTGGCCAGTAAGTTTCAGACACGAATTCTGGAGGGGACATAGTCAAACCCAGCACCAGGTCTCAGGTGTCCTTACTTCTCCCTCTGCAATTCCGGCTTCACCACAGCCCTCAGGTGTAAGGCCTTGTTGTCCAGACCATGTGCTTTTTCCCAGGACTGAGAGTGAAGTGCTGAGGTTGCATGATAAAAACCCATGTGACTATATGACCATTAAAGTGAATAGCCCCCAGAGCACTGGGCGGTGGGGACCGGGGCTCCCTCCTACACAGACAGACCAATTAAGGTCTTCCAGGCCTGCATGTAGGCCAGGCTACAGGGATGGAATCAGCACCCAGCTAGAGCAGAAGGGTCTAAAGGAACCAAAAGGGGTTCTGGGACAAATCTCAAACCATGGGCAAGCTTCGCTCAAGCACTCAAGGAACATTCGAGCTAGATGGGCCCTCAGAGACTCTGATCCTATGTTCTCCTTTCAGTGAGGGAAAATTGAGGCCCAGGGAGGCTTCTGCACCCTAGACAGGCCCCACTCCTTAGAGGGACCAGTGAGGGGAAGTCAGACCCCAGCAAGACGGAGGAAGTCCCAAATTGGAGACAATCAGAAAGACAACACCAGTGCAGACCCTAAACCAACACCCCACCTGCTCCAAGCTGGGCTCCAGTCGCCTAAGGATGAGCTGGGCCCATGCAAACTCCCTGTGTGTTTCCTGCATGTGGGCCACCAGGCAACCACCCTCTAACTTGAACCCCTGCCCACAGACCCCAGTACCACCCAATGGTTGGCCAGGGGCACCCCCAAAGGATTGGATCATGCCGAAGGTAGCCACAGGCAGATGACAGTGTCAAAGGGAAGGGGGATAAGTGGTTTTTGTTCACGCAGACCATAGGAGTGAAGGTTGTAGCATTCCCAAATGTAAGTCCGCGTGGCTAAGACCACGGGCAGGGCTCCCCAGCTGGCCTGGCTCCCAGTGTCTGTGCATTATCGTGTGCGTGTGAGGCATTTCCACTTGGATTACTATTTCAGCTCCCAAAAATGGATCAGTGGCTCACAGGAGGATCCAGGAAGCAGCAAATATTGACCCGTCAGGATTTCAAGGTGAACGTGGGATGTCCCCTACATGCAGGGACCGTCCACCAAGTGTGACACTGGACACAGGATGTCCTGGATTTGTCCCAGGTGCATGGTCTCTTAAGACACTTGGCCAGATGGTGGCGTGAGGCCAGCAGTGGTTTTGTGTCATTTTCAAGCAAAGCCCAGGGCCTTCCCTGGGAGCTAGCATTGTTATTCTAGAATGAGTGGAAAGGGACACTTTCCAGGGCAAAGCTGATGTGCACCACACTGAAGATGGGAAAGAACCCACGCTGTATCTTCCTGTCCACATTGCATTTGTAAGAATGAAACTTGCGTGAGTTGCACGGAGGAAGAATTTGCAGTTGGGGGAATGCAGTGTCTGGGATCTGCTTTTTTTGTTGTTGGTTTTTTTCAATAGAGACAGGGTCTCGCTATGTTGCCCAGGCTGATCTCCAACTCCTGGGCTCAAGCAGTCCTTCTACCTCAATCTCCCAAAGTGCTGGGATTACAGGCATCACCCACTGTGCTCAGCCAGGGATCTGCTTTATGAAACTGCAGAAAGGAAAAAAAAGTAAAAGTGGAGGTGGGAAACAGATTGACAAGATTGGAAAAATGTTAATGATGGTTGAAACTGGCTGGTGATGTACTATTCTATTGCTTTTGAGTATGTTTGCAAATTTCCATAAGAATGCTTTGTAAGGAAGTAGCAGTGATACTGTTACATATTGCTGAGAAAATGTAAAACCAAATACAAAGTTAACAAAAAGAGATAAATTATGTACATATAGACAATATATGCACACATACATACATGTGTTGTGTGTATACATACACATTATGTGTACGTGTGTATGTCTATAACATATAGACACATACATGTTATGTACACGCACATAAAAGAAGGCAGAAAGGCTGTGGGCAGATACCCTGATCAAGAGTTTTTGTGACATCATCACAGTGGCCTTGCAGCCCTTACTCAGGGGTCCTTGCTGACATGAACTCACAGCAGTGTGCCTCTCAACTAGGCCTGCATCTTTCTAATTTGCTAGACAGGAAGCCACTCCTGGCACTTGGTCAGGTCAAACACAAGAAGTGTTTGATGATTTTTTTTTAATTCTGTTAATTACTGAAAATCCATGCTAGAGGAAAAAAATTGTTTTTATTTTGAATTTACTTATTTATTGAGACAGAGTCTTGCTCTGCTGCCCAGGCTGGAATGCAGTGGTGTGATCACGACTCACTGCAGACTTGACTTCCCAGGCTCAAGCAATCCTCCCATCTCAGCCCCCAAGTAGCTGGGACCACAGGTACACGCCACCACGCCCAGATAATTTTTATATTTTTTGTAGTGACAGGGTCTCACTGTATTGCCTAGGCTGGTCTCAAACTTCTGAGCTCAAGTGATCCTCACACCTTGGCCTCCCAAAGTGCTGGGATTATAGGCTGTTTTGAATTCAGGTAACAATTGCTTGTGGGTCCTGAAGTAAACCCCCCCAAACATGCTGGCTATCAATCAATCACCAGGGTTGGGTTCTGTAAGAAGGGTGTTGGGGCAAAGATGGCTGCAAACCCTTTGCCACTCAAGCAGAAAGGATCCCCCTGCCATGAATCTGGGATGGTGTCAGTAGCTTGCTTGATCAATCAAATGAGGCAGACATGATGCTGCATAGCTTCCGAGGCCAGGTCTCTAGAGCTGCTCCTAGGCCTCCTGGAACACCTGCTCTTGAAACCCAGCTGCCATGCCATGAGGAAGCCCAAGCAGGCCTGCGAAGGGAGCCACAGGCAGCAGCTCCCAGGGCTTTGCCAGGCATGGGAGTGGGCCATATTGGAAGTTGATTCCTCAACCCCAATCAAACTACTCTAGCTGACATCCCATAACACAGAGCCAAGCTATTCTGCCAACTGTTCCCCAATTTCTGATAGAATCATAGGTATAAATAAAACCACTGGGTTTTTTTGTTTGTTTTTTTGTTTTTTTGAGGTGGAGTCTTGCTCTGTCGCCCAGGCTGGAGTGCAGTGGTGCAATCTCGGCTCACTGCAAGCTCCGGCCTCCTGGGTTCAGGCCATTCTCAGCCTCAGCCTCCCGAGTAGCTGGGACTACAGGCGCCCACCACCACGCCCAGCTGATTTTTTGTATTTTTTTGGTAGAGACGGGGTTTCACCACGTTAGTCAGGATGGTTTCAATTTCCTGACTTCGTAATCCTCCCACCTCGGCCTCCCAAAGTGCTAGGATTACAGGCGTGAGCCACCGCACCCGGCTAAAACCACTGTTTTAAACCACAAAGTGTTGGGATAGTTGTTTACTTGGCAGGAGATCATGAGAACAGGTGTAATCATGCTAACAGAAGAGGAGGTACCGGCTGCCTGTCCACACCCGACTTTATGCCTCAGTGTTGAACAGCAGAGTAGTGGCTGTGATTTGGGGCAGAAGGGAATGGTGAGTACACACAGCTGTCTGACACTGGAGCAGGCAAGCCCTGCCAAGAAAGTCCTGCCCCTGAGGGCTTTCAAGTAACAGCTAAGATCAGAGCGTTTTCTTCCTGGCGCCACTAGGTCATCAGAGGCCATTTTCATTTTTTATCCCAAGGGGCTTGCCCATGGAGCAGAGCTTGGTGATATAATCAATATCTCAGCTGCCCCTGAAACAACCACTTCAAGGCTTAAATAACACAATTTTTAATTTTCAGAATAAGCAATTGCGATTTTTTTTTTTTTTTTGAGACGGAGTCTTGCTCCGTCGCCCAGGCTGGAGTGCAGTGGTGCCATCTTGGCTCACTGCAACCTCTGCCTCTCGGGTTCAAGCGATTCTCCTGCCTTAGCCTCCCAAGTAGCTGGGATTACAGGCACGTACCACCATGTCTGGCTAATTTTTTGTATTTTTATTAGAGACGGGGTTTCACCGTGTTAGCCAGGATGGTCTTGATCTCCTGACCTCGTGATCTGACTGCCTCAGCCTCCCAAAGTGCTGGGAGTACAGGAATGAGCCACCTCGCCCAGCCACTTTTTTTTTTTTTTTTTTTTTTTGAGACAGGGTCTCGCTCACACTGTCGCCCAGGCTGGAGTACAGTGGCACAACTGATCATGGCTCACTGCAATCTCCGCTTCCCGAGCTCAAGTGATCCTTCCATCTCAGTCCCCCAGGGAGCTGGGACCACAGGTGCACACACACCACCAAAGCTGGCTAATTTTTAAAATTTTTTTACAGATGGAGTCTTGCTATATTGCCCCAAGCTGGTCTCAAACTCCTGGGCTCAAGTGATCCTCCCACCTCAGCCTCCCAAAGTGCTTTGATTACAGGCATGAGCGTCCGCACCCAGCCAGGATTTCTTCAGGATGCTAGAGTGTGGGCAGCCAGCTCCATCTCTGAGACTTTGACCCTTCCCCAAATCACAATCATTTTATTCCTTCATCAAAGAAAAAAAAGATGACTTACTAGACAGTTGTTAAGGCACTCACATAAAACTACACGATAGCAGGATAGATGGTAACCAAGAGGGAACTCAGGACCCGTCACTACCAGCTGGAAACACCTGACCTCCAGCCTGCAAATGTGACAAGCTAGACCAACACCAGCAGGACACTGAACACAGCTTGCAGGGATGAGTCTCTGCGTCATTTCTGGACATGTGTCCAAGTAACCAGAACAACTCAAAATGCCACCAGGCCCTTGCTGTCATTCCCATAAACCTCGAACAGTGAGTTGGGTCTTCAAGGAACCTGTCTCTGTCAGCTTACCTTATGCTGCATAACAAACAGGCCCAAAGCTCTTGGCAGCGTACATCAAGCATGGAGGATCTCTCACTCACCACGACAGTCCCTTCGCTGGAGGGCTGGGGTTGTACTCCATTTTCTCTTTTGGAAGGGGCGGCCCCTGTCTGAGGTCTCATTTGTCTCACAGCAGAGGGATGAAACGGCAGGACCCTGGCTTTGACGGGCTCCATTTGGCAATGGTACATGCCAAGTGGGTCACGTTTCACTGCCCAGAGCAAGTTACATGGCCACGTCTGATATTGACGTGCGGGAAATGCAGAATCTTCCTGCATTTGGGGAGGCAGATATTTGGACAACATGCAATTCATTACAGGGCCAGCTGGATGAAGAACGGCCAAGGGCCCAGGCTCTTCACCCCGAGCCAGGCCGAACCAGCCGGGGCCGTGAGATCAAGCCACGGTCATCAGTGTTCGTTTGGAATTATGCCTTGTCCTTGCCGTGTCCACATTGTAGTAGGGTTTCTGTTTTTTAATTCATCTGAAATTGGTGGTGGGTGTGGTACACAGATGAGAAACAGGAACTCTCCACGCTGGGCTTTAACAGGAGCTGCGGTGGGAACACAAATGGTGCAGCCACTTTGGAAGATAGTTTGGTGGCTCCTTACAAAACTAAATGTACCCTTCACATATGATCCGCCACACACCATCCAGCAATTGTACCCCTTGGTATTTGCCCAGATGAGTCAAAAACTTGCATCCACACAAAAACTTGCACGTGGATGTTGATAGCAGCTTTATTCATAATTGCCCAAACCTGGAAGCCTTCAGGAGGTGAGTGGGTAAACAAACTGTGGTGCCTCCGGTCAGCGGAATATTATTCAGTGCTAAAAAGAAATGAGCTCAAGTCATGGAAAGACATGAAAGAACCTTAAGTATTATTAAGTCAAAGAAGCCAATCTGAAAAGGCTGATGCTGTATGAGTTCACATCTATGACATTATAGAAAAGGCAAAACTACAAAGACAGTAAAAGGATCAGTGGTTGCAGGAGCTAGGGAGGAGGGAGGGATGAATAGGTGGGGCACAGAGGATTTTTAGGGCAGTGAAACTACCTTGTATGATACTGTAATGGTGGACACAGGACAGTAAGCATTTGTCCAAACCCGTAGAATGTACGGCACTGAGAACGGACCCTCCTGTAACCTATGGACTTCAGTTAATAATATTGAACCAAAAAATAACTAACAATAAAACAGTGCTCTTCAGACACCATTACCTGCTATGTCACCTGCTGGGAGCTGGAGGAGGGGCTTCCTAGCCCCTCCTGTTTTAAAGGCTAGGCTGGTGCTTGGCTCAGCTCTGTCCCACCCCCCCACACCAACCACCTTTGTATGCACCACAGCCCACTGGAGGGGTTTTCTGATGTCACCAGTGGAGAAAGCGCCTGCAGCAGGGACTGCTGTCTCTCTATTCATTGCTAAGTCTCTGGTGCCTGGAACAGGGGCTGGCATGCTGGAGCCTCTTGGAGTGTCCACCCAACCCAGTGCCTCTGCCCTCTGCCTGGATGGCCACAGTGTCCTTCTGGTCCCCTCACCCCCTTCCCTCTTGCTGGCGCTCCTCCTTCCTCACCCAGCAGCTGAGATGCTTCTACTACTCCCTGCTTCAGTCCCTCCGGGGCTCCCCACTGCTGGCTGACAAAATCCAATCTTTGGCACCAGTCCATCAGGCCCGGGGAGGTACAGGAGACCAGTAGGACAGGGCAGGGAAGGGGGAGGCCCAGCAGGCACACCCAAAAGACACCCTTACACTGAACCACATGTACGCCCGTGTGCCGGCCTCACACACACCAGCAGGCCAGGCCCACCAAGGCCCCCTGGCACCAGCAGCCTCCCCTGCCTTATCTCTCCTGCCTCACCCTGATCCCCTGGCTCCGACACATTCACCCTTCTCCCTCATCACTTTCATCTGGACTGTCTGTAGGTTAACGGAGCAACTGCCTGTCTTCCCAGCCCAGTCCAGGGGACAGGATAGTGCAATGGTTTCCAGGCCCGGCCCCAGAGCACCCCAGCCCAACATCCCTCTGCCCTGCCAAGGTCAGGAGTGTGACCTCAGGTGGATTACTCCATGCCTCAGTTTCCTCTTCAAACAAGGAAAACAGTGGGACCTGGTTGACGCTGATCCTGCTTAGCATATGCCTGGCACAGAGAAAAGCCATTGCTGTGTGCCTGGCGGTCCTGGTGTCATCGCTCATATGATGGTTGTGGATCCCCAGTGGAGCTGGAGCGTGACTCCCACACGGCAGACCCATGAGTGTGCTGGCTGCCAGCCGGTGCCTGTGTTTTCAGCTTGGATGAGGCCTGGGGGCCAGGACGCACGCTCCTATCTGCTCTTTCCCAACAGCATGGGTGAGAAGAGAGCTTTGCAAACAGTGCCATCAGGTATTATTTCCATGGCTGTCCCCACGTGAGAATCACAGAACACAGTGCTGGAAAAAACCCTGGACGTTTCTCAGCCCAGATGGGGAAACCGAGGCCCCCCAGAAGGAAAGGCTAGCTTGCCTGGGTCACATGTGCCCAGAGTCCCACGTGTGACTAGCAGCCCATGGAGGCTGGTGGCCTGTGCATCCCTGCAGCCAGCTCCTGCCCTGGGGAGAAACTCCTCCTGAGAAATGGCGCTGGGCCTCACCTTCACGTCCCCACAAAGGCCTCACACTGCTTTTGAGAAAGCTACCCTTGAGTGACAAGAGGGTGCTGGGCAACCACATGTCCTGTGCCCAAGGGCCAGGACTGCAAGAAGCTAAGCAAGGTAGGAGCCCCGCCGGCCCCAGCTGCAGCAGGAGGCCTGGCAGCAGATGCAGCTGTGGATGATGAGGCCCCAACCCAGCAGATCGGTCACCACAAACAGTTAACTCAGGTTACGCTGTGCACCCACTAACTGCCTGCCAGGCACCCGGTCCAGCCTCCTCCCAGCCCAAGGCAGAAGGCACTGCCACCCTCCTTTATCTCAGAAGGGAAAAGGCTTTGTCCTCCTCACACAGGTGAATGTGGAGGTTTCTCCCCTGTGGGAGAGGTTGGAAGGCCGAAGCCAGGTCTACATGGGTCTGGTCCCTCATTACCGTCAGCTGAGGGTCCCTGTTGCTGAGCCGAAGCAGCGAGACCTGCCACTCTCAGGTCCCGGGGGCATTTCCCGGAGTCTGGCCCCAGCTGGGCCTCGAGGCCAGGCCCATCACCCTCCCCGCCCAGCCCTTCCAGGCAGCTGGGGGGAGCTCAGTTAATTACATGTCTAAATACATCTCGACCATCTCAAGTTGAGCCCCCCTTTGTCCCTGCCCCCGGTGGAGGTGGGAGGAGGAAGTCAGCAACTGTCACGTAGGGCCCCGTAAGGGTCCACCAGTTCTTTTCTTCTCCCAGCCCAAGGCACCAGCAAAAATACTGCTAGCCGTTCTGTTTTTGCTATTTTACATCACCCTTTCCATTGTAAGCCATAATTTTCAGAGGTTTATAGGTCAGCTATTAAAATAATAAACGTCTCTTTTACTAAGAGGGAGCGCTTTGAAACTCGGGGCTGGTAGGGTGGACAGTGGGGGCGCACAGGGGTGCACTCAGCCTCGACTTCTTCCACCAAAGCCTGGTTATCAGAAGCCACCCCTCCCCATGTCCTCCTGATTCCAGGGCACCTCCCCCTTGTGCTCCCATTTCTGCCTCCCCTCAGAGGCTTCGAGGCTGCCCCTCCTCCACTGCAGGTGTGACTAGACCTTGAACACTTTGAGTGTCTTGTGGCAAGACCTAGGGAGACCCTGGCCCACAAAAACAGGAGACCCTGGTGCAAGGCCTGAAGAAGTCTGGAGGACTGGCTGTGTCTTGGTGGAGCCCTGCTCCACACCCTCCACCTCAGCGCATCCTCAAACTAGCAGGGGCTTGAGCCCATCAGCAGAGGGGTTGCGGGTGGTTTCCTTGAAACAAGCCTGGGTCTGGGCAGCAAGTCAGGGGCTGTGCTCCCTGCCTCCTGGGGCTACATGAAGTCCAGGCTTGTCTTTCTGCAGCCCCGCAGGTGAGAGGTGATAAATGCAGGGTGCAGTGCAGGCCGGCCGCCCCTCCTGAGATAAGGGGACTGGAGCAGGTGGGTGTGGGCCAGGCCCAGCCAGGAGAGAGGCTTCCCCTTTTGGATGGACTGGGGATGCCCACTTTGGGCTGCTCTCTCCTGCGTTCCAGCTCTCCAGCTTTTGGGGGTGCAGGAGAAGGGAGCTGGAGGCAGGCACAAGCACAAACAGACTGGAGTTGCAGCATTTTTCGGCCTCTTTATTTAGAACCCGGCGGACGAGGGGCCGGGGCAGTGGTACAGACGGCTCAGGAACCATTTTAACAGACTTGTCTTCAAGTTTCAGATAAACACAGTCATAATAAGAGAGACAGCGAAAGCGCGAAGAGACTGCAAGCTAGATGGGCATGTATGGCAGCTACAGCTTGTGAGTGACCCCCTTCCCCAGAGTCCGCGATGAAAATAAAGTTACACTTGTCAATAACCAGATGTGGGAGATGGAGAGTGCCTTTGGCATAACCAATAACCGAGCTAGTGCGTGGCAGAGCGGTCCACGCCTGGACATAAATAGAAAATATAAGTTAGTATAACTTTAAAAACTTTTTGTACAAATATACATGGTTTTTTTATTTTTTCCTTTTTTTTTTCTTTTTTCTTTTTTTTGCACTGAGTTTCAGCAGAGATTAAACATTTTATATAAATGACTCTTAAAGCTTTACACCTTGGGACCAGTGTACCTTCTCGTGCAGAATACATTTAGATATAAAAAGACGTTATTAATACATTGCACAGTTTTCAAAATTTAAAAACAAAACCGAACGCTGCTCTGCGGCAGCCGCCGCCGGTTGCTGCTACATGAACGGTCCCAGCCGAGGCCCAGCGCCCTTCCAACGTCCGCTGCCCCGGCAGGTTCCCTCGGGGCTCTTTGGGCTCTAAACTGCGAGGAGAGGGGCGGTCAGCAAAGCCGGCGGGGACCCGGCGGGTCGGCCCTCCGCGCCCCCCCAGGTGCGCTGTACTCACTTGGCTCACCGCAGCCTCTTGCGCGGGGTCTGCTCCACCGAGCCCACGCCAGGGGCGGCGCTTGGAGAGGGACACGGCGCGGGGACATCGCCCGACGACTTCTCAGGCGCTGATCTCTTGCGCTTGGCGAAGAAATCTGCGGGCGACAGCGCGCGCGGCCGGTCAGGGCGGGGCCGGCCCGGAGACCCGAGAGGGGGCCGGGAGAGGGCGCGGGGCGCGGGCCGGCCGGGGTGGGGGCGCCGTCCCCGCCCGCGCCGAGGTCCGCGGCGGGTCAGCTTTGTTTACGTCGCCGCGCAATGTGCTGTGTAAGCATTTCCCCTTGTCCCGCGGCCAAGCCCCCCGGGGCCGCCGCCGCGCTTAACCCCCTCCACGCCGTGCTCACGGCGCCCGGCCGCGCCCGGGGAGGGGCTCCCGCGGCCGGGGGCGAAAACTGCGCTCCCGGGGGGTCGCGGCCGGGATTCAGCCTCCCACCCCGCCCGCGCGAAGCCGCTGGAGGGCACAACAACGGGGCGGGGAGGGGGGTAAGGGCGCAGCCGCGCCCTGAGCGCTGCGGGCCCTTTAATGCCACGGGAGGAGGCGGGAACCCAGCGAGGCCCCCGAGGGCTGGGGGGACCGGCCGGCCGGACAAAGCGGGGCCGGGCCGGGCCGGGGCGGGGCCGTGCGGGGCTCACCGGAGATCAGAGGCCCGGACAGCTTCTTGATCGCCGCGCCGTTGGCGCTGGCGGCCGCGGTGCCGGCCGCGGGACGTCCCGAAATCCCCGAGTGCAGCTGGTCAGCGAGAGGCTCCTGGCCGCGCTGCCCCTGGTTCGCGCCCTGCTCGGCGCTCTCTTGAGGCGCCGCGTCCGGGGCCGGGGCCGGGGCGGGGGCCGGGGCCGGGGCCGGGGCCGGGGCTGGGGCCGGGGCCGCGACTGGAGCCGGGGCCGGAGCCGGAGCCGGAGCCGGGGCCGGGGCCGGGGCCAGGACCGCGACCGCGACCGGAGCCGCGACCGGAGCCGCGACCGGAGCCGGAGCCGGGGCCGGGGCTGGAGCCAGGACCGGGACTGGGGGCGGGGTGGACGCCGGGGCCGGGACCGGGACACTAGGCAGCTGCTCCGGCGCCTCCTCGAGGCCGTCGAGGGACTCAGCGGCCGGCTCGAGGGGCGGGCTGACAGCCACCGCGACCGCGACGGGCCGCGGCGCCAGCAGCAGGCGGCAGCGCCCCACCTGCACCGTCTCGCGGTAGAACGCGGGCACCGAGTCGCTGTCCACTTCGGTCCACTGCAGGCGTCCAGGGCCCCGCAGCGGCATGTCCTGCTGGAAGTCGTAATCCCAGCGGTTCTGGTCCTCGGCGTTCAGCTCGGCCAGGCGGGCCTGCAGCTCGCGGCTCAGCTCCTCGTGGTCCACCGGCCCGAAGAGGCTGCGGCAGGCGCTGGTGCGCACTAGTACTGGGAAGGTCCCACGGGCGACAAGACGCTCCATCGTGGATGTGCTGCGGAGGGACGCGTCGGACATGGCCCGGGGCTGCGCAAACGCGGGCAGCGAGAGAGGAGAGGACAGCGAGAAGAAGGGGAAAGGAGAGGAGGAGAGGGCGGAGGCCGGGCGCAAGGGAGACCCCGCGCCGCCCGACTCTGCGTGTGCGAGGGACGCGGCGGCTACCTGGCTGTCCGGTGGTGGACTCTTCTGCGTCGGGTTCGCCTGTCTCGTCCGGACGGCAGCCGCGCCCCCTCGATGCCTGCTGGCTAGCTCGCTCGCTCAGGCCTGGCCGGCACCCCTCGAGCACAGCGCACTTGGCCTGTGGAACGCCCAGCCCGCCTGCGCCCCCTTTATACGCGCGGGCCCCACCCCCGTGCGCGCGGGCCCGGCCGCGATTAGCATAATGTAGTATTTTCAGTTTCAACAACACCACGGCGATTGGCGGCCGCCCCGCTGCCCCGCCCCGCCGCGGCCCGGCCCCCGCGCACCGCCCATTGGCCGCGCGCACACCCACCGGGGGCGGGGCGGGGCGCGCGGCCGGGGCGCGCGGCTGATTGGCGGCCGCGGGGCGAGCGCGCTGTAGCAGGGGAAGGGGGCGGTGAGCGGGGCGGGGGCGGGAGTTAAAGGGCGCTGCGGGCGGTAACGTGACACCGCGACGCCCGCCCCCTCGCCCCATCCCCCCTGCAACACTCCCCCACCCCCCCGGCTCCCGCCCCCCGCCGGCTCCTTTGTCTGCAGGCGGGGGCCTCAGCCCAGCGCGGCAGGGGCCGGCTCCTGGCGGGTCCGGTGTCCGGCCAGGCCCAACTCGACCCCGGCCCGGTCCGGACCCCGGCGCCCAGCTCCGTCCCGCGCTCGCCCGTGGGCCTCCTGCGCCAGCTGACGAGGCTTGGACCCGCCGCTGCCAGCTCGGCCCTGGCCTGCGCCGGATGGGGTCTTCGGCTGCCCCCGCGCGGCCTGCTGCTGCTGGGCTGGTGTCCCTTCGAGGGCTCCGCGCGCCTGGAGCCCTCACACACCTGCTGGCCCTAAGGCCCTCGAGTCGGGAGGGGGGACAGGGGTCAGCTCCACTCTTTCCCCGAGGGACCATGTGTGGGACACCTTGAGAGACTCCCACCAGCCCCCTGGAGCTGGAGTCTGAAGCCGCTATCTGCGGAGGCCCACCCTGCCCAGTAGATGGAACAGGGGCTGAGCCCATCATGTCACTGTCGGGGGTCCCAGCCCTTCTCAGCCTTGGGCCAGACCACTCCAGCCCCGGGATCTGCCTGTCCAGGCTGGCTGGAAGCTGTTGTACTGGGTAAAAGTGAAAGATCTGCCCGAGGTCATAGGGGAAGGGGCTGTGAAGGACCATGCCCCTCCCCCGCCTGCAGCCCTTCCTGGTACAGACCTCGGTCGTGCGCGCACGCACACACACACACACACACACACGCACGCACACACACGGTGCTTCACCCCAGCCAGGCCAGACCAAAAGAGACCATTATTTCCTGCTGCCTCCCTTTTGGCCCACCTACCATGAGGCAGGGAGCCCCCTCCTCAAACCAGGAGCCTCCCAGATCGGGATGGGGACTGTCAGACACCTGTTGGAGGGTCCAGCAGCCCATGAGATCTAAGCCCCTATCTCAGGTGAGCCTGTGAGCCAGCAGAGAGACCTCTGGGAGGGAGGGAAGGTGCGGTCCCCTGAACCCCAACCAGCCTGCCTTTGAGTCCCAAGACACCCCCACCCCCATGGAATGCTGTGGCAGTGTGCAGCTGCAGCTGGGGGAGCAGGGCGGGTCTTCTGGGTCTCAGGGAAGCGAGATCTGAAGTGAGGGGGGTGAACTGGATGGGACAGGGCGTTAACCCAGGAGAGGGGCCAGGGCCATTCTTGGCTCTTGATGGTGGAACCAAAAGCCATGATTTATGTGCAATTTCATATTCTTCTCTGTGCACAATTTACAAATTTCCCGCAACAAGCCCAGATGTCACAATTTTCATCTTAGGAAAACAAAGAGAAGCTGAAGAAGGCTCCCCAGGCCCTGCGAACCCCTCAAGCAGGGCTCATATCAACTGGCCTGGGGGCAGAAAGAGGCAAAGTCTAGTCTGCTCCATGCCCCTATGCTGCCACCTCCCCAGAGACTAGGAGCAAAGGGCTAGAGTGGGTAGTGACCTAGAGGCCCCCGGATACCCACACTCCAACCATCAGGACTCATTGGCCTTGGTGACACCACTCAGAGGGTGTAGCTGCCATCATCCTGTGTTATAGAAGAGCAGCAGAGACCGCGTCAGCCGCTGAGGCCGCACAGCTGGAAGGAAGCAGGGCTCAGAACTCCCGGGCTGCCTGGCTTTCTGGTTTGGTTTCCACTTAGGTTTCCTACTTTTATTTTTCCACTTTACCAGCTTAATTACAGAGTCAAACCCAGTGCTGTGGGGATTCCTCCGTCTTGGCCTCGTTAGAAGCTGAGAGGTGACCTGCTCTAAGTCTGTCACTCTGAATTCGATCAAAGATGGTACCCAATAGCATTTTAAACCTGCACGTCCCAGGAGCGGGGCTGTGTCCCCCCAGCCCAAGCCAGGGACACACCTGGAGGAAGGCACCCCAGGAGCTGGGGGCTGGGAGTTCCAGGCTCTGAGAGGAGGCCCAATGGGCCCAGAAGCAAGCAAACATCTGTCTAGGTGCAACAATCAAGCTCTATTTTTGTAATTAAAAATGTATCCAAAGGGAAAAAAGAAACAAAAGGAACAATATTTGTACTCTATGTTGCTGCAGAGAGCAGAACTGCGGAGGGGGTGCTAGTCCCAAGGGGTGGACTGTGCTGTGCTAGTGCCCTAAATCCTGCAAGCGCGGGGTTGGGGGGGCGGGGGAGACCGCTGTCGGGGGTCGTGAGTTCCGGGCCCTTGTGTGCATGTTCACGTCCTGTCATTCTTGCCCCCAGCTGAGAGAGCAGTAGAGGAAAGGCACTACATCCACCAGCCTTTGCATTCTCCTCGGAGCACACAGAAAGACATTTTCCAGTTATCTTGCACACAAGTGGGCGGCGGGACCCGTTTTGGCCGGGAACGTTGTCAGGAACGCTGTACACCACTTCCAGGCGGTCACGTCCGAGCTGCCCAGGCAGTCCTTCTGCGCCCTCTGCTGGCCAGATGGAGGCTGCAGACCCTGCGGGGCCATCAGGAGAGAACCACCAAGCACCCTCTGCACACCGCATTGCCTGTGTTGGGCACAAAGAATAAACTTTTATTGCATCTTAACCCACTAGAAATGTAGGCTTGTCCATCACAGTGGGGCGTTACATACCCTAATACATAGGGAAGGCATAGGTAGATTTCAGTTGGCCTTTTACAGACAAGGAAACCAAGGCTTGAGAAGATTCAAACCTTACTGCAGCCATGGCTCACACCTATATACCCTCAGTACTTTGGGAGACCAAGGCAGGTGGCTCGCTTGAGCCCAGGAGTTCCAGACAAGCCTGGGCAACATAGAGAAACCCCATCTCTACGAATATTTTTTAAATTAGCTGGGTGTGGTGGCACGTGTCTGTGGTCCCAGCTACTCGGGAGGCTGAGGTGGGAGGATTGCTTGAGCCCAGGAGGTTGAGGCTATAGTGAGCCGTGATCGTGCCACTACCTCTAGCCTGGACGACAGAGCAAGACGCCCTCTAAAAAAAAAAAAGAAGAAGAAGAAGAAGAAAGAAGAAGAAGAAAAAGAAAAACTTGCTGCCCAAGCAGTTAAGGCAGGATTAACCTGCAGCCCTCACTGCTGTGCGTTCCTTCTAGGAAAGACCCAGAAGCCAGAGAAGCCTAGGTCCCAATCCTGGTGGATCTTCGTGCTGGAATCGTTAAGCCAGCTGTTTCCCAGGGGCCACCCATGGGCCAGTCCTCACCACAACCTCATGGGTGGTCGGTCAATGTCGTAGGCCCGCTTTACAGCCGAGGAGACAGAGGCTTCCAGAGGCAAACACACTGGTCCATGAGTAGCAGAACGAGGGTAGGCCCAGGAAGCCATGTCCTTGGCCACATGTGCTTTCTGGCGGGTGACCTCCACTCCAGTGCCTCCCCGGCTGCCCGAGGCCTCCCCTTCCCGGGTGTGGCAGCTGTACAGCTGCCTTGTCGGCATGTTCATGGCCCCATCAGGAATGTGTGCCGCAGGTGGCTTCACAGGGCTAGGAATGCCCGTCCTAGGTTAGGCCCAATCCCTACCCAGAGCCCCAGGGAACCCAAATTCTGGGACACAGGACACCCGGCCAGTGGGCCAATGGCCCCTATCAGGGAGTGACCAAGGACAGGCCGGGAGCTCTTCTTTCCCCTCTGACCCATGGTGAAACCTGCCTCGGGCCTGTTCCCTGGGTTCTGAGGCCCTGAGCTATCTGTCTTCAAACAAACGAAGGCCTCAAAGAATGTTCCATTGAGCCATGGGCCCCATATCACCCATCAATCACAAAGGGCTGGGGATTGCAGGCACAGGGTCAAGGTGGGTAGGAGGTGAGGGCTGGACACCATCTGAATCTGTGCTGTTCCAGGGCCCACTAGAGAGTCTCCAGGTACCCGGAGCCTGCCCTCAGCAGTACCACCCTCCCACAGCACCCCAGGGACCCTGCAAGAGGTGTCTGTGCCCTTCCCGGCTGCCTCCCCAGCTGCTCCCCAGGTGGTGCCCTGTGGAGAGGACCAGAGGGATATTATAAACAATGACAACACTTGCTGCCTTCATCTTGTGCCTGCTCAGGGCCCTGCCCTAACCCAGGGCTGGGCTCGTTGCCTCATTTAATCCTTCCAAGACCCCTGAGAGGGAGGTGTGTTCGTGCCCATTTTGCAAGGGAGGGGACTCAGGCTCCCAGAGGTTAAGCCACCTGCCTGAGGTCACTGAGACTTGAGGTTGGCCCTGCCTTTCACCCAGCCTGAGCCCCTCCATAGGACTTCTGTGAGGGCACAAGAAAGCAGGAAAAGAAAGAAGTCAAGGGCCCTGGGAATCTCCCCTGACATCTCCCACCCCAAGCCCTAGAGCCAGGGCTGGGCATCTGTGCAGGGTACAACCCTGCCCAGGGATGCCTGACTCTGGAAAGGCCACCCCTTTGGCCTCAAACCACATCACCCAGCAGCAGGTCCTCAGACCAGCCCTGGACAGGAGCTTGACTGGCTGTGCCCCCAAAGGCCCCAGAGCTCCCTGCCCCCACTGAGCCTCCACCTTCCCATCCATAAGATGGGGTGGGGAGTCATCCAGCCCAGAGGCCCCAGGGGCATGGGGAGTGACAGATTAACCCAAGGCCCCCCCTCCCGCAACAGGCGGCTCAGCACACACTTGGCGGGGGGCCATGCTGGGCCAGGAGAGCTCCCCCGCACCAGTTCCCCGCGCGCAAGGCTCGCCCCGCCCCCCAGGACAGGCTGTTCTTGGGGCGGCTGCCAGGCACGTCCTCCGCAGGTGCCGGCCTCCCTGCGGTGACGTGGCCACATGCGGCACAAGCTCCGATTACAGGGACTGCCTTGTGCTGGGGGTTCCGGCCAGGGGTCCTCACTCCCCAGGAACCGATGGGCGGAGCTGGGCAGGCCCTGAGGAGAGGCCCAGTGGGAATAGGGAACAGTCACCCCTGCTCCAGAACGGGACCAGGGGCTGCTTCCCTTGGGGTCTGGAAGAGAGGGACCCCCTGGTCCCAGCCTGCCTGAGACTGCTGGTTTCGGCACTGAATGTTCCAGGAAACCGAGGGCCACTGGTCATCGTGGGCTTCACACGGCGCCTTTCTGGGCTAGGAAGGGGGCTCCCGGGCTAGGAAGCAGGTACCGAGGAGGGTCTCAAGGACATGTGGGGACCTATGTCAGACACCCCTGCAGCCAGCTCTGAGCCCACCAGGCCTTTCCTCCTCTCCCTGCCAATCCACAGGACACAGACACAGGGGTCCCAGGCCCAGTGGCTCACTTTATCAGGGAAACAGCAGGAAAAACAAATCTGGTGTGAGCAGATCTCCCTTCCCACCAAGCCCCCTGACTTCCTGCTGGAGCTCGGGGAGACCCCTGTGACCAGCATCTCCTGCCTACGGGGGGCGCCAGGGCCTCAAAGCCTCTCCAAGCCACTCCCTCCCACCCTGCTTTCCACACCCAAGCCACAGCGTTCAGAGAAGCTCAGGGCCTATTTGAAATGCCAGAGAGTGGGGATGCCTCCAGAGAGGTGGCATGAGGGCCCCCAGATGCACCCCACCACTCCCTCCTCCACTGCAGGAGGAGGGGCCTGCAGTTACTGAGGAAGCCTCACCCCTACTGGGCCCTCGGGGGTGAAGGGGCTTCCCAGGCCTTGAGGGAGACTGTATTTCAGATGTCAGTTAAAAGCGCCTGCTACATGGCGTGACCTCTCTGAATCCTATTACTTTCCTGTGCAGGAAACTGAGGCCCAGAGAGGTGGAGTGACCGGCCTAGGGTCCCCCAGCAAGTCAGAGACAGTGAAGCCACCTCCTGCCCTGGGCTGGGGTCCCGCCCCACTGACCTCCAGGGTCAGAGAAGGAGGGGAGCCCCCAACACTTAACTCCTTCCTTCTTTCCTTCATTCCTTCCTCCCTCCCATTCTCCACCTCCTCCTGGCTGAGCTTTGAAGCCAGGGCAGTTGGCCAGACCGAGCGCAGAGGCCAGGAGGTGACGGCAGGCTTGCCCTGGCGGCCTCCCAGGTTAACACACTCCCAGGTGGCTGCACCCCACAGGCGAGGGCTGCTCAGAGTAGATGCTCAACCAAGAGGTTGCCCGTGCCCCCTTCCCCAGCCGCAGGGGCAGCCAGAAGCCAAGCAGCCTCCCGCCCACTGGAGCCTGGAGCCTGAGGGCTGAAGCTGGGCGCCTGCTGCCCCCTGGCGTCCCGAAACGGCACAGCCACCAGGACCCCCACCCACCTCATTCATGCCTCACACCTGGGGGTGACTTGGGCCAGGGCCTTGCTCTCTGGCCCCGAGTCCCCTCAAGTGTAAGATGGGGGCTCTGCCCAGTGTGGCTGTCCGGGCTGCAGCGGGCAGGAGCGCATTTTTCACAAACCCCAACACCCCTCGGATCTGGGGGTGGGGCGGTGTCACTCGCACCTCAGTGGGAAACAGCACGTGGGCCTCGCCCGTCTCCAGGGGGTGGGGGAGGGGAGACAAAGAGCCCGCTCTGCGGAGAGGTGGGTACCCGCCCTGCCGCCCCTCCCCCATTTCCTCTCTGCTCCCCCTGCCCCTCCTCCCCTCCCTCCTCCTTCCTTCCCTCCTCATCCCCAGCTCCTCCTCTTCCTCTTCCTGCCCTATCCCCCCGCAGGCCCGGCCGGCAGCCCGGCGCCCTCTGCCTTCGTTCCCGCCATTGGCGCTGCTGCCCGGAGCCCCTAGGTGACAGCCAGCCCCGAGGCTGCAGCCTCTGTGTCGGGCCTGCACCTGCCCACCGCGTGGTCACTGCCTGGGCACGTATGGACACTCACACCCTTCAGTCCTGAGCACAACTGTGCCCTGGCTGCTTCGGAACAACAAGGAATCATAGTCCTGCTTCTGGCTGGGAGCTGGGGGCCAGCAATCAGGGCAGCTGGGGAAGTGGTTAGGGAGGTGGCGGCACACAGGCCGAGCTCAGAGAGTGAGCAGAGAATGGGCCCAGGGGAGGGCGCTGGAGAGGGCTGCAGGGCTTGGGGCTGCAGCTCAGGAGCTGGCTTCACCTTGGAGGCTATCAGACCTGCTCCTCAGCATTGGCCCAGCAAGGGGAACAGTATGGGGAACAGGGGACAGGCACTGCCTGGCCAGCAGCAAACAAGTAGGCTGTGGAGTTGGGCAGAGCATCTGCCTCTTACTAGCTGTGTGTCCTTGGGCAAGTTGCTTAACCTCTCTGTGCCTCTTCTTTCTCATCTGTAAAGCTTCTGATGAGGCTTAAAGGGCAAGTCAGTATGTGCCTGGCACAGCGGCCTTCCTCTTGAGGATGCCACTACCCTCACCATCATCAGCCTCTCCCTCCAACCTAGAGGGGCAGGCAGGGCAGAGAGCTGCCACTGGCCACCCCTCCAGCTGTGCTGTAATGAAAACTGGACATTCACTCTATACCCAGAGATGTGGGCTGGCGGGGAGGAAAGGCACCTACACCCCTGCCATGTAAACAGGCAGGCAGGGTGAAAGGGGTTTGGTTTGTTTGTTTGTTTTTTGAGATGGAGTCTCACCCTGTCGCCCAGGCTGGAGTGCAGTGGCACGATCTTGGCTCACTGCAACCTCCGCCTCCCAGGTTCAAGCAATTCTGCCTCAGCCTCCCAAGTAGCTGGGACTACAGGCGCCTGCCACCACACCTGGCTAATTTTTGTATTTTTAGTAGAGACGGGGTTTCACCATGTTGGCCAAGCTGGTCTCAAACTCCTGACCTCATGATCCACCTGCCTCAGCCTCCCAAAGTGCTGGGATTACAGGTATGAGCCACCGTGCCAAGCCTAGGATGAAATGTTATCTACATGATGAGCAGTTTGGGCAGTGAACCCCACCTTTGTCAGAGTTCAGGACAGTCCATGGGATACAGGTCACTCCGACTCTCATGCATCAGTCTTCACGCCAGCCCTGAGTGAGCACTGAGGCACACGTGCCTAGCACCCAGCAGTGGCCCCATCCCCTAGCTGCTGGTCAGTACCAGCTGCCACTGCAGCACACCCTTTCTGCCAGGCAGCCTCATGCCATGCACTTGATGTGCAAATGATCTTGTCTAATCTTCACAAGCATCCCGTGAGGCAGGGATTAACGTTGTCCCCATTTCACAGATGGGGAAACTGAGGCTCAAGAGTTCCAGACCCAGGCAAGCCCTGGTCAGTGGTGAAGATGCCAGCCTGGTGGGGCTGGCTGCAGAGTGCTGGGCCCTGTCATAAGCACAGGCCTCTGGCACGCATGCTGACTGCTGGGGATTTTAAGATTGGGGCCCCCCTGCTGAGCCCTATCTACAGCTGCCCCCTTCCCTGGGTTACCCCAGGTTTTAATTTGAAGCAGTTAGTGAATTGAGCTTATGTGGGGTCTTATTTGTATTTGCTTTTGGGTTTTTGCTTTTTGGGGGAGTTTTTGGGTTTTATTGAGATAGAGAGTCTCACTCTTTTGCCCAGGCTGGAGTGGAGTGGTACAATCTTGGCTCACTGCAGCCTCCGCCTCCCAGGTTCACGATTCTCATGCCTCAGCCTCTCAAGTAGCTGGGATTACAGGCATGCGCCACCACACCCAGCCAATTTTTTGTATTTTTAGTAGAGACAGGGTTTTGCCTTGTTGGCTGGGCTGGTCTCAAACTCCTGGCCTCAAGTGATCTGCCAGCCTCAGCCTCCCAAAGTGCTGGGATTACAAGCATGAGCCACCTCGCAGGGCCCTGTATTTGGGTATTAGCCATGGCAGCCTGGCAGATGTTGCTGAGGGTGTCTGGGCACCTGGGCCTGGGCTTGGCGGCCTGAGCAGTGCCTCCTCCTCAAATGTCAAATTGAGGCCTGGACTAAGGGTGTCTGATTTATGGCCTCACCTGTCTGTCCGTCCATTCAGCAATATCTCCCTGGGACCTCAGGGGCAACTGTGCCTTCAGGGGCTTCCGGGTGGGCAGGCAGAAGCAGAAATAAGTATACAAGGCAGGGTGGTGCCCAGGTTGTATGATGAAGGAGGGGACGGGGGATTTTCAGGGCAACGACTTGTGCCAAGATCCAAGGATGGAAGGGAAGAGACGTACAGGCAAGGGGACCATTCCAGGCAGGGGACACAGGCAGAGACCCATCCAAAGATGAGTGCAGGGCAGACAGTGCTTGAAGCTGGAGCTCTCTATCTCTCATGCTTCTTTGGTTTGCAAAATGTGGCATGATCCAGTGGGGGCTGAGGGGCCAGGGCTCCAGGGCTGGCTGCCCCAGGAACACAGCAGTGTCACCAGAGGTCCAGGGTGGGAACCACCAGAGTTTTAGAAACTCACCCAGCCATGTCCAGGGTGCCTGGAGCAGGGAAGGGAGGCTGCTACACCTCACTGAGATGCCAGTGTGGCTGCCCCCGGTGGAAACCAAATAGCCAGGCTCCCTGAAGCTGCCAGCAAGTCTAGGGGCAGGGAGGACAGGTGAGAGCTGAGAGGCCTCCAAGGGTCAGAAGTAATTGCATGGGTTTTGCGACTTCTCCTCTTGCTTCTTGGAAATCCTTCCTGCTTCTTTCTGGATTCCCTACTGAATTCTGAAGGTTCTAAAAGACCTGGAGGCTGGGCACTATGGCTTATGCCTGTAATTCCAGTGGGAAGATCACTTGAGGCCAGGAGTTCAAGACCAGCCCAGGCGACATAGCAAGATCTTGTCTCTATAAAAAAAAAAATTTTTTTTTAATTAGCTGGGTGTGGTGGTATTCATCTGCAGTCCCAGCTACCAGGGAGACTGAGGCAGGAGGATCACTTGAACCCAGGAGTTCAAGGTGGCAGTGAGCTATGATCACACCACTGCACTGCAGCCTGGATGACAGAGCAAGACCTTGTCTTATGAAAAATAAAATAAAGAGAACATGGATGTGGGTTGGATGGTGAGAGCTTGGGGCTGTCCTTTGTTCCTGGGTGGGGGAAAGGGACTGGGACCAAAGGAGGCTGCGGTTGAGGGAGACGTGTGTACCTAAGAGATGGGCAGTAGCTAAGCTCCAGGCCCTCGGGCAGGTGCCTGTGGGGGGACAGAGGCACTGGTGGCCATGCCACCCATCCTGCCTGAGTTTCCCAGTTCTGGCTGGTGAGCAGGTGTGAGGCTGCTCTCTCAGGACCCCGTTCGGAGGCACATCTCTTCCTGATCCCACGATGCCCTTCACATGCACACACATGCTCACATGCACACATACACATGTGCACACACCCCACCACAGCCCTTGCCAGCCTGGGACCGCCAGCTGCTGGCTCCTCCCCCTGCCTCCCCGGATGGACATCCGTCCTTTGCAAGGGCTGTTCTTCCTTCTTCCTTCTTCCTGAGTCCTGAGGTCGGGCAAGGCATCCCTCAAGGGAGTCCACAGGTTGGGCCCACCACCCCGCAGTTCCCAGTTCCTATGCCATTGCCTGGCTACCTCCCCAACCTCCACCATCGTCCCTTCCTGCCTCCAGGTCAAGGACCGGAGAGAGTCCCTCTGGCCTCCAAGGGTCCTATGAGGGGAGGGTGACCCAGTTTGTCCGGAGCTGTCCCAATTTTGGCATGGGAAGTCCTACATCCCAAAACTCCTCAGTCCCGAGCAAACCAGGTCTCCCCCAAGCAATGAGTGAGCTTCCTAGAGCAGGGTCCCAGCTCCACCACCCATCTCCTCTGGTCCCTTGGCCTGTGGTATGAGAAAGGGGACGTGGGCTACTCCAGACTACACTCTCACTGTCCCCCAAAGGCCTCAAGGGCTCCAGTCTTCAGGCCCCACACTGGACGCCTCCCCCATGCTGCCATCTGGGCCTTTATCTCCTTCAGCTGTGGCTGTTGGCCAGCGTGAACACAAATACGTGAACCACAGCCCACCATGTTGGAGCCCCAGGTCCAGGCCCACAGTGGAGCCCAGTGAGGGGAGAGTGCTCACCCATCCAGGACCACAGGACTCTCCCCAAAGCCCATAGCACGTTGCTGCCCTCCCTCCATTTGGACACTGGTGTCAGGGACTGGGCCCTTGGCCCTAAGCCCGTCTGGGTTCCCTGGTTCACTAGAGGCCAGTGGAGAAGCCCCTGTTGGCAGAGCCTCCTCCGGGGCCCTGGCCCTAAAGGCCACAATTCCACACACCTCTCATGGGATGTGTCTGAGCCCAATGCCCAGCCCGGCAAGAACCAGCCCTGGATGAGGTCCAGCCCCTGCCCCTCCTCCTAGAAGTCTCTGCCCAACCTCCAATCCCAGAAGCGCATTCAGAGTCCAGTTCTAGAAGGTTCCTCAGCACCTGACAGCCCACTTCCTCACGTGCACCTGCACAGCCGGGGCCTAGCAGATGAGAGACAGCATGGGCACCACCAGGCCCCCCGCAGGGCTACCTGGCAAGCCTAGCCCCTTTGGGCTGAAGGCTGACCCCTGGGTCCCAAGGATACCAGGTCAGGGGGTGAAGGACCTTTGAACCCAGCCTCCCAGACTCTTAACCTGACACCTCCCAGATGAAGCCGAGGCCAGGCACCCAGTGCCCACAGCAGGCTGAAGGCCCCTCATAAGGCTGTGATTCCCAAGACAACACATACAAAGCCTGGGGTGCTGGGACAGAGCCCCAGCAGGGTGTCAGACACAGATCCCACTGTGGGATCCAGGCAGCCCCCATTGACCAAGGTCTGCAACCGCACCTCACCTGGCTGAGAAGGTGTAAGGTGGGCGGGAACCGAGGTTCGGGCGGGCAGGAGTCACATCCAACCCTGCCTCCGCTCTAGTCCCGCCCCAGGCAAAACCTTGTTGGCTTTATTGAGACAGGTCCTTGGAGAATCATAGGAGTAAGAGTACAAAGCCTCAAGGAGAACACGTTCACTTCACCCATGGAGTAATGGCGAAGGCCAGAGCCCTCCCCGCTCCTTCCAGATCACCCTTCTGTCCTCTGCAGCATCATGGAGTAATGGTGAAGGCCAGAGCCCTCCCCGCTCCTTCCAGGTCACCCTTCAGTCCTCTGCAGAATCATGGAGGGATGGTGAAGGCCAGACCCTCCCCGCTCCCTCCACATCACCCTTCCGTTCTCTGCAGCATCACTCTTTTAAATCTTAAAATTGTAAACAAAGGTTCTCTCTCTTCATCCCACTTCCCCTCCAGCCACAGTCCCATTTCTCAGCCCCCTTTTGGTGCAAAACCCTTCAGAAGGGTGTCCAGCCCATTCCTCCTGCTTGAATCCCGAGGGTCAGCCCCCATGCTCATGACGCTCTTGCCAAAGCCACCAGTGACTCCAGCTCTCGGCCCCAGGGAAGCTCCCAGGCCTTCACTCGCTTACCTGCCTCTCTCTCCAGACCCAGCTCCTTTATTTTTCCCTCCCTTTCCCTGGTCAGAACCCTGGGCACCTCCTCCTCATGCTGGGGTCCAGCCTTGGCCCTTGGCCCCTCTCCTCTCTAGCCCCATCCACTCCTGGTCATCTCATCCAGGGTGGGAGCTCTAAACAGGACATGAGTGTCAATGACACCCTCACGTCCAGCTCAGACCACATGCCGCAAACTGCACACTGCACACTCTGCCCTCTCTGCTGGCCCACAGGCCCCTCCCGTGGATGGACCTGCAGGGTTGCCTCCCCTCATGTCGCCCCCAGCCGCACCTGAAGGCCCCCTCAGTTGGCCCTCTCAGCCCAGGCCCCAACCAGCAGGAAGCCTGTCAGGCCTCCTTCCAGGGAGGTTCCAAACCTGCCCCTCAAATCCCCCCATGCCCCATCCAAGTCCACACCACCTCTCATCTGGACCACAGCAGAGACCTCCTGCACTGCCCCTCCCCTCAACCCCTCATCAGCACATCAGCCAGAGGCTCCTTGGAGAACAGAAGGGGCTCAGAACCCTGCAGCGGCGTCCACTGCACACACAGGAAGAACTCAAGTGCTCATAGGCAGTGAGTCATTTCCTTAGGCATTGTGGTGACCCGGGATCATGTGCCTCCCCGAAGCCTGCACATGCACTCTAATGATGCAAGCTACCACCAGGCGGTCAGCTTTGCCAGCTGACGTCCCAAACAGCTGGCATGGGGCATGCACACAGTAGGTGCTTAATAAATGTGTGTCGGGTTAAGATAGGCCCAAAGCCATTTCAAATGTCCAGGCAGTGGTGTAGGCAGGGGTCAGCTCTGAAGCTGGCCTCCTCTCATTCGGGAGACCCCTCAGAGGTCCCAGCCTCCAGGATGCAGTGTTCAGAGCAATACTTCTCAGTGCACGTCTGGCTGTGTCCCTGCCCAGCGCTCCCAGGGTCACCCCTCTCTCTAGACTCACTTTCTGCCCCGTCACCCCACTGTACACCCTTGGTCCCAGCCCCTTCCAGTGGCTCAGCTTCCTGAACACTCCAAGCCTGGGCTCACCTCTAAGCCGTTATCTATGCTATTCTCTCAGCCAGGATGCCCTTCCCATACCCAAACAATCCGTGCTCACCTTTAAGACTGGCTGAGGCATCACCTCCTCTGAGAAGCCACCTCTCCCAAACCTGAGCCCAGATGAGCCAAAGCCCTTCCTTCCTCCAGTCAGCCTGGATCCTCTCATCCGGCAGAACTGTCGCCTTGCTTCTCTGAAGCGGTGAATGCCCTGGGGCTGGGGACGCACAGGCTCGCTGGCCCACAACCAAAGCCGCTTCCTCTGGAGGAGGAAGTCCAGGGGTGCCAGGGTTCCACTTGCTTTCTTCTTCACCCAGCCTAAAGGGCAATTTTCCCACATTCCCTCAGAACCAGGAAGTTCCCCCATTCACACTGAGCCTGTTCATGACAAAAAAAAAGGTCTCTCCGATTTCCTCTGCTCAACCAGTTCCCTGGCTACCTGAGGCCCTGCTTCACCTGGAGGAAGACAGTGGTAAGTTTCCAGCATCTCCACCACACCTCAGCGCCAGAGGACCCTCAGCCTCCCTCGCACACCTCTGGGCAGTTTGGTAACTCATCCCATCTCCTCCTGCCGCTTCATCCTCTAAGCCCTCCCCAGGGAACCCAGGAGGCGTCTGGAACCTGTTGGGGACAGTCCCTCACACCTGCCCCATTGAGTAAGGGTTCATGTGGATGCCCATCCTCCCCCAGGAGTCCCAAATCTAAGACACTCTGAGACTCCTGTCACCCACCCCCACCTTACACAGCCGGCCTTTCTGTGCAGTCCTTCCAGGAAACTCTGGCTGGACCTGGGCTCTCGGCTTGACTGCACTCTCCCCAAGTCCCCAGGGCGGCCAGTGGTGACTATTCTTGAAAACGAGCTTGGCAGAGGATCTGGGGACACGCACTCCAGATGCAAACACGTTTGCACTCTTTGGGCTGGAATCCCCTCGAGCGGTACACTGCACCCGTGGGCTTGCTAAGAAACCACCTCACAGAGGGCAGATTGATTGGACAAAAGGCATTTGGTCCCCAAATTGATTGACGTGTGTGAATGGGAGTTTTCAGAACAAAGACCCAAAGATATGGGGGAAACAGGCTGGGCGCGGTGGCTCACGCCTGTAATCCCAGCACTTTGGGAGGCCGAGGGGGGGCGGATCACGAGGTCAGGAGATCGAGACCATCCTGGCTAACACGGTGAAACTCCGTCTCTACTAAAAATACAAAAAAATTAGCGGGGGCTGTGGCGGGCGCCTGTAGTCCCAGCTACTCGGGAGGCTGAGGCAGGAGAATGGCGTGAACCCGGGAGGCGGAGCTTGCAGCGAGCCGAGATCGCGCCACTGCACTTCAGCCTGGGTGACAGAGCAAGACTCCGTCTCAAAAAAAAAAAAAAAAAAAAAAAAAGATATGGGGGAAATTGCCATTTCTGATGCTTAGGCTCAACAAAGTATGGACATCCATGCGGGAACACAGATGAACCAAGGGACCTGCACTAATGCTCCTGGACCGCAAGGGGAAGCGCAGCGAGGGCTGTTGGTCTAGATTTCTTGAACTTTCTGAGCAGCATTCCTTCCTTCTGGGCATGGAGCAGGACCCTCCTGGAATGGGGTCTTATGCCCTACAGTCAAACAAGAGAGGTCAGATAATTTATGGCCAGCTTCTAAACACAAAGGTGGAGGGAAAGTTAGAGCAATATTTTTAGGTTTGATGTCTGGCTGTGTGGAAAGGCGGGGTTCTGATTTCTATGACCTGCCCTGGGGAAAATGGATTCCAGTTTCTAAGGCCAGCTTCGGGGAAAATGGCACTGAGAGACAGGAGAGCAAGAGAAGGTCAGAGAAACACTTTTTCTTCCGAAGCTGCTTCTGAGGCCTTCATTTTGGGGTATTGTTTTCTGATGCCCAACATATCTGAGCTGCTGAACGAAGGGTAGCTGCTGAACCACTCCCACGGTGACTTGGAATGGCTTAGCCAGCCGGCCTTGGGCCACCTGGCTCTGGCCCCCCTGCCCACCAGGACTTTGGCCGGCTCTCGCTCGCCTCTGCGATGTCCGTCCCACCCTGTCTCACCCCTGCAGTTTTCTGCTCTGTGGAGCGATGATTGACACATGGCAGGGGGACACTGGTTTTGACATTTGAGCCTGTGCCCAGCCCTTGCCTGGGGAGGAGGTGGGGCAGGAGTCCTGAATGAGCATCTCCCTACTTAGTGACAGTCAGGGGCACGGAGAATGGTGCCCAGGCCAAGGGCAGGGCTTGGGCCAAGTGTGCGCAGCGTGGGGTGTGTGTGCTCCAGCGGCTCCTGCTGCGGAGGGCGGCATGAGGCTTGTTTACCTGTGTGCTGGCATCTCTGGTGGCCCCTGCAAGGGTGGGGAAGTGGCAGGCAGGGTGAAATGGGGAAAAGTGGGCTCTCAACTGCTCCTAGCAGCCTCCGGGTCTGGGGAGGGAAGTGAGGAGGGGCCCAGAGCTGTCTCCTGGTCACTCTTCTGGGGCTCTGTGCAGACCTTTGGCAGGGCCAGGCTACACCACACCCTCTACAACCTCCCCTGACTTCTTCCCCTAACCCCTCACCACCATTCCTCCGCTTTTCTCTCCCCGCCCCTGCCTCCCCTCCATTCTCTCCTTCCCTCCACCTCCCGGTCCCATCCCCTGCCCACACTGCCCCTCCTCAGGCCCAAAGTGGACACCGGTGCTGCCTGAGGGTCAGAGTGTCCACCTCCAGCAGCCCGGGCACCGGGCAGGATTCAAGCTGGAGGGGGCTGGGGCGGGCGAAGCCGGGCACGGGGCGAGCCCGCTGGTGGGCGGGGCAGGGGCGGGTCCTTCGAGGGGAGGGGCGGGCTCGGCCAGTGAGAGCGCAGAAACCGTGGCACGGGCGCTCCCGGAACTGGCGATTGCAAAGCGCGAGGGCTGGAACTCAGACCCAGAGGGGCGGTCCCTGTTGCAAGTCATCTCCCGAAAGGGCGGGGCCGGGGCTCATCCCGGAAGGACCGGTGTCTAGGTCACCCTGGAGCGCTCACCCCACCGGCACCCGTGCCCAAGCCCGCCCCTGCAAAGGCAGGTACTCGAGCACACTCCGGAGAGGGCGGCCTCTGAGCCCCGAACCCCGAACTCCGGCGCAGCGTCGCACCTCTGCCCAATGAGGTGCCCCTGACGTGCCTGCTGCGGCTGCCCTGCTCCCCCCAGCCTCCCTGCATCCCGGGATGGGGGAGGGCGCCAGGCGCAGCTCCCGGACCCTCAGGGGTCTCCCCGCCCTACCCCACCAGCCTGGGTTCGGTACCTCGGGGCTCAGATGTGCAGTCAGCTGTTAATGTGGCAAAATTTGGGGAAGTCCTCTGCAGCCGCAAAATCCAGTTCCCACCAGTTGGAGGCCGGGCGGGGAAGGGTGGGGACAGACAGCACTCCGCTGTGGGAGGTAAGGCAGAGCTACTGGGGAGCCTGGAAGGCTGAGCTATGTCTCCCCTACGCAAGACCATTCCAGAAGCCCCTTGGAGCTCTGGCTGCTGGCCACAGGGGAAGGTAGACCTTCCCTGAGAGCTGCACTGTGTTGGGGACAGGGCCACTGTGGGCCTACGGAGGGCCTCCAGGCACAGGGACCCACATCAGCCCTCTGGCCACAGAAGGCGCTGATGATTTGAGGTGGACTCAGCCACCACTCCGAGCCTCTGCCTCCCTCTAAAAGTGGGGCATGGCACATTCCTGTGTCAGGCAACCAGGCACTGAGCCTGGCCCACCTGCAGGGGTCGGGGGGAGCAGCTTGTCCCTGTCTCCCCTCCCCGGGAGGCTGTGTGCCTGGAGACCAGAGCTGTCAAAAGTGGAGGAGGGGGACCCCCTGATGTGTCCTCTAAGGTCCAGGTAGCAGGAGAGCTCCACTGGGGAGGGGGTCCTGCAGTGCTGTCCTCTCTTGCAGGCAAGGCCAGGCGGGTGCTGCCTGGGACCCAGTGACTCAGCACCCCTGCCCGGATCAACTGGACTTTTGCCCCCTGCTCCGCCAGCCTCCTGCTTGGATCTCTCCTGGGTCTCCCTGCTGCGCCTGTCCAGGATGCAGGGAGCTCGGGCTCCCAGGGACCAGGGCCGGTCCCCCGGCAGGATGAGCGCTCTAGGCCGGTCCTCGGTCATCTTGCTTACCTACGTGCTGGCCGCCACAGAACTTACCTGCCTCTTCATGCAGTTCTCCATCGTGCCAGTGAGTAACACACCCCAGCCCCTGCAGCCCCAGCCAGGGCTGAACCGCTGTTCCTCCTGCCCTCCATCTGGGCCGTCGCAGAGAGTGGGGGTGGGGGTTTCATGCTGCCAGGGCCCCTCCCAGTTGGGACTCATGCCACGCTTAAGCTGAGTAAGTTAAGGACTCTGCCTCTGGACCCCCGTCAGCACATCCTGTGCTCCAGCTTCAGTGCCAGCCCCGGGAGAAGCCATGGGGAGCCACCCCACTTCCCTCCTGGGGGCAGCACCTCCTCAAACCTTCCTAGCGCTGTTCCTCCTGCCTCTCACCCGGCAGCCTTTGCCCTCTGGAGTCCCTGCCCCAAGGGCTGTTCAATCCGGTGTGGCTCTGGGCGGATCACCCCTCAGAGAGGCTCTCCTTGCACCTGCCCGCAGCTTCTATCTCTCCCCTCCATCTTCTTGGGTCCTTGTTGTCCACTAAATGATCTGTGGCGGCAAATTGATCTCAAGCTTTTTCTTGCAAGAGATAGAATGCTGTCTTATTTTATTATCTCTGTTGCCAAATGCGGAAACATTTCATTGGCAAATTCATGTTAGTTTAGTGTATCATTCAGTAGTCTATACCACAGTGTGTGGCTCTGGAAGCTGTAATAGTAATGATTAAATTATATTCACCAAGTCTGGAGAGGCTTGGGAACAAAGTCTCACATCACCAAGAAGCTCAGGCAGAGTCAGGGCCAACCTCGGCCCTTCCTGTGTTTGCTTCTGGGAAGCCCGGCGTGCGTGGGCTCAGACAGCTGCCCTCCTCCTCTCAGCCCTCAGAGCCTGGACCTGGGCATCTAGGCGGGAGTGGGGATGGGCCTTTGGCACCATTCCGGGCCTGGCAGAGGCTCCCAGCCCGAGGGTGAGCCTAAGGATCCCTCCCCGCCGTGCCTCAGGCGCCCCGCCCACTCCTGCTAAATGGCTGGGGCCAAGCCCTGAATCTCCTCCCTACCCGTGGGGAAGGCTGGGCAGGAGCCTTGCTTTTCTCATCATAAAATGGGTAATAACAGTCCCTCCCTGTAGGATTGGTGCGGGGAAGAGTGAATGAGAAGTCAGAACCCTTCCCACAGCTGGGCACAGAGCACAGGTGGAGTGGCTTCAGCCACCCATCGACTCTCATGGGGAGTAACTCCGTGCTGAGTGCCCAGGAGCTGACCCTGATGTCAGAACCTGAAATATTGCAGAGTGTAAAAATCCTCAACAGCCCACTCCCTCGGAGCTGGGGGTCCACACGCACAGGGGCTGCAGTGGGAAGGGGGCGAGGTCTTCCTCATAGAGAAGGCAACCTTGGAGCAGGGCTGGAAGGAAGCAGGAGAGGCCCCGGGGCAGTGGAGAGAGCAGAGTGGCTAGAGTGGACCGGTTGAGGCCAGAATGGGACCACACCCCACCTGCTGCTCAAAGAACTCCGGGCTGGTGATGGCTGTGGAGGAGGTGAGAGGTGGCTGGATTTTGCATGTGTTGTCAATGGACTGTAGTGGGTGTGAGAGAAAGCAGGGCTCAGGGAGCACTGAAGATCTGGGCCTGAGCCCATAAGGAAGGAGGCATGGACAGGAGGAGAGGGAAAGATGGGAGCCCAGTTGGGGACGGGTTGAGTTTGAGACGATTTTCGACCCCAGTGGAGAGCCGAAGGGAGCTGGACACAAGGCAGTTCAGCACAGAGGCTCTGGGGCCCTGCAGCATGGAGACGGTCATGGGCTGGGCTCCCCCAGAGGGCAGGGAGGCTGGAGGTCGGATGAGCTGGGGGAACTGGCAGTGGTGATGGAGGAGGGGCAAAGGACCCAGCACAGCCCAGAGCAGCAGACCATCGTGGAGGAGGGAAGAAGCCACGAAGGCAACTGTCACTCCAGTGGGAGGCCTGCCAAAGCGGACCACTGGAGGCAGCAGTGTGGGGTCAATGGGGACCTCAGGGAGAGGGGAGACAGCAGGAGGTTTTTTGTCCTTGCAATAGTTTGCTCAGAATGAAGGTTTCCAGCTTCATCCATGTACAAAGCACATGAACTCATCCTTTTTTATGGCTGCATAGTATTCCATGGTTTATATGTGCCACATTTTCTTAATCCAGTCTGTCATTGATGGACATTTGGGTTGGTTCCAAGTCTTTGCTATTGTAAACAGTGCCGCGATAAAAATACGTGTGCATGTGTCTTTATAGTATAGTCCCCTGGGGCCTGCTCCGAGGGCTGGGAGAGAAGGAAAGAGATGGAAAGAGAGGAGGCTGCAAGGTGAGGCAGCTGCTCAGAGCTCCGCCCTCAAATATGTGGGAGTAGCTGTAGGGGAGGGTCAAGAGAACGCAAGAGAAGTAACAGGATGTGAGCATGCTCCATTGCCACCCCCTCAAAAGGGGATTGTGCAGAGAAACGGGGAGAGAGGAGCACTGGGAGCTTGGTCCAGTGGGTGCCCCCACAGAAGGGGACTGTGCAGAGAAACGGAGAGAGGAACATTGGGAGCCCTGCCCTTGAGGAGGCAAAAGGTTGGGATGTGACGCAGGCAGGGAGGATGACTTGGGTAGGCGAGGACAGGTGGGCAGGCTTGGGGATGAGAAACTCAGCATCCTCTATGAACAGACACTTCTCAAAAGAAGACCTTTATGCAGCCAACAGACACATGAGAAAATGCTCATCATCACTGGTCATCAGAGAAATGCAAGTCAAAACCACAATGAGATACCATCTCACACCAGTTAGAATGGCGATCATGAAAAAGTCAGGAAACAACAGATGCTGGAGAGGACGTGGAGAAATAGGAACACTTTTACACTGTTGGTGGGACTGTAAACTAGTTCAACCATTGTGGAAGACATGTGGCGATTCTTCAAGGATCTAGAACTAGAAATACCATTTGACCCAGCGATCCCATTACTGGGTATATACCCAAAGGATTATAAATCATGCTACTATAAAGACACATGCACACGTATGTTTATCGCGGCACTACCTACAATAGCAAAGACTTGGAACCAACCCAAATGTCCATCAGTGATAGACTGGATTAAGAAAATGTGGCACATATAAACCATGGAATACTATGCAGCCATAAAAAAGGATGAGTTCATGTCCTTTGTACATGGATGAAGCTGGAAACCATCATTCTGAGCAAACTATCGCAAGGACAGAAAACCAGACACCACATGTTCTCACTCATAGGTGGGAATTGAACAATGAGAACACCTGGACACAGGGCGGGGAATATCACACACTGGGGCCTGTCGTGGGGTGGGGGGAGGGGAGAGGGATAGCATTAAGAGAAATACCTAATGTAAACGACGAGTTAATGGGTGCAGCAAACCAACATGGCACATGTATACATATGTAACAAACCTGCACGTTGTGTACATGTACCCTAGAACTTAAAGTATAATAAAAAAACAAAAAGAGAGAAAAGAAAAAAAAAAAGAGAAGCTCAGCATCCTCACACTAGCGGCGCTGGGGAGGGGAGGGATGGAGGAGGCAGAGGTTTACTAGGGGAATGTGGGGTGATTGTCAGGTCAAGCTCACAAACAAAGGAGAGATCTGGCAGACAGAGGGCTTTCCCATCCTCGAGGGAGCAGGGATGGAGCTGAAGGAAGAAGGAGTCTGGGGTTGGGGATGGGGGGGTTACCGACTGCCCTTGGGACTGAAGTGCTCTGGGGAGAATTCGTGTGGACCAAGGGGGACAGTGGAAAGAAGGGGAGTGGGACCCCAAGACTGAGCTTAGGGAAAGGTCCAGGGGAGGGGGCGGGGGCGGTGTATTAGCATCTGGGGCTGCCATAACAAAGTATCCAAAACCCTGGGGGCTTAGAGCAACAGAAGCCTATTGTCTCACAGTTTGGGAGGCCAGAAGTCTGAGATCAAGGCTCCCTCTGAAACCCACGGGGGAGGATCCTTCCCACCTCTTCCAGCCCCTGGGAGCCCAGACATCCCTTGGCTTGTGGCCACATCACTCTGTCTTCCCATGGATTTTTACAACGTCATCCATCCGAGTGTGTCTGTGTCCCAAATTCTCCTCCTAATGAGGACACGGGTCACATTAGATCAGGGCCCTCCCTCATGTCCTCACTGTAACCTGATTAACCCCATTTCCTAAGAATGTCACATTCTGAGGTTCTGGAGGTTAAGACATATGAATTTGGGGGGTACACAATGAAGCCCATAATAAGTTACATCACTGGAAGGAGAGTCGGGAACTCAGAGGCAGGGGCAGGGGGAGGAGCGGCTGCAGGGGGACCAAATCACAGAGAATTAGGGCAGGATATAAGGGTGTCCCTGGGAGGGATGCTGTCATGGACCTACTCCTCCGGAGGGGCTGAAGGGCTGGGGCCTCACAGAGCAGACTGTGTCCTGCTGGGCAATGGGCCACCTCTTGGAGGTCACTTGGGGGCCTTGGGACAATCTGTTGCTGGCCAGGACACTGCTGCTGGCGTCCCCCACAAAGTTTTGAATGAATGAAGACAAAATGGTGGGGGTCAGGTGCCTCTCTGGGGCGTGCCCCCAGAGGGGAAGGACCCTAGAGGCCACCCTGGGCTCCCGCCTAGGAGAGGAGTTGCAAGGACCTTAGAGACCACAACAGGCTTCCGCCTAGGAGAAGAGGAGCAGGGTCCCCCTGGGAAGGGCCCCTCGATGGTCATACTGTGCAGTCAACAGAACCCAGGCCCTCGGTCCCCTCCCACCCCCTGCCCATCCAGGGACCCCAGATTCTAGGCCCTGCAGTCTTTCCCAGCCCCTCCCCCGGGCTCCCTCCTGTGTTTCAGTACCTGTCTCGGAAACTGGGCCTGGATTCCATTGCCTTCGGCTACCTGCAAACCACCTTCGGGGTGCTGCAGCTGCTGGGCGGGCCGGTATTTGGCAGGTACAGTGTGTGTGTGTACAGGGGCTCTCCCCACAGTGACCCAGGCCCCCTCTCAGACGCCATGGGCTCAGACGGGCCAGGTTCCCTGACCCCACACCGGACCCCCCTGGGATGACGGCACTCCTGTGTCACAGGCCGATGGGGGTGCAGAAGAACTTTGGCCCCTGGTAGGCTCCCGGGTGTCCCACCCACGCCTTCCACTACTCCTGCCTGTGGCCAGAGAGAGAGTGTGACTGGTGAACACCTCGTGGCTGTAAGCACCAGCCCGTAGGCCTGCCGAGACCAGGCAGGAGGGACTTTGGGGGCTCCATACACCCCGGGTCTCAGTGCTGTGGGAACACTGAGCTTGAGAGAGGACAGGGACATCCTCCCACAAGCCACAGCAGACAGGGGAGCAAGGGACACGTATTGGGAGTTGCCTCTTCAGAGCAACCCGTAGGCAGAAATGAAGGGTTCCGCAGGCAGCAGACCAGCAGCGATCTCTGGGAGGGTTTCCAGTGGCCCAGAACAGAAGGGAGAAAGGCGCTGCTTTCTCAGACCCAACCTGACAAACGCCTTCTGTAAAACGCGGGCCCACCCTTTGGTCCCCTGGGATTCCACCATTTATTTTTACACGGAGTTGGTCTTTGCCCTGGGTCAGACTCCCAGCTCAGTGAAGCTGTCTGCGCACAGCCCCACTGGGACGCTGGGGAAACTGAGGCCCTGAGAGGAGGGAGGCCTCCCAGCAGCCGCCCAGGCGCCCCCGCCCTCCATCCCCATCCCGCACTCCAGCCTCCCTGGTCAGCCCCGCCTGGGCAGCCCCTGGACGGGGGGAAGGGGACACTGACCGCCTCCGTGAGGGTCCGACCCGCCCCTCGGCCCCCAGGTTCGCAGACCAGCGCGGGGCGCGGGCGGCGCTCACGCTCTCCTTCCTGGCTGCCTTGGCGCTCTACCTGCTCCTGGCGGCCGCCTCCAGCCCGGCCCTGCCCGGGGTCTACCTGCTCTTCGCCTCGCGCCTGCCCGGAGCGCTCATGCACACGCTGCCAGGTAGGGCCGGGGGGACTGGAGTCCAGGTGGGGCCGGGTCGGGGGCAGCCTGCGGAGGACCCGGGACACCTCCAGGGAGGTCTGCGTGCGCGCGGGGTCTGGCCCTAAGGGCTGGACGGGGGTGGGGGGCGACGTGGGGCGTGGCTTGTGGAGGGGCGGGTCAGGGGGGGAAGGGCCCCACCGAGGGGCTTTCGCCGCTCAGCTCCCCCGCCCCGTCCCCAGCCGCCCAGATGGTCATCACGGACCTGTCGGCACCCGAGGAGCGGCCCGCGGCCCTGGGCCGGCTGGGCCTCTGCTTCGGCGTCGGAGTCATCCTCGGCTCCCTGCTGGGCGGGACCCTGGTCTCCGCGTACGGGTGAGTGGTGGGGGCCGGGGCGGAGTCTGTGGGTCAGGACGCCCGCGGCTGGGTCGGCCCCGCCCCGCCTCCTCTTGGCCTCGGTTTCCTCTTTTGCTCGTGGGGCGCGAGTGGCCACGTGATGTGGCTACTGGGGACGTCTGGCCCCGCGCGAGGCCTAGGCCTGACCTCCCGGGCTGGCTGGCCCTGGATAGGGCCAGGTGATGTCCCAGTGCTGTCCGGGGCGCGACTGGACTGCCAAGCTGTCCACGCACAGCCCCACTGGGACGCTGGGGAAACTGAGGCCCTGAGAGGAGGGAGGCCTCCCAGCAGCCTCCTGCTGGGGACAGGAGCACCCTGGGACTGGGATGCTGTGGCAGCGGGGCTGAGCTGTTGGACGGTGCCCAGAGCACACCTCCCTCTCCGGAGGTCTCTAGGGCTGTGCTGCCGGCCTTGTTTGAGTCCCCGAACGTTCTCCCAGCATTTTCACTGGAGCCTGGGCTGGGGACTGATGGCTGCTGATGGCTGTGAGCAGGAGGTGGAGTGGGGTGGGGTGGGTAGTTTGAACACCTCAACATTGCCCCCAGGACTCTGGTTCTAGAATACAGCGGCAGACAACACAGGCTGAGTCCCTGGGATGAAGGGAATGTGATAGGAATTCCCGTAACATCAGGCTGAGCTACATGGAGCAAAAAGTCACAAAGTAGAACTGGGGGCTCGATGGATGGGATCACTAGGGCCTGTCTGAGGAGGCGGCATCTGAGTCGAGGCCTGAAGCAGGAGAGGGAGGCAAAGAAACCACGGTGCAGAGGCCCTGGGTGTGGAAGCCAGGGGGCCGTGTGGCTGGAGGGAGGAAGAAGGGGCAGGCACCAGGCCGGGGTGCCCTGGGTGGCACAGCAGGGGTGAGAATGGGGGGTGAGCTCCCCTGCAGGGAGACCGGTAGGACAGCCATTGTGCCGGCCGAGGTGGGGGAGGACAGTGGCTGGACCAGAGGGGACCGTGATGAGAGAAAGCAGAGGGTAGATTCTGGCTGGGTTTTGCCAGTGGGTGGGATGTGGGTGGGAACTCAAGATGGCAGTGCCAAGGCCGTGCCTGACCCTGGGGAGCCTGGCGCCTTGCGCAGAGGCCCAAGCAGCCTGGGGTGCCACTGGGATTTGGGTCTTGTTCAGGCCCAGCCTGGGTGCCTGTCAGGCACTCCAGGGAGCTACTGAGTAGGCACCCAGATAAGGGGGAGAAATGGGGTGCATCTTCAAGTGTGGATGGCTCGGAGCCCTGCGCCCCCCAGCACTTCATGTTTCGGGGCTGGGAGGTGAGGAGGGAGCACGTCCTGGGAGCCAAGGGCCACTGGATTTGTGGGGGTCAGGGACCCGTGCCTCTACCGCTGGTGGCCAAGGAAGCCACAGTGGCCCACCATCTGCAGCAGGGAGGCCACCCCAGTGCTGGACCAGCACCACCCCCTCAAGTCAGTGCCAGCCGCAGAAGCCTCATGCAATAGACGGATCAAGGGAAATGGGGAGAAAAGAGAGGGGGTCGGGAAGTCGTGCTATAAATGGGGGCAGAGGTGGGTCCAGGAGGCTATGCTCAGGGTGGGAGGAGCCATGGGGAGGCGCCCCAGGGAGAGGGAAGGGCTGATGTGGGAGCCAAGCACACTGCTGGGAGGGTGTCCCTGGAGGATGGGGCTTAGGGCACTTGTGTGGGCAGCTCTGGTGGGACAGCAGGGACGGCTCACCCTGGGGCCAGGGGGCTGGCAGGTGTGAGGTGTGGGGAGCCGGCACCACCCAGGGCCTGTCTCTCCAGGGTGGCCAGGGTGAGGAAGGGCGTGAGGAGGGCACGGGGAGGAGCACTGGGCCCCAGCAGGTGGCTGAGCTGGGCGGCTGCCATCCCAGGGTGCTGCCCACCCCCAGGTACTCTGCCGGCTCAGGGCCCAGCCGCCTGCTGCCGCCTCCTTCCCTGGCCAGCCTTCCTCACCTATGAAATGGGCCCTCCCCTGCCCTTACTCACCCACAACGATGCTGGGAGGGTCCGAGCTCGCTCAGGCAGTAAGCCGTGGCCATGGTGCTGGAGCAGCTCAGCACACATGCCTCCTGCAGGCCCGTCTACGAGGCCACAGGTCCCCTCCTGTCCTCACCTGCCCTTTCCCCCATCACAGCTGCTGACCCAGAAGACACCACTCATGTCCCTCTCCCTCCCAGTAGCTGCCAAGACGGCCTCTACCTCTGCCCACACCTGCCAGAACATTCCATTCGCTTCCCTGCCTCCATTCATCCCAAGATCTGAGGCGCTTTACAATCTTGACGTTTCATAATCAGACCAGCTGTGACATTTCCTTTGATGGGAGGGGTAACCGAGGCCCAGGAGATGATGAGGCTCCCTCCATGGAGCTCCCCAGTCCCCGTCCAAGGCCCAGGCAGTGTGGGACTCCCTCAGGTTCCTCATACCACACCCAAGACACGGGGTGCTGCTTGGGCACTGTGGCAAAAGCTGGCTGCCCAGAGTGGTGGTGGCACAGGAGGGCTGCGGGGTTGACCTTGTGGCTGGTAATCTGCCTTTGTCCAACCCAGACAGGGTGAGGGAGGCCCACACCTCCCCCTCGGGGGCTCACCGAAGGCAGTGGGGCCAGGTGCCAGCCAGGCTCCAAAGCCTGGTGCCCCATGGCAAGGGCCAGCCCCCTGGCCCTCTTGGTCCAGCTGCCCCAACGCCTGCAGCCTGTTCTGGCTCCTGGCCTGGTGCGGGGCAGGAGTCTGGTGCAGCTGTGAACATCCCCCGCCTTGCAGCCTTCCTGCCCTTCCTTGATGGAAACCGAGGCACAACATGTGTGGGCTTTCCCTCCCTGCCCACCCACCTGTGTATCCCATTCCTCTGGAAGGCCCCAGTCCTGCCTCATCCGCACCCACCTGGGCAGCAGGTGGGAGGAGGAAGTGGACTTGGCACCCACAGGCTGCGGGGGCGGGCACTGGTATAACTGGTTTGGGCCCAGCCTCCAGAGCCCAGGGCTGAGAGGCCAGGCTGGCCTGAGGAGGGACCCGGGACCTGAGTCACTGCACACACGCTGGGTGGGGGGTGGCTCTGTGACTCATGTTCTGAGCCCAGCCCCTCACAGACTGGGGAGGGATGGGGAGGGGCCATAGAGTCCTATCCTGAGCCAGACAGCAGGGAGCCCTGCAGGGTTTGCCTTCCCCAGGTGGACAGGCAGCCACCAGGGCCATGCCGGTGCCATGGGGGTGCCAGGGCCCTGTGGGCAGGACACCCCTGCCCAGCCAAGAAAAAACAAGGAGCCAGGGGCACTGGAGCTCAGAGAGGGAGGAGGGGATGGGAGGGGAGGTGAGCAGTGTCCCATACGACCCAGGGCACCCCAAGCGCTGAGCGGAGGCTGAGGAGTGCAGGGGTGTTTGTAACAGGGCACCTGCTGTACAGGGAAGAGGCTCTCGGGGGCAGATAGATGCAGGGCAGGGGCTGGCAGGCAGCTGAGGGAGCAGCAGGATATGGGCGACCCAGGCCCGCCGCCCCCCCAGCCAGGTGACTCAGCTACTGCCTTAGTTCGTGTACCTCGCAGTGCCCAGGACACTCCGGTTCTTTCTGTTCTTCCCACAGTGGGCAGGCAGCAGGCCCCGCTGAGATGGTTCTGGCCCCGCTGTCCCTCAGGACAGCCCTGTTGAGCAGCAGGCTGGACAGGCCTCCTGCTGGGCCCGTGAGTCACTCCAGTCTCAGAGCCCATTTGGGGCAGGAGGGAGCTTGTGGTTTGGTTGGAGGGCTATGTGTTTGGGGAATGGGGGGACCAGGTACGAGGAGACACGAGGACTGGGAAGGGTCAGGCCAGAGGGGCCTTTAGGACCTTCTGGGGCACGCTGGAAGCCAGACGGCAGCTGCGTTAGGAGTGGCATGGCAAGATGTTCATTTTCAAACATGGTTCTAACTGCAGCATCCTGGAGCACGGATGACTTCTCTCAGCCCTGGGCTGGACATCCAGGGACGCTCTGGACAGCCCCCTGCCCCATCGTCTTGTGAGCTAGGTGTCCCACAAAGCCAGGTCCCAGCTGACCTAGCCTCAGCCCCACCTGTGGGTTCGCTCCTGGCAGCAGGATGACCTGGGCACATGCTGTCACCTTGTGCGTCCCCTTTCAGAGCCTCAGAGTAAGGTGAGGCTTGATGAGGGCTTGTCACCGTAGAACACACAGAAGCCCAGACTTCAGCAGAGGTTCCTGGAGACGCGATTGAAAGCCAACTCCACGCCCTGCTATCTGGGCAGCCTCAGGTGTGGGCTGCGGTTGGTGGGCAGGATGCAGGTGGGCTGCGCCCTGCAGGTCCAGAGGGGCCCCAGAACAGTGGAGTTAGGGGCAGCCGGCAGCTGTGAACCCAGCCCTCATTTGCATATAAGGAAATGAGGTCACCTAGCAGGTAAGCGGCAGAGAAGGGACAGAGGCTGTGGGTCCCCTGAGTCCTGTCCAGTGTCCTTTCAACAGCATCCAGACAGACACTCCTGTAATCCATTCAACTGAAAGAGCAGGAGGAGACAAAGACAAATTAACCTGTCCCCACCTTCCTGGTCGTGGCTCCACTGATAAAAGTGTTGGATGAGCCCCGGGAAGCCAGCGTGCCCCTGCGTCTGGCAGGTCGTGGTGAGGTTGAGGGGGGCTGAGCAGGAGGGGCTGACGGCACCGTGCTAAGGGTGCTTCCAGTCAATGGTCCCGGGGGATGCCCAGGCTGTCCGGCGTGCAGAGGCCCCAGGGCTGGGGCCAGCGTGCTGGATTTCCTTCCCACTCCCGTTTCCCTCCTGGCAGTTCATTTTTGGGGAGCAGGAGAGCTGTGACTGGGGAAGGACAGCCTGCGTCTCCCCCAGCAGCCACCCACGGCCCCTGGCACAGTGGTGGGACCTGACTCCCTACCTCCTGGGGCCCTCCAGGGTCCCCCAGCCCCAGGCTTTCCTGTTGCCCACAGCAGCACAGGCCTTTGGTTTACCCACCACCGCTCGAGGGCCTGGCTTCCTGCCACCATGCCTTGCTTGTCACCAGCCTCCTAAAATAGCCATCGAAGTGGTGCGTCTGCTCCTGTGTACTTCTGGGACATCTGGCAAATAAGGCAGGTTTTGCCCCTGCCCAGCCAGACCCTGAGCTGTGACACGCAGGCCTCTGAGGCCAGGGTCCCAAAGAAAGGGCCCGTCTCTCTGGGGCTGGCCACAGGGGCCAGTTGTCCCTCCTGCGCCATACATCTGTGCCTGCTGGCTGGAGGGACAAGCTGTGGCGCCCGAGCCCAGCCGTTCCCCTTCCCTGGCATTTTCCCAAAGGAAGGGCCCATTCGTGCGGAACCCCAGCAGCCAGAAAACCTGAGTAGCTGACGTCCTGGGCGGTGGGTGCTGCAGGAGTCGGAGCTGCCCTGATGGATTGGCGGGGGCAGCAGCACAGGTGGGGTGGATATGCCAGCACCCCCCTAGACTGATGTGAGCTTAGGGGTCCCACCTCAGAAATGAGGGGTGGCCAATGCCCAGACTCTCTGGACTCAGAGGTGGCCCCACTGACTGTCCTAGTCAGTGTGGCTCCAAGTCCCCTCCTTGCTCTGGCAAACGGATGCAGGTAAGTGTGTGTACAAGTTTGCCCGTGTGTGTGTGTGTGTGCGCATGTGGCTGCGGTGAAGAGGGGCGAGGAAAGTCCTTTCTTTGAACTCCTTGGTGGGGACATGGTGGCCTGTGGCTGGCCTTGTTTTTGGGTGCAAGGGCATCTTCCAGGACCCTGACCCCTACTGGGTGCCTGTGCCCTGAGGCCCTGGCCAGGGCAGATTTGGAGGATCTGTTGAGGTTGGGGCAGAACTTGTGCTGCGTGTGTGAATGGCTCACACATTTGTCCGATCATCTAATGATCACTGCGGTCTCCGCGCAGGGTCCAACCCTGGACCACCTGCCCTCAGGGGCCAGATTCTAGCCAGCTGGTAAAGCGAGTCCTTCTCAGATGGCATGCTGTCTGGGAAGGAGGGCTGGGGCCTCACCAAGAAGGGCCCTTGCAGGCTGTATAGGAGTTTGCTCAGCTGCTGAGAGGAAGGCCGTGGCGGTCCGGCACAGGCCTGGAGGCCTTACAGACGAGCTCAGTAGGAAGCCCCAACTTCCTCCTGTCTCTCCCTGAGGGGAGGGGGCTGGCTGAGCCCCCAGGAGGCAATGGTGACAGTTGGAACAGCCAGCTTCAGGTGCCTCCGTCCCCAGGAGACAAGACCTGCCGATTCCTTCCAGGGGAATCACAGGCCAAGTTTCCAGGTGGGGACTCATGGCAGGGAAGCTGACGGTACAGCCAGAGTCCCAGGCCTTGGTAGTGGCCCAGGAAGGTGGGAAGGTGGCAAAGCAGCCTGAGGGGCACCTCCGGGGCTTTGCAAGGCTCTGGGATCCCAGCCCAAAGCCCCCTCCAAGCCCAGCATGCCCCACACTCTAGAAAGTGGGGAGGGGCCAACAGGAGGGGGGTCGGTTTCTGAGGGCCTGCTGAATGCCAGGCCCACCCTTGCCCACGCTGGGGAGGCAGCATAGCCATCCCCATGACACAGCACAGGTGCCCAGGTCTCGGAGAGCCCCTCCCAGGGACATGCACACCAGGCTTGCCCTTTGGAGCCTCTCCTGACCTTGGCCAGCGTGGGAGCTGCTGTTCCTGGGAGGATCCGCCACCTGCCCCAGGCGCTCACCAGCCTGGCTTCCACAGCTGCTACCCACAGGGGCTGCCGGGGCCTGCATGGCGTGGCGAGGGTCAGGGATGGTGAGCGCCCCACCCATTCCTTCATCCATCACCTAATAAATGTGCTCTGAGGGTCCCAGTCCCCACTCTTTAGGCCACAGACTGTGGGGATGTGGGAGGTCAGATTTAAGCTATTTTAGTGCAACCAAAGGTGCAGGTTGGGGGATGTGGCTGGGGCGCCTGGGCCCTGGGACCCGCACCCTGTGCAGCCGAGGCTGTTGCCCGCAGGATTCAGTGCCCGGCCATCCTGGCTGCCCTGGCCACCCTCCTGGGAGCTGTCCTCAGCTTCACCTGCATCCCCGCCAGCACCAAAGGGGCCAAAACTGACGCCCAGGCTCCACTGCCAGGTAAGCCCCGCCAGGTACACCCTGCCCAGATGCTGGGGCAATGGAAGGCATTGGCTAGGCCTGCGTGCTCCAGCCAAGGGGTACGGGGGGCCTGAGGGGAAATCTGGGGGCTACTCACACCCTCCTGCCTTCCTTGAACCCTTCCCAGCTGCTGACATCATAGAAGCCAAGTGAGGTGTGGTCATGAAGAGGTGGAAGTGGGGCTCCGGCAGGCAGGGAGGCCCAGAGAGGCAGGAAGGCCCAGACAGGGAAGGCGTTAGGAGGGGAGGCCCAGACAGGGAAGGTGCTAGGAGGGGAGGCCCAGAGAGGCCTGGGGAGGACCAGGAGGGACCCCCCCAATGGGGTGGGTGGGCCAGCAAGGCTCCGGAAGCTCTGAGTGTCCAGGGAGAGGCGAGGGTGCTGCCCGAGGGGCACTCATTGGTGGAGGGCAGAGGATGGTCAGGCTGGTCCCATGAGGAGAGGCCAAGGCTCCTCAGAGGGGGTCCCCTCAAGGCTGGCCCCCTGCTGAACGCAGCCCCTTTGTGCCAGGCACGTGGCAGGGCCCATGCCTCGGTGCCTAGGGACTAAGAGCCCAGCCTGGGCCAGAGGGACCCACCTGGGACCATCCTGGGGCAGGAGGCTGTCATGGAATTAACCTAGAAAGTCCAGGGGGAGGGCCGGGTGGAGATGGGCCTGTGGCGAGCACAGCAGAGCCAGAGAGGCAGGAGCCCCTGAGACAATAAGGAGGAAGGACTCGGTGAGCCGGGCTGGGGGCCTGTGGCTTCGCACTCAGAGGTGCCCGGTGGGCCAGGCCACGGCGGTGACTTGTGGCCACAGAGAGTGGTACAGTATTGCCATTGTCTTCCTCTGGGCTGGTGGCCTGGTCATGCTCTGCCCCAGGCCCCAGGCCAGGACCATATAGGAAGCAGCTATTGGTCCCTTGTTCAGGGACTGCCGCAGGCCTCCGCCACTGCATGCCCAGGTTGAGGCCAGTCTACCTGCGTGCAGAGAATGCTTTTCCTAAGTGCCTCTGGGGATTCAGGGGGCCCCTAGGAATGCGTAGAAGTGTGCTGAGGGGCGGTGCCCAACCTGGCAGCTGGGAGCATCACCAGCTCCCATTCCCACAAGTGAGCGGTGCTGAAGCCAAGGAAGGAAGCTTTACCCTGGCGGGCGCAACAGGGCCCTCCGAATGGCGAGGCCTGCAGCCGGGCGAGGGGTGGGCATTGGGACAATGGCCTTTGCAGGCCTGAATGGCCTCTCCGTGCCAGGCGGCCCCCGGGCCAGTGTGTTCGACCTGAAGGCCATCGCCTCCCTGCTGCGGCTGCCAGACGTCCCGAGGATCTTCCTGGTGAAGGTGGCCTCCAACTGCCCCACAGGTGAGTCCCAACTACTGCCCCAACAGCGGCCAGAGCCTGGCAGAGTCCCAGCTGCGGCCAGGGCCCGGCCCTTCCTCTGGCCTGTGCCCCACAGGTCCACACAGATGTGGTAGAGCAGGCAGGAGCGGGAGGAAGGCAGAAAAGTGTCTTTCCCACCTCCTTCCAGCCCCTCTACACTGCACACCTGCAGATCCCAGGGTGGGCCCCCACGGGCAGAGGGCCTGGCTCGCAGCCATGCATCCCTGTGTGCTCCTCAGCTCTTACCCTCATACCCTGTGGCCCCACGTCCTCTCCAGACAGCCTGAGATGCAGGGACAGCAGGTCTGAGTGTCACCACTGCCTTCTGCAGCATGCTGGCCCTGGGCCCTCTCAGCAGACCGTAGGGCGTCACGGACCACAGATAGGATAGCGAGCCACGGACAAGCCCACGAGCAGCCCTGTCCCTCAGAAGCCCCGCCTGGACTCCTCTAACTGAGAAGCCAGGAAGCAGGATGGAGAATAGGCCCTCAGCACTCCAACTGGCACCGGCCCCTGTCCCACCCAGCCCACCTAGGCCAGCTCTGTTGGTTCTCAAAACTGGAACCCAAGTTACTAACCTCAGTAACAGGCCCTTTGAGGGCCCTTTTTTTTTTGAGACCACTGACCAGGCTGGAGTGCAGTGGTATGATCTCAGCTCACTGTAGGCCCCACCTCCCAGGCTCAAGCAATCCTCCTGTCTCAGCCTCCCGAGCAGCTGGGACTACAGGCATGGGCCACCACGCTCAGCTAATTTAAGTGTTTGTAGAGACAGGGTCTCACTATCTTTTCCAGGCTGGTCTCAAACTCCTGGCCTCAATCAGTCCTCCCTCTTCGGCCTCCCAAAGTGCTGGGATTGCAGACGTGACTTTGAGGGCTCTTATAACAGAGAGCCGTGGTGGGTCTTGGGGGCCAAATCCTCCCACGTGGTCAGCCCTGGGTCCCTCCCTTCCAGCACCTTCCTGCTCACAGTCCAGAGCTTAGCAACCACACGAGAGGCACTTTCCACACCAGGGATACGGCAGAATCCCAGGGAAGGGTCTCATTGGCCCGGCTGGCATCACAGGCCCCTCCCTGAACCAGTCACCAGCCAGGGCCCAGACACCCTGATTGGCCAGGCTGCTGAGGCGGGAGGGAGGTGGGCGCCAAGGTCGGGGTGTGGGGGTACTCACCCCTGTTCCCCTGCCCCGGCTCAGGGCTCTTCATGGTCATGTTCTCCATCATCTCCATGGACTTCTTCCAGCTGGAGGCCGCCCAAGCTGGCTACCTCATGTCCTTCTTCGGGCTCCTCCAGATGGTGAGTGGGCACACAGGGCCTGCTGGGGGGCACGGCAGGGGTCTCCAGTGGGGCAGGCCTCTGAGAGTAGAGGCTCCTCCCCGGCGGAGGCTGGGGAGCCCTTGGCCTCCCATCTGGCACATGTCAGGGTCCACAGGGAACCAGGCATACAGGCCAGGGAGGGAGAGCCAACTGCAGTGGTGGGCACGCTGTGAGGACAGTGGACTCCGGCCTCTGATGGGCAGCTGGCTGGGATCTGTGGCAGCCCACCTGCCCACCAGCTGTGTGACCAGAGCAAGTCTCCCAAACTCTCCAAATCTGTCCCATGAGGCCAAAGTGCCCGCCTTGCAGGGTCCTTGGCAGATGAGATGACCTAACGTGGCAAAGTGGTTAGACCAGCGTGGGCCCCTTTGGAGGTCCCATAGGAGCAAGACGCCAGCCCTCAGAGGCCACGCTGTCATGGTAGGATAAGACGCCAGCCCTCAGAGGCCACACTGTCATGGAAGGATGCCCTGAAACCCTGGCAGCTCCGATGCGGCAGGTGTCTGTCTGCCAGCCCCCCAGAACCGCTCAGCTCCCGGGCCGGGGCGAGACACCTCCACCACCAGCTCCTCTGGGCTTCTGGACCAGACCCTGGGTGGTGGGGACAGGTGATGATTTGCCACCACCCAGGATGGCTGCCTGACAGCCAGAGTGCGGGGCGGGGGGGCTATTCTGGGACCCGCCAGGGTGGGGGTGGGGGCTCTCGGCCTCTCCGGAAGCCTGTGGCATTCCTGGCACCTCCAAGCCATCTGCTCTTCAGCCTCTGGGCCCAGGACTAGACTAGTGCTAAAATAGCTGCTCCTGGGAGGGGCTGGACCCCCACCGTGGGCAGAGAGGGCCTCTGCTTTTTGGGGCAGGAGGGGCCACCCTGGCAGGGTAAAAAGAGATAAACAGAAAAACAACAGCAACAATAATAGTAACAATCCGGGGTTGTTGCCATGGGGCCTGTTCTGAACAGGCTGCGCCCAGCTCACTGCGAGGAAGGACGCTTAGCCAGGCCCTGGCTGAAGCCTGCAGCTGGGCTGGACACAGCAGTCATTGGCCTGTGTTGTGGGGGACTTGGGCCTGCCATGGCTGCAGTGGGGACCCTGCCTGAGACAGACAGAGCTGGGGTGGTGACCAACACCGTCGGGGCACCCTCGCAGGAACTGGGCCTGGTGAACTGCCCAGGGACGGGGAAGGAGCAGGGTGAGGCATGGGGACCCCGACACAGGTTGAGCAGCGGGAGAGGAGGCTGAGGAGGGGAAGGAGGGGGCCCGCAGAGTAGCCCCCAGACCCCAAGTCCGGTCAGGGACAAGCTTGTTAGCTCCAGGTTCATGTCACAACCTGCAGGGCTCCTAAGTTCAAGCTTTTTTAAACTTAATGGGCAAACTGAGACGCAACACAAATAGGCTTCTGACCTTGGTGTCTGAGTCCTGGATCTGAAGTCCTTCACGGCACTCACTGTGAGCCCCTCTTAGACGCACTGCACGAAGTGAGCTTGCCAGCTCTTCCTTTAAGAAACGTGTTAGGCCGGGCGCGGTGGCTCACGCCTGTAATCCCAGCACTTTGGGAGACCGAGGCGGGCGGATCCCAAGGTCAGGAGATTGAGACCATCCTGGCGAACATGGTGAAACCCCGTCTCTACCAAAAATACAAAAAAAAAAAAAAAAATTAGCCGGGCCTGGTGGCAGGCACCTGTAGTCCCAGCTACTCGGGAGGCTGACGCAGGAGAATGGCGTGAACCCGGGAGGCGGAGCTTGCAGTGAGCCGAGATCGCGCCACTGCAGTCCACGCTGGGCGACAGAGCGAGACGCCATCTCAAAAAAAAAAAAAAAAAAGGTGTTAAAATCCCAAAAAACCCTAAGATAAAGCAAGTGTGAAAGTAAGATTTTTAAACCATTTATGGTTCCGGTTGGAAGCAGTTTCTGTTCTGCCTGGCAGGAATTTGGGAGGGTGACTGGTCCCCTGCAGAGGTGCTGCAGGCTGGGCCTGCCCTGTGGGCAGATACTGAGCCCAGGGGCTCCTCCAGCCGGGGCCACCCCTGCACTCCCAGGCGCGTTGGCCCAGCACGCCCTGCTTAGTGGAGGAGCTGAGATGACCAGATAGAGAGCCTCGCCCTGGCCTGGGAGCAGCCTGCGGCCAAGCCTGTCCCACCGAGCCCATCCCCGGGAGCAGCCTGCGGCCGAGCCTGTCCCACCGAGCCCATCCCCGGGAGCAGCCTGCGGCCGAGCCTGTCCCACCGAGCCCATCCCCGGGAGCAGCCTGCGGCCGAGCCTGTCCCACCGAGCCCATCCCCGGGAGCAGCCTGCGGCCGAGCCTGTCCCACCGAGCCCATCCCCGGGAGCAGCCTGCGGCCGAGCCTGTCCCACCGAGCCCATCCCCGGGAGCAGCCTGCGGCCGAGCCTGTCCCACCGAGCCCATCCCCGGTGTCCCTGGTGTGGGCCTTTCCTTCCTCCCTTGTGGAGAGGAGCCCCGACTCCTCAGGGATCTCAGACCCATCCTGACGCAGTCACTGCTGGCGGAGTAGGGAGAGACCCCGGGGCTTGCAGATGCTGAGGGGCCTTCTCTGCAGAGGGGCCCTGGCCACCACAGGCCAGTCTGGAGGTCCCCAGCTTTGGGGGCTGGCCACAGTCCAGACGCCCCTCCCTCGCCTCCCCCATACCCACTTCTACCCTCTCTGTCTGGCTCTAGGTGACCCAGGGCCTGGTCATCGGGCAGCTGAGCAGCCACTTCTCGGAGGAGGTGCTGCTCCGGGCCAGCGTGCTGGTCTTCATCGTGGTGGGCCTGGCCATGGTGAGGGCTCCCCGCTTTGGGCCCACTCACCTGACCCTCTCACTGGGCAAGGCCACCTGGGCGGTACCATCTGTGCTTAAGCCCTTGGGGACTCCTCCAGCCCCCCACACCCACCCGGGGCCAGCTCTTCAGCAGGGACAGCAGTCAGGGTGGGGAGGGACAGGTAAGACCCCAGAGAGGAGCCTGGTCCCGTGAGGCCCCCACTCAGCTCGGCCCCCGCCTGCCGTCCCAGGCCTGGATGTCCAGCGTCTTCCACTTCTGCCTCCTGGTGCCCGGCCTGGTGTTCAGCCTCTGCACCCTCAACGTGGTCACCGACAGCATGCTGATCAAGGCTGTCTCCACCTCGGACACAGGTGAGTGTGGCCAGCGAGTGGAGCAGCCTCCTCCAGGAAGCCCTAGGAGCTACCCGGTGGGGATGGGGTGGGCAGCCTAGGGTCTGTGTGGGGTGGGTAGGGTGGGGGGCCTGGGGTCTGTGTGGGTTGAGTGGAGTGGGTGGGGTGGGGGCTTGGGGTCTGTGTGGGATGAGTAAGGTGGGGAGCCTGGGTCTTGCATGAGACTCCTGCCCTACCACCTAGCCCAGCTGGGGGCAGGCCAGGGGCCTGGGAGGGGGCTGCCCGCAGGTGGCAGTTGGCTTGGCCCTGAGAAGCACCTGAGGACTTTGCCTGCCAGGCCTGGAGGCCCCGGGGACTTCTGGGCCCTCCCCCAGCACGGGGAGTGGGGCACACAAGTGCTCAGGAGCTTCCTGAATGAATGAGGGAGTGAATGAATGCATACCAGTAATTAAATCCAGGAATCCCCTAGGCCACTGCAGGGGACACAGGTCCCCTAGACATAGATTCCCCCAGTCCCCACTTCCGACCCAGCTTTCTTTCTTGAGGCCGAAGAGAGCCGCTCATGCAGACTGGGGGTGTCCTGGGCCCGATGTTATCCAGGCTCCTGCCCCACCCCAGGCACAGTGTGGGTACACACTGGCCAGTGCAGGGGGCTCCTGTGGGCTGGTTGAGGTCAAAGGACTCAGGAGTCCTTTGGAGTACTGGAGATTCTTCCAGGCCTCCCCAGCAGCAGATCCAGAAAGCTCAGGGCACACATCTGACACTCCATCCACCTGCCTGTCTGGGAGGCAGCAGATCCAGAAACTCAGGGCACACATCTGACACTCCATCCACCTGCCTGTCTGGGAGGCAGCAGATCCAGAAACTCAGGGCACACATCTGACACTCCATCCACCTGCCTGTCTGGGAGGCAGCAGATCCAGAAACTCAGGGCACACATCTGACACTCCATCCACCTGCCTGTCTGGGAGGCAGCAGACCAAGGTCTAGAGGCCCGGATGTGGCCGGGCTGCAAAGGGCAGGCCTATTCTCAGGGCTGCCTGGGAACCTCCAAGGCCTTCGGGGACTGTGACTCCATGGTGCATGGGCTGATGCAGGCTGAGCCAGGAGGGCTTCCTGGAGGAGGTTGGGCAGCACTTTGGAGAGGCCAGGAGGATGGCACAGGAGAGGAAGGCCTGGGGAGATGAGGACCCGGCCTGGCTGGGAAGAGGCCCCTGGAGGCTGAGGGAGACCAGGCCCAGGCCATTGGGCCACGTCATGCGCAGACACCACCCCTGGCCTGGTAGGAGCCAGCATCTGGTTCCCAGCAGCAGCTTGGAAACCCAGCGACAGAAGGGGCAGGAACTGCACCCTGAGTCTGCAGAAGAGGCTGCTCTTAATGGTCCTCCATGCTGGGCCCTGAGCCCAGGTGGGGCCTGGCCAGCTCCTCATCACAGCTGACCAGCCCTGGGAGTTCCAACTCCAGGAGACCTGGGCTCTGAAGTCCCTGGAGCCAGAGACCCTCTGGGCACGGGACCAGAGGCAGTGTCCTCCCACCTGGAGTCCTGGGGGGTCCTCCCGCTTGGCGAGTGCTGCCCCCCTTGTTGCCCGAGTGTTGACAACAGCCACAGATAGTGCCCACGTGCCCGTCCATGCTGCGGGTAGCTGGCCACAGGGGCGTGGAGATGCGGTGTCAGGGACAGAGCAGGCTGCTGCGCAGGTCGGGGCTGTCTGGGGAGCCTCGGAAGCCGCTCGGTCTTGCTCTGGGGACAGGAGGGGCAGGTGGAGGGGCCCTGCATGGGCTTCCAAAGCCCCTCCCAGCCCTGTGAGGGGGAGTTCCATGGAGTAGTAGGAGCTCCGCAGGGTGGGGCGGCTGGAGGAAGGGCTGATGGCCAGGAGGGGCCGTGGGATGGGGGTGTCATGCCCACTCTGAACTCAAGCCCCAACGGTGTCTCACAGGCCAGGCTTAGCCTCCCCACTGCATCACCAGCCCTCGGTGGTGGCAGGCACCCTGGGAAAGAGCCGTGAGAGCCAGCTCCCTGACAGCCTGGGCGGGAGGTTCCGGGCCCCAGGCACAGATGCCATCTCCCTTGGCAGGCCTGGCAGGGCGGGGCCTTCTGCGGTGACCTGTGGTCCCATTCCCAGGCTCCTCCTGTGCTTGGAAACTTTCTGGAGCAGGGAAGAGACTCAGCCCAATGCCCTGGGAAGCACCCTGCATGGCTGAGAGGTCCTCGGGGAACAGACCAGTGGGTAGAGAGAGCTGTGTTTGCTCCAAAGGCTGGGCGGGTGGCAGGGGGTGGGGGACTGGAGGTTAGAAGCTGGCAGGTGGAAAGGATGGGTGTTCAGGGGAGTATTTCACCAGACTATGCAAGGTGCGGACTGCGCCGTGAGGTCAGGGTGGGTCAGGAGAGATGGGAGGCCATGGCTGTGTTCAGGAAGTGGGCAGTTGGCCCAGGGAGCTGCCCAGGGCCTGACTACCCCCATGCACCCCCCAGGGACCATGCTGGGCCTCTGCGCCTCTGTACAACCACTGCTCCGAACTCTGGGACCCACGGTCGGCGGCCTCCTGTACCGCAGCTTTGGCGTCCCCGTCTTCGGCCACGTGCAGGTTGCTATCAATACCCTTGTCCTCCTGGTCCTCTGGAGGAAACCTATGCCCCAGAGGAAGGACAAAGTCCGGTGACCGCTGCCCAGACACAGACTGGCAATAAACTCCTACTAAATCCCTCCGACCTCTTCCGGCCTGGTTTCTGCAGGCTCACGCATGGTCTGCCTGCGTCCTTCAGTGAGGGATGGGGCCTCGGGCTGGAGGGCTTCCTCAAGGAGGGCGCCTACAGCTGGGCAAAGCTCTGGGGAGGACAGAACCACCCAAATTGGTTCACTGTTATTAGTACAGCCCTGAGTCCGCCCATGGAGGAGGTCCCCCTGCTGCCACACAAACAGCTCTTGCTCACATCCCAAGCAATGGCGAGCTCACTGCCCAACTCCCGCCCACAGTGTGCCTGCCCAAGAGCAGAAACAGGTTGCTTTAAAAGATCAGGGAACCTGGCTGGGCGCAGTGGCTCACGCCTGTAATCCCAGTACTTTGGGAGGCCGAGGCGGGAGGATCATGAGGTCAAGAGATCGAGACCATCCTGGCCAACATGGTGAAACCCCGGCTCTTCTAAAAATATTTTTTAAAAAATTAGCTGGGTGAGGTGGTGCACGCCTATAGTCCCAGCTACTCGGGAGGCTGAGGCAGGAGAATCGCTTGAACCCGGGAGGCGGAGGTTGCAGTGAGCCAAGATCCCATCATTGCATTCCAGCCTGGCAACAGAGCGAGACTCCATCTCAAAAAAAAAAAAAAGATCAGGGAACTGAGGCCTTCCTAGATGGAAGGAAAAATGCCCTCATTCTGCTGAACAGTCCAGCACACAGACCCAAACCCTGGTCGCAGAACTGTACCAAGGAGGCTGCCAGCCACCCGAACCCCAGAACCGCACCAGACACTGCCAGCCACCCGAACCCCAGAACCGCACCAGACACTGCCAGCCACCCGAACCCCAGAACCGCACCAGACACTGCCAGCCACCCGAACCCCAGAACCGCACCAGACAGTGCCAGCCACCCGAACCCCAGAACCGCACCAGACACTGCCAGCCACCCGAACCCCAGAACCGCACCAGACAGTGCCAGCCACCCGAACCCCAGAACCGCACCAGACACTGCCAGCCACCCGAACCCCAGAACCGCACCAGACACTGCCAGCCACCCGAACCCCAGAACCGCACCAGACACTGCCAGCCACCCGAACCCCAGAACCGTACCAGACACTGCCAGCCACCCGAACCCCAGAACCGTACCAGACACTGCCAGCCACCCGAACCCCAGAACCGTACCAGACACTGCCAGCCACCCGAATCCCAGAACTGCACCAGACACTGCCAGCCACCCGAACCCCAGAACCGCACCAGACACTGCCAGCCACATGAACCCCAGAACTCCTCTGGTGTCCCCTTATCTCAGCCTCTTCATCCTACAGCTCAGTGGCCCCCAACATTTTCCGCACCAGGGACCAGTTTTATGGAAGGCAATTTTTCCACGGATGTGGGTGGGCCAGATGAAACTGTTTCACCCCAGATCATCTGGTATTAGATTCTCATGGGGAGTGCTCAACCTTGATCCCTCTTGTGCACAGTTCACAACAAGGTTCTCGTCCCTGTGAGAATCTACTGCTGCCGCTGATCTGGCGAGAGGTGGAATTCAGGCGGTCATGCTTGCCCCGCTGCTCACCTCCTGCTGTGCGGCCCAGCTACTAACAGGCTATGGACCAGTACCCATCCATGGCCTGGGAACTGGGGGTCCCTTCTATAGCTGATTTGCTGGCCAGGCCATGTACCGTTGCCTTCCCAGCCTCCTGACCACAGCACTTCCCGACCCCTCACCCCCACCCCCTGGTCCTGGGCTCTGGGGAGGAGAACTGGGCATGAGGAGGCCAGCCCAGCCGCTGTGACCGATTGACCCATCTGGAGAGGACAGGCTTTCCACAGCCTCAGCGAGGGTCTGCAGCTGCCCCTGAGACCATGAAGGCCGCCCCTCCTCTCCTCGGGCTGCTTTTAAAAGAAGCTGTTGAAACATGGACTCCCCAAACCTTAGAATTCCACTGTCCTCAGAATTTGAGGAATTCCAAAATTCCTCAAACAAGAAGTGGCCTCAGTGAGCCAAGGGCCATCCACCCTCTTCGCCTAAAGCTCAGGCCGGATCATGCCTATGCTTGAAGCACCCAGGGGCAAGGGCTCTCCTCTTGACCTTGGATATCCATCCAGGTGAGGCTCTGGTGGGCCAGCCAGGAGGCCCAGGAGCCCAGCCAGGCAGCGTCCTTGGCTGCTGTTTTCTGCTTTTTGCAGGAGCCCCTCCCCGATCTGCACAGGGGCTTCACAAATTGCGTTCGGGAGAAACTTCCTTGCAGGCAATAGTTTCTTCTGGACCTAGCACCAAGACTCCTGCGGGCCATGCAGCGAAGGGATAGCACCCTCCCCGCCCTGAGCCCAGACCAGCTACCAGGCTTCGTCGGCCTCCTAGCAACAGAGATTAGGGTCCAATTCTGGTACTTCTCTGCCTCCCCTACTGGCATCCCTCCAACCACGAAGGTTCCAGAAATGAAGGCCCCATTGTGGGGTGAGGAGTCATGCCTGTACCCCTTATCACCTCCTCAGCTTGTTCATCACCAGGAGCCCTTCTGGGTGGGGGACACACTTCCTGAACCCTAACTGTCTCAGACCATCCCTGTCTTTCAAAGAGCACAGCCAGACCGGAGGGCAGAAAGCCGTGGTCAGCTATCTCAGAAAGAGGGGCAGGGATTTGCTGCACTCAGGCCTCTCCACCCCAATGTCCTGGGCCAGTACCTGGAGGTGCAGGGACCTCTGCCTCCTGCCCCACCATCGGAGACAGCCCAGAACTCTCTCCTGTTCCCCCAGAAGCAAAGGCGACCCTGCCCGCCCCACACTGCGGGCACTGGCAAGGAGCGGCTGGCGGCGGGCAGCCAGAGGGCTGAGGGATTCCTTCTGGTCTGACTGCGCGGGTGGTTTGTGGGCAGGAAGTGCTGCTGGGGAAGGTTCCCCCACCACAGGCAGCAGCAGCTCGGACCCAGGGCCCTTGTCCTCCCCAGGTTCAATTCCTCAGGACACACCAAGGAGCAGAAGGTAGCCAGGGTCAAGCCCCAGGGCACTTCCTGGCCTCTGGGGAGGCTGCTTGGAAAAGAGGGTGTGGACCAGGCCCAGCAGATGACACGATTCATTTATTCATTCAAAGCCGGTTCCCAGCGCCTTTCACACCAGCCCCGCAGGACTGGATGAGGGTGTCCTGCCCGCCCATTCCTGGGCCTCCACCCTCCCAGCAGGAGTCTCACTGAGCCACAGCCGGATGGTAGAAAAGCAAACTGGCCAAGTGATTTATTTGCAATGGGCACAGTGATGCAAAAACAAGATATTAAGACTATAAAATATGTGACTACAAAGAACCAGCGAAATAAATACATAGATATTAGATAGTCCAATAACTTAAGGCGCCCGTGCAACGGAGCGAGGATCCGCGCGCACGGGAAGTTCTTCTGCTGCAGGGCTGGAGAGCGCCGGCCACGTCCTAGCCTCGGTCCGACTCGTCCAGCGTATGGCCCTGTGGGGAAAGGACTGGGTCAGAGAGCTGTGCCAGGGCCGGTCCGGGTCCAGCCTGAGGGGCCCCGAGACCCTGACGCGAGGGGGCCAGCGCGATTGCGGGGCGCCGGGTCCCCCAAGGAGGTGCAGCGCCCCCGCCCCGCCGTCTGGGGTTGAAGTGGTTTTTCCCAAAGGCCCCGGTCCCGGCTGTTAGGGCGCAGGGCTCGCCGGGACGCGGGCAGTCACTCACCGCGGCGGGCTCATGGCGTGCGGGGTTTGGGCTGCGGGGATGGCCTGGAGGGCTCCGAGGGCTCGGAGGGTGCGGCGGCCGCGGCAGCCACGGCGTCCTCGGCGGGTGCGGCGGGTGCGGTGCGTTCCTGGCGGCTGCGAAAGTCCTGCAGGGCGCGGCGGTTCTGGAAATCGATGAGCGCCAGCGCGATGGCCGCGTTCCAGCAGCTCTCGCCCGCGCAGCGGAAGTCGATCTCCTTGTGGTCGGTGGTGACGATGGTGAAGTACACGTACTTGCCCGTGCGCTCCACGCAGTCCACCTTGAGGATGGAGTGGAAGCGCAGCTCCTTGGGGCGCGCGCGGGGGCTGGCGGGGAACAGGCTCAGGCGGTCGGAGGTGAGCACCCCGCGCTTCTTCTTCCATAGCTGGAAGAGGCTGTCGCTGCGCTTCTCCAACTCGCCCTCGCGTAGCACCTCGTCGGGGGATTTCATGTCGTGCCGAGCGCGGGACTGGGAGCGGCAATGCGGGCGGTGACGGCGCCGGCTCTGCTCCTCGTGGCCCCGGCGCGGCCTTTATAGCTGCCCCTCCCCGCCCCGCCCCTCCCCGCCCCGCCCCGGCCCTCGGGCCACCCCGCCCGCCTGAGCCCCGCGCGCCCCGGGCCATACCCTCCCCAAGCCCAGCCGTCCGGGCCCGCACCGTCGCGTCCGCGCTCTGGTCGGTCCCCGGCCGTCCCCTCCCATCTCAGAAGCCCGCGCTCCTCTTGCCCCCCGTGCCCCAGCTGTCCGGCCCCGTGGGGTGACTCGAGGTCCCGCCCCGCCCGGGCGCTCGCCCGCACCGTCTCGCAGGCCGGCCCCGCGGAAGAATGCGCTGCAGCCAGCCCTGCCCGCGATGACTCACGCCGGGGAGCCCCGGGAAGCACCCGCGGGCCCGGGGCCGGCCCACCGTGGGGAGACAGCCGGGACCAGACCTTCACCCTCCAGGCGCCCCAAGTCCAGCCCTGCCGCTCTCGGGCTCCCGGGGCAGAAGGAGGGTCGAGGCCCCCTTCCTTACTCCCGAGCCCTGGCCGTTCCGTCCTGTTCGGGGGCCTTTCCCAGGGCCGCCCAGAGACCCTCTCCGAAAGTGGCCCTGCCCTAGCGGACCGAGCTCCTATCTTGCCACCCACGGGCTGCGCCAAGAACGACCACCTCTCTTAGCCTCGGTTTTCGCTTCTGTGAAATGGGAACAGTAACCTTTGCTGGATTAGGGAACACGTGGAAAGGGCTAGACCAGCAACCCATAGAGCTCAGAAAATGGAAGGGGAAGAGGAAGCCCGTTCTCCTCCCTGCGCCCTCGTAGTGTCCCGAACTGGGGTACGGACTGCTCCGACCGCGCCCCCACGACCCGGACCGGAGAGAGGTCCCAGGAGCTGAGGGGTTCGGGCTGGGCCGCGACGCCCGCTCTCTGGGATCAGCCTGGGGGCGAGGGTCGGCGGGGGCGGCTGAGTCATCGCTTTCCAGCTGGGCAGACGGGCGGTTTTATTTACCCTCTTCCTTTAAAGGGTTTAATAGACAGGAAGCGAAAGCCGGCTCTTCCCGGGTTCCCAGGGGTGGGGGTGGAGCCGGCCGAGAGGACCCCAGAGACCCCGGCTACTACTCCACGTCTCCCACCTTCCCGCACCCCTGCCCCCTAGCTGCGCCCTGGGGTGGTTACAGCAGGAAGTCCCAACTCTGGGGTCAGAATTGGCCTCAATGACGGGGCTCACGCAAAATGAAAACGAGAGTCCCCTGATTCAAAATGTATTTAAAATGTCAAGACAGTGGCAGCAGAGCGTAAAACCCAGACCTGGGACCAGCCCTACCTCCACCTGCCCTTCAGGGTCACTGTAAAGGATAAAGAGACGTCCGGCTCAGAGGAGCGCCCCAGACCCGGTTCTGTGAATGGCATGCAGGTAGCAGCTGCCCGGTGGTCCCACCGGTGTGGCCAGAGGACCTGGCAGTGGGCAGGGATGTGGTGTGGAGGGGCAGTGCCGGCAGAGGGCAGGGTTGGGCTGTGCCAGGGTTCTGGCCTGGGAGTGAGACACCTGCCTGGGGCCGGCGGGTCAACACTGCCCCCTACCTGACACCTGTCCTTGCAGCAGGGCTGGGATCCTGTGGTGAGGGAGCAGCAGGTAGGGTGGGTGGGTGAGGGGAGGTCAGCCTTTGGCGGGGAGAGGGGATTCGAGCATTGTTCCGGAGAGGCTGCAGGAAGGATTCGGACTCTGGTGTCCCTTCTTTTGCTTCCAGAGGGCCCTGGGCTGCCGGACAGTGGGACCTGGGCAAGAGGCACCTCTGGGCAGTGGGAGACCAGGAGAAGCGGCCGGGGGCAGAGCGCTCTGTCACTGCGCCAGCCCACAGGTGCCTGGAACACCTCCAGGCCCACCAGCCTGCCTACCCCATTGAGGGGCCAGCCAGTGGAACTTCGGCTCCAGGCAAATCCCCCGACACTCGTGGTTGCTTAAGCACCTACTGTGTGCCTGCAGGCCTGGCTGGTGCTGGGACCCCAGAGGAGGGGAGAGGAATCCCTCTAAACCCCAGGGGCACAGCAGGTACATGAGGATGGGGATAGGGGTCGGGGGTACTGGAGGCCAGGAGGACAGCTTGGAGGACTCTGTGGGGAGGGCGTGCCCTCGAAGATTCCAAGGAGACCTTGAAGGGCCAGTGGTGCCCGTATGCCACCACTGTGCCCAGCCTCCACCTAACCCAGAGAACTCCCCAAAGTGGGCACTCCAGCCCCTGTTCCACAGAAGAGGAAACTGGTTCAGGATGGAGAGGGCCTTGGGGAAGGGACAGAGAACAGGCAGGAGCAGATAAGGGGCTGAGAGAAATGAGGGGGAGGAAGAGGGTTTGGAAACCAGGTGAGGCCAGGTGAGGTGTGCTCCCCCAGCCCCGCCCAGCTCCTCTCTTTGCCTGTACCCCAGTGGCCCTCTCAAGGGAGGCTGGGAAACTCACTCCCCTGGGGGCAGGACTTACAACCCAGGGGTGATGCTCTGACAGGTGGGGCAGGAGCTGGGAGGCCAGGGGGCAGGGTGTGCAGCCGAGATTCAGAGGCCCTGCCCTCCCTAGGGGATTTCCTGCCCACTCAGCCCCTCTCTGCTATTCCCCTCATGGACACTGTGAAGACCTGGGGGGTATGGGGGTGGATGGCCCTTTAGGGGCTGCTGGAAATCAGGTCTGAGCCCTGGAGGCCAGGCCTCCCCAGGCAGCTTCTCTGCCCACAGTCCCTGCCCCAGGGGCTCAGTTGTAGTGGCCCTGGCCTCCCCAGCAGCTGCTAGACACCCTGGGCCCCTGCTCGGCCAAACCAGCCTGAACCTGGTTGCCAATGTGGGGGCTGGAGGGAGCCGACTCCCAAGCCTTACCAGCCCTGGACCAGCAGGTGACTTCAGGAGCCCCCAGGGTGTCTTTATGGACATGGGCAAAAATAAACCACGGCCTTAGGAGGTGAGAGGGGCTTGGAGGACACCATGCCAACTTGGCAGGTACTTGCACACAGGGGCTGCCCCATCCTCTCTGCGTCCACCATCCACCCGAGGGGCTTTACCACCACCACTAACTCACACTGCCGTCTGCCCCTCTGAGCCACCCGCCCTCTGCCAGCCCCCGCTCGGCCTCCCTTGCCTGAGGCCTGAGCCTCACCGCCTCACCTGGTCCCACCTGGGGCTGAGCGGTGCCCCCAGGAGAAGCACTGGCCCCAAGCTGCAGATGCAGAAAGGGTGGCTCAGAGAGGTGCAGTGACTTGTCAAGGTCACCTTTCCAAGGAGGGACCCTATCTCTATCCCCCAGAGCAGGCCTGCCTGAGGGTCCCCTCTGGAGGATGAGGGCTGTGACACTCACTTCCTGGGATGTGGGGGAGGGATGTTGAGGCAGAAGAGTGCTGACACAGGGACCCCACATGAGGGTCTTTTGAGGAATGCCCCTCCTAGAGCCATTTGATAGCCAAGAGCCTGGGAGCTTCTCCAGCACAGCACAGAGATTGGAACCCGGCGTGGATTCGGCCACACCCCATGGGACCTGCTTCTACGAGGGTTCTGGACCACTCACGTGCTGGAGGCGGAGGAACCACCTGCCGGAGAGATGCCAGGGCCAGGCACCGGCAGGAGAGTCCGTGTGGCCCTGCCCCGTGCTAGTTCTGTGCGGTCATTTCTCCCTGTTGAGACTGCTTTCTTGGGTTTGCAGGGAACACTGGGTGGGGGTTTCAGAGAGGTGGTGACTCACCCAGGTTACACAGTGGCCAGTGCGGCCACATCCACAGCTTCCCCGATTCTGTGGCACCCTGTGGCTCGGGGCAGGAAACAGCCCTGATGTTCTGTGACTGCTTCTCAGGATGGGGAGGGGGCTCTGCCTCGAGTTGGTGGTGTCAGGCAGCATCAGTCCAAACCGGGTTTACTGATATTTATCTGAGGGGCCACATCCAGGATTCATGCAGAGCCTGAGCCAAGGGCCCCCACCCCTGGGCAGGCATTGTACAGTCTGGGTGCCCAAACATCTGGCCTGGGACACTGGCTGCCCTGTCCAGCTGCCTGGACCCTTGGCACCGGAGCCCAGCTGTGTGAGGCTGTCAGCAGCTGGAGTAGGATGCGGGCACCTCTCCGAAACTCCCTGAGTGAGGTCACTTCCTTACGGTGACGAGGCCGGGCCCTCCAGGCACTTGCCCAACGAGCCTGGCCATCCTGCCAGCCTGTGAGGAAGCTGCGTGTCACAGGGCCCGGCCCAGTGCCTGGGGCTTGACACCACCCTCTTGTGGGAGGGGTTGCTCAGAGAGAGCCCTGCAGAAAGGCCCACTGCTCCTCAGTCAGGAAGGCCCACCCCTAGCTCCTCTCACCCCCTCCAGGAAGCCCTCTCAGATTGCCAGGGCGCACTCTAAGGCCTGCCTCCTGCCAACCACATACTGCTAGGCCATGGGTCTCCAAGCCTCCGCCCACCTGAGCCTGGGGAGGCTGGGGGAAGACCTAAGCTGCCTGGAGCTGCAGCACCTGAGCAGTGCACTGGTGCCACCTCACCTGAGCCCAACATGGCCCATGTGCCAGGGCCTGTGACTCAGGCTTGCCCTCTATCTGTCTCCTCCCAGCTGCAGCCTGAGGAAAGTGAGAGGCCCCGTGGCATGACCCACCTGGTTTTCAGACACTTGCTGTCAGCCTGATCTTGGCCTTGGAGGGCTGTGTTCTCTGTTGCTGTGTCTCTTCCTGAGCTCTTCCACTGGAGCCTGACAGGCAGGTCCTACCTCACAAGATGTTGGGGATTGATTGAGAAACCAGGAACACCCTTCTCCTTGGCCCCTGATGAGCTCCTGTTTATCCCTCAGTACCCTGCTCAGAAGCTATTATCAGCTCCTTAAATGCAGTGATAATGTTTTATTCTTTGGGAGCCCCAGGGATCAGCCCAGGCACTCAGGAAATGGCTAAAAAAGCATCCTGAGGCCGGGCTCGGTGGCTGACGCCTATGATCCCAGCAAGTTGGGAGGCCGAGGTGAGCAGATTGCTTGAGCCCAGAAGTTTGAGACCAGCCTGGACAACACAGCAAGACCCCCCCATCTCTACAAAAAAAAAAATAAAAATTAGCCAGGCATGGTGGCATGTGCACTATAGTCCCAACTACTTGGGAGGCTGAGTTGGGAGGATCACTTCAGCCCAGGCGGTCGAGGCTGCAGTGAGCCGTGATTACTCCACTGCACTGCAGCCTGGGTGACAGAGCAAGACCCTGTCTCAAAAAATAAAGGCATCCACGTCATTGTCCAAAAGACCCCCTCTGCACTGACTACTGAACGTGCAGACTGTTGGCGTGTGTATGAGACCAGACAGCCCCTTGCTGCCTCGGGTGAGACTGGCAGTCAGGCGTGCCAAGATGAGGGGGCCCCGTGGGGCAGAGTGGGGCCTCCGTCGGGCTCCATCAGGCTGGTGTCACCTCCACAGGGCTGCTTGTGGGTGGTTATGGAGCCTCCAGAGGTTGGGAGATGGGGCCAGGACACAGGGAGCTCAGGAAAGGGCCCTCCCAGCAGTCACTCGCAGATGGAAAACAAGAGCAGCCAACATGACCGCCCTGCACCTGGCTTGTGGGGATGTCTCCAGAAGCTTGAAGGAGTGAACCAATGAACAAAGGAACAAACAAAATACAGGAAGGGAGAGAGGGAGGACTGAGGTGGCCCCATGCCCTGCACAGGGCTCAGATTGCAGAATCGCTGGGGCAGCCTTCTCACAGCGCAGATGCTCACCCTCCTGGCCTGAACTTCTCATTCCGCCGGTCTGGGGGAGCCCTGGCAGGTGTATTGTCATTAATTATTTCCAACGTTAAAAAATTACCAAAGATAGGCCAGGTGCTGTGACTTGTGCCAGTAATCCAGGGCTGCTTTGGGAGGACCAAGTGGGAGGATTACTTGAAAACAGGAGTTCAAGACCAGCCTGGGCAAGACAGCAAGACTCCATCTCTTAAAAAAAAAAAAAAAAAGTCCAGGCGCGGTGGCTCACGCTTGTAATCCCAGCACTTTGGGAGGCCGAGGCGGGTGGATCACAAGGTCAGGAGATCAACACCGCAGTGAAACCCCGTCTCTACTAAAAATACAAAAAATTAGCCGGGTGTGGTGGCCAGCACCTGTAGTCCCAGCTACTCGGGAGGCTGAGACAGGAGAATGGCGTGAACCCGGGAGGCAGAGCTTGCAGTGAACCGAGATCGTGCCACTGCACTCCAGCCTGGGTGACAGAGCGAGACTCCATCTCAAAAAAAAAAAAACACGCCTACCAAAAATATTAACCAATTGTTGATATAAAAAGTAAAAAAGAGGCTCGAATTATTTCAGAATTGATGCTGGGCACAGTGGCTCGCGCCTGTAATCCCAGCACTTTGGGAGGCCAAGGCAGGCAGATCACTTGCAGTCAGGAGTTGGAGACCAGCCTGGCCAACATGGTGAAACCCCGTCTTTACTAAAAATGCAAAAAAAAAAAAAAAAAAAAAAAAATTAGCCGGGCATGGTGGTGCACACCTGTAATCCCAGCTACTCAGCAGGCTGAGGCAGGAGAATTGCTTGAACCTGGGAGGTGGAGGTTGCAGTGACCTGAGATTGCACCATTGCACTCCAGCCTGGGCAACAGAGCAAGAAAAAATGAAAAAAAAAAAAAAATAATAAAAACAAAATTGAGTGTTCATCTCTCATGTCCCCACCTAGGGCCACTCTCATCCTTTTTTGTTTGTTTGTTTGAGATGGGGTCTTGCTCTGTTGCCCAGACTGAGTGCAGTGGCGTGATCTTGGCTCACTGCAACCTCCGCCTCCCAGGCTCAAGCAATCCTCTCGCCTCAGCCTCCTGAGTAGCTGGGACCACAGGTGTGTACCTCCATACCCAGCTAATTTTTTGTATTTTTGTAGAGACAGGGTTTCACCGTGTTGCCCATGCTGGTCCTGAACTCCTGAGCTCAAGCAATCCACCCATGTCAGCCTCCCAAAGTGCTGAGATTACAGACATGAGCCACTGAGCCTGGCCTCTTTTTGTTTTATTATTATTATAAATTTTTGAGACAGGGTCTTGCTCTGTCACCCAGACTGGAGTGCAGTGGTGCAATAATGGCTCACTGCAGCCTTGACCTCCTGAGGTTGTGATCCTCCCACCTCAGCCTTCTGAGTAGCTGGGACTACAAGGCACATGCCACCATGCCTGGCTACTTTGTATATTTTTTGTAGAGATGGGGTCTCACTGTGTTTCCCAAGCTGGTCTTGAACTCCTGGGCTCAGGCAATCCGCCTGCCTCATCCTCCCAAAGTATTGGAATTACAGGTGTGAGCCACTGTGCCTGGCCTCATCCTTTTTAAAAAAGCATTTACATTTCCTTTAACAATTGATTTTTGTTTGTTTGTTTTTGAGACGGAGTCCCACTCTGTCATCCAGGCTAGAGTGCAGTGGCACGTTCTTGGCTCTCTGCAACCTCCGCCTCCTGGGTTCAAGTGATTCTCCTGCCTCAGCCCCCTGAGTAGCTGGGACTACAGGCATGTGGCACCACGCCCGGCTAATTTTTTTGTATTTTTAGTAAAGATGGGGTTTCACCATGTTGTCCAGGCTGGTCTTGAACTCCTGCCCTCAGGTGATCCACTTGCCTTGGCCTCCCAAAGTGGTGGGATTACAGGAGTGAGCCACAGCACCCAACCTCCTTTAATAATTAAATATAGGATTGCCCTGTGATCCAACAATTCCACTTCTCATTCACATGCTCACAAGAACTAAAAGTTAGAGTCTCTCCTAGAGATCCATGCACACCCATATTCCCAGCAGCATGCCAAAAGGTAGAAGCCACCAAGTATCCACTGACAATGGGCACACACGATGTGGTCCACACACACACTGAATAGTCACTGCCTTAAAATGGAAGGGAAATCTGGTCGGGCACGTGGCTCACACCTGTAATCCCAGCACTTTGGGAGGCCAAGGCAGGTGGATCACCTGAAAAATTGGCCAGGCGTGGTGATGCCTGCCTGTAATCCCAGCTACTTGGAAGGCTGAGGCAGGAGAATCGCTTGAACCCAGGAGGCGGAGGTTGCGGTGAGCCAAGATTGCACCATTGCACACCAGCCTGGGCAACAAGAGTGAAACTCCATCTCAAAAAAAAAAAAAAAAAAAAGGAAGGGAATTCTAACACAAGCTACAGCACGGATGGACTCTGAGGACACTATGCTGAGTGAAATAAGCCAGACACAAAAAGACAAGTACTGAATGATTCCACATGTACCAGGTCCCAAGAGTCGTCAGATTCAGAGACAGAAGGTAGGAGGGCAGGTGCCAGGAGCTGGAGAGGACAATGGGGAGTTTAATAGGGACACAGTTTCCATTTGGGGAGATGAGAAATCATGGAGGCAGATGCTGATGGCGGCTGCATGACAGTGTGAATATGCTTAGTGTGAATATACTCAGTGTGAATACGCTCAGTGTGAATATGCTGAGTATGCTCGGTGTGAATATGCTCAGTGTGAATATGCTCAGTGTGAATATGCTCGGTGTGAATACGCTCGGTGTGAATACGCTCGGTGTGAATATGCTGTGTGAAAATGCTCGGTGTGAATACGCTTGGTGTGAATACGCTTGTAATATGCTCGGTGTGAATATGCTTTGTGTGAATATGCTTTGTGTGAAAATGCTTAGTGTGAATACGCTCAGTGTGAATACGCTCGGTGTGAATATGCTCGGTGTGAATATGCTCGGTGTGGTGTGAATATGCTTGTAATATGCTCGGTGTGAATATGCTTTGTGTGAATATGCTTTGTGTGAAAATGCTTAGTGTGAATACGCTTAGTGTGAATACGCTCGGTGTGAATATGCTCGGTGTGAATATGCTCGGTGTGAATACGCTTAGTGTGAATACGCTCGGTGTGAATATGCTCGGTGTGAATATGCTCGGTGTGGTGTGAATATGCTTGTAATATGCTCGGTGTGAATATGCTCAGTGTGAAAATGCTTAGTGTGAATACGCTTAGTGTGAATATGCTTGGTGTGAATATGCTCGGTGTGAATATGCTTGGTGTGAATATGCTTGTAATATGCTCGGTGTGAATATGCTTTGTGTGAATATGCTGTGAATATGCTCAGTGTGAAAATGCTTAGTGTGAATACGCTTAGTGTGAATACGCTTAGTGTGAATATGCTTAGTGTGAATACGCTTAGTGTGAATATGCTCGGTGTGAATATGCTTAGTGTGAATACGCTGTGAATACGCTTAGTGTGAATATGCTCGGTGTGAATATGCTCGGTGTGAATATGCTCGGTGTGGTGTGAATATGCTTGTAATATGCTCGGTGTAAATATGCTCAGTGTGAAAATGCTTAGTGTGAATACGCTTAGTGTGAATATGCTTGGTGTGAATATGCTCGGTGTGAATATGCTTGGTGTGAATATGCTTGTAATATGCTCGGTGTGAATATGCTTTGTGTGAATATGCTTTGTGTGAATATGCTCAGTGTGAAAATGCTTAGTGTGAATACGCTTAGTGTGAATATGCTCGGTGTGAATATGCTCGGTGTGAATATGCTTAGTGTGAATACGCTGTGAATACGCTTAGTGTGAATATGCTGTGTGAATATGCTTAGTGTAACTATGCTTAGTGGCACTGAACTGTGCACTTTAAAAAATGGTTAAGAATGTAACTTGTGATGTACCCTTTACCAGTTTTAAAAATGCATTTACATATGAATATCCATGCAGGCGGGGGTATGAGCTTGTGTCTCTTCCTCTGTCTGGGCCATCTTCCAGGAACCCCCCACCCCAGCCCTCATTATCTGGAATCCTCCATGTCTCAGCCACCCCTTGTGATGGTTGGGCTTGGGCTGGGTCCCTGTTGCTGTCATCTTACATGGCACTGCCTTCCTGCACACCAGACATGGCACTGCTGGGCTAGCAAGGCCCTCAGATGTGTGGTAACTGCCAAAATGGCCTGCCAGTGGGGCTGTTCCTATTCACCCTTTCCCCCAAGGGCTGCAATGCCAATCTCCCCATGGCTAGGCCAATGGTGGGCACTCTGTACTTAAAAAAAAAAGTCAATCTGGGCAATAGCTCACGCCTGTAATCCAACACTTTGGGAGGTCAAGGTGAGTGGATCACTTGGGTTCAGGAGTTTGAGACCAGCCTGGCCCACATGGTGAAACCCTGTCTCTACTAAGAATAGAAAAAATTACCCTAGTGCAGTGGCATGCACCTGTAATCCCAGCTACTCGGGAGGCTGGGGCAGAAGAATTGCTTCACCCTGGGAGGTAGAGGTTGCAGTGAGCTGAGAAAGTGTCACTGCACTCCAGCCTGGGCCATAGAGTGAGACCCTGTCTCAGGAAAAACCAAACAACCAAACAAACGAACAAAACAACAACAACAACAACAACAAAACCCCACAATCTGGTGGTCAAAAACTGAGGTCTTCACACACATTTCTCTATCCCTGGGGTGGGGGCAGCCATCTCTCTGGGTGTCTGTGGCCTTTGGCGTGGCTGTCTTTTCCCCTCTTCATGTGCTTTGGTCTGTTTGAAAGACCCCTTTCATGGACTGAATGGTGGCCCCCAATAAGACATATCCATGTTCTACTCCCTGAAACCCACGAATGTTACCTTTGATGGCAAATGGGTGAACATGACCTTAGTGGCTAGGGTGTGATATAGGAAAGGCCCCTGAGAGCAGGAGCTTCCCCTGGACTACCCAGGTGGGCCTCACAAGGGAGAACTATGGAGAAGCAGGCATAGGGGTAGGAGGCCACGTGAGACAGAGGCAGAAATCGGAAGGAAGTGGCTGCAAGCCAAGGAATGCCTGGAGCCCCCAGATGACGAGGAAGGGTCCCCACATAAGGTCTGGTGTTCTGGTCCTTGGGGAGGGCAGCCCCTGCTGAAAAGGGGCAGGTTGAGACCCAGGGACCACTTCAGGCCCTCGCTGGCGGCCCCCAGGCTGGGGGCAGCAGACTCTAGCAACTCTGGCCAGTGCCTGCACCTGAGGCCCCATCTCCAGGCGTTCCCTCTTGTCCTCCCAGCCCTGCACCCGCCTTGCTCAGTGAGGCACTGTCCTCCCTCCTCGGACTGGCTTCCAGCCAGGCAGGCACTGGTGAGGGCCGGTGTGGGCAGCCCTGCCATGCCCAGGGTCTGGGTTCTGAGGAGGTGAAGCTTCTCCCCATGTCCCAGATACAGAAACTGAGACCTAGGGAGATTTGGAAACTTGGTGGACACCACAGACTTCTTGAGGAGCTCGACAAGGGTGATCTGTGTGGGTCCGCCCTGAGTGGGGTCCTGGACACAGCTGTAGCTGCCCCGTTTCTCCTGGGCTGGGCTGGGCTGGGCCAGGCTGTTGGGTTGTCATGGTAAGTAACATCCGGCTGCCACCCTCAGAGAGCCATGAGTCAGCATGGCCAGGATGGGCTAGTGATTGGCACCTTGGGGACAGCCTAGCAGGCGGGGCCTCCCTCAGGCACACCAAGGTGACCTGGCCTCGGCAAGAGGCGTCCAGGCCTCACCCTGCAAGAGCTGGGCCCTGGCTTCTGTCCTGAGACTCGGGTCTGCATCTCTTAAATGGGGAATGTCCCAGGCGCATGAGGTGCCTGGAAACCCACACCAAATTCAGCGCATCAGAAGCTCAGCCAGGGCCAGCCCGAGGAGGCGTCCTTCCAGGAGGCCCTGCTGTTGGGGGCCACTGCTTGCCAGTGTCTCCTGGTGGGTGGGGTCCAAACAGCTGGGCCTGGGGTCCCTTGGGCCCCCCACTCCACATGGGGATGCTCCCTGGGGCGGGCTGGGGAGGAGGTGCCTGCTCCAGCAGAAGGAACCTGGGAAGGCACCTGTTCTGAGGGTTTTGGGGCAGAGGCCGAAGTCCATGCCAGGCTGTGGCCAGGCTGGCCTGGCTGGCAGGGAACCACAGGCTTCTGCACACAGCAACCCCTTCTGCAGGCCCAGGGCTCCCTCAGGGCACTGCAGCTGGAGTTGGCTGAGTCTGGGACGGTCACTTCTCCCACCGCTGCCCCTGGCTGTTCCTCTGTTGCTCACCAGTTGCCCAGCCCTGAGCCCTGACTCAGAGCCAGGCAAGCCAAGGACCCAGCAGGGGCAGGTCAGAGGTCAGTAATATCAAGGTGTGCCTGGATGAGCCAGGCAGAGGCCAGGGGCTCCACCTACCCACCTGGCTGGCTGGTGGAGCCAGCTGGCTGCCCCCTACCCACCCCACCCCTGCCTCCCACCTCAGGGGCAAGCTTGGATCCTGGCAGCTCATGCTGACTCAGCCTGCCCAGCGATGGGGCTGGGGGCAGCCTAGGGCATTTTGAGAGTGGGACAAGATGGGTGGGGTGGCAGGAAGCCCTGGACCTGGGACTTGGGGAAGGGGGCTCTGGCCCCATGGGTGGCCCTTGGGCCTGGGGAGGTTTGCTGGGCAGCAGGACAGGAGCAGAGTGGGATGTCGGCTTGGTCCCAGCTCCACATAAACGGGAGTCATGAGCCTAGAGAGCAGACTGGCCAGGTAGGCTGACCTGGGGTACACACCACCCGCGGACCCACACGCCAGGCAGCTGTGGACAAGGGTCCCAGGTGACCCTGCTGGGGAAAGCAGCAGCCATCAGGTTCTAGGGAGCCATAGCTCCTGACTCAAGGGAAAAAACAGAATTTTAAGTGGAATCACCCTGTTTTGGGGACTTCTGAAAACTGAGCTTCAGGCCAGGCACGGTGGCTCACACGTGTAATCCCAGCACTTTGGGAGGCCAAGGTGGGTAGTTCACCTGAGGTCAGGAGTTCGAGACCAGCCTGGCCAACATGGTGAAACCCCATCTCTACTAAAAATACAAAAATTAGCCAGGTGCAGTGGTGCATGCCTGTCATCCCAACTACTTGGGAGACTGGGCAGGAGAATCGCTTGAACCTGGGAGGTGGAGATTGCAGTGAGCCGAGATGGTGTCACTGCACTCCAGGCTGGGCAATGGAGCGAGTCTCCGTCTCAAAAAAAAAAACAACGCTGAGCTTCATTGAGGACTAACTTATATACAACCAAATATACCCATTTTTGATGTAACTCAATGAATTCTGACAGACGTATACACCTGTGTAACCACTTCCATCCCTCTAAAGCGTTCCTTGGTCAGTCCCCCCACCCCAGATCCCTCCCAGGCAGTCACCGGCACTATAGCTTTGCAGGCTCTAGAACCGGACAGAAACAGGGCCCTCCAGGTCTTCTGTGCCTGGCTGCTTGCCGTGCGGGTTCTTTCCCTCCTTGCCCAGGAGCACCCGTGTGATGGCAGCTGACAGAAGCGTCTGAGCCACCTGTGCAGGGGGTGGGGGTGCCCCAGGCCCCACCTCCCATCTCCCGGGCTGCTCCCCAAACTCCTGCCCTGACCCCAGCGCCACTGGTTTTGAGTCTCAGTTCCCGCACAGGGTGAACAGTCACAGGAAGGGCAGGGGCTGGGGGAGCCCCAAGCGGGGTGGGGTGGGTGGGGCGGGGCTGGACGGTGAATGTCTGCCTCCCCAGCCAGGGGCTGAGTCGGGAAAAAGGAGGGCCTGGGCTAGCAGAGCTGAGGTTCTGTGGCAGACCCCCTGGCCTCCAGGACCAGAAGGGAAGCAGCCACCCTTCACCCAGGCCAGGCTGGGCGGCCGCCACAAGCCCCCACTTCCCAGCTGCCTTCCAGATGGTGGCTCTGGGCAAACCTCTCAACCACTCAGCGACTTTCGGTGACCACTGATGGCTGAGGTTCCTGAGCTGACAATGGCCTGGGCCTGGGATGGTTCCTGGGCTCCTTGGCCACTGGAGAATGACCTTCCCTTTTCTGAGACCCTGGGGTGCAGGCAGGACACGGCGGCCATGCAGGGGTGACAGAGGCCGGAGGTGCTGAGGTCCTGGGGGAGACCAGGTTGCCTGCACCCTCGGGCCTCCACAGCTCCCCAGGCTTCACGTTGAGGTCCTGCACCCAGATGTCCTTGGAACTGGGCAGCATCCACGAACCATGCACTCCCAAGGTCAGACTCACTGGCGGACACAGGAACCCAGCTCAGTGAAGGATGCACGCAGGTGGGTGCAGGGTTCTCACACACTTCTTACTCAAAAGGGAAAATCCAGATACCCCCACCCCCAGAAGCCACAATGTTAAGCCCTTTCCCCTGCTTGTGCAAATCTGATCGAAAAGTGCAAATCTGATCTAAAACCACCCAGCTAGGTAGTGAGGGGCACTCCCCAAGCCTGTGGAGCCCTTCCTAAAAAGGCACTCTGGGCACCCAGTGGACAGGGCAGTGTGCAGGGCTGTCTCCGCAGCTGAAGGGCGGGTCACTGCAAAACAGCATATGCCCCTTGGATTATGGGGTCTGACCCTGGGCAGACCAAGTAAGGCCAGGGTGCTGCTCACCCATGGGGCCACCCTGAGGCTGGGGAGCCTGAGACCAAGCTCCCCCAGGTACTTCACAGGATGGGGACGGAGGAACGGGTGCAGGAAGCACAGACATCAGGCTCCCCGGCCCTTGGGGGTATGCTGCAAGCATTCACTTCCCAGCCTGCACCTGCCCTTCCTGCTGCTCCCAGAGAGAAGGCAGCCCACGGGTGAGCTGGAGGCAGCAGGGCGGGGCCAGCCACGTGGGGAGCAATGAGCCAGCTCCACGGCTGCCTTCTCATGACAGCGTTTCATTCACCAGGCGGCGCTGCCAAGGCTGGGATTCCCACGGTCAGGTCAGGAAGTGCCTGTGCAGCAGGTGTTGAGTGCCTCCTCTCATTGTGGATGGAAGAGACACGGGGAAAAGCTTCAGAGAGCAAACACACCTAACATGGGCTTTATCAGGAAGTTCTCCTCTTGGAGCCTTCTGGATCTACAAAGCACAGTCCCACTAACTCTGAGAAATGATCCCCTCCTGGGGGCAGGAACAGTCTTCCCCTGGGCCCGCAGTGAAGCTGCCTGCATACAGCAGCAACTTAGGTGTAGTGGGGGGGCTACAGCAGCCTCTGCCTCAAACTGAGCTTTCAAGGCCTCAGAAGTAAACTGTACAACCGGTCTTGGAGCCACCAATACCCAGGGCTCAACAGAGCCCAACAGGTGTGCAGCACATCTGAGCCTTCCCCACCACATTCCCCTGCAAAGACCCACATGGCACAGTGCTGACTCAATGTTTCACCACTTTAATAGAATATTCTAACTATTCTGTACAAATTGAAAACACTGTATTCAGTTACAAATGTGTTCTAAGGTTAGGCCGAGCACTCTCCACAGGCCTGGTCAGTGCGGACACGGCCATCCCCGGCTGCCGGAGAGCGCCGTCACCCACTTGAAAACCCCACCCACCAGCCGCCAAGCGGTCACACCAAACCCAGGACCTTCAGACAGGATGAATGGTGGGGCCCCGCAATGGGGCTACTGAGAAAGCAGGACTTGACGCTCATACGCTCCACTGAAACGCAGGACTTCCCAGCCCAGTCCCTCAGTGGAGAAGACTGCCGAAGCCCGGCTCCGGCAGCAGGGTGGCGCCTGCGTCATGAGGACGGGCTCGCATCTTCAGCCCTGGTGGCAGGGAGCGGCGTTTCTTCCGCACAGGCCTTGCGCCTGCTAGGAAGTGGCACATCTTCCTGCTCAGGGCACCAAGGTGGTTCAGAAACGTTAAGGACGAGCCACAGCGAAAAGCCGCAGTCCTCACAGGCAAGAAGGGATAAATAAATATGAGGTGACCCGCAGCAGCTCTCACCTGGGCTGGTGTGTCACAACCCTGACCCACCCCTAAAAAAAAAAAAAAATCAAGAAGCAACATCCTAAGGAGAACAGGGCCCTACTCTACACAGCCCTTTCTGAGATGATCGGCATACAGCAGGTGATGCAGGCTGCACACTCAGCAGATTCAGCGGCTGGAAACAGCAAGTGGGTTTCTTCGGATGAAAGGGAAGAATTCAGTCCAACTGCAGGAGGGGTGGGAGAGGTTCCAGATCCTGGGAACCACATCACCAGACCTCGGCCCTTTTTGCCAAGTGACCCCCACCCCACCCTGATGTGGTCTACAGGGCCCTCCCACAGGGAAAGGCCCAGGGAAGTCCAGAGCTACAGGCACCAAGGCTGCAGAGGGTGCTGGACGAAACCTCCTATTTCTGAAATGCATTTCAGTTGCCACTGTACAAGTTAAGCAAAATAATAAGGAAAAAGGAAAAGTGAAAGTGAAAATCATGCACTTGAAAACGAGTTAGATGGAGTAAGCTCTGTCCACGGGATTGTGCTGCGGCAAGGACCGAGGCCCCGCCCACAGGCCTGGAGTCCCGACAGCCGGTCTGCCAGGCACCCGCCTCCGCTTCCTACTGCTGCTTGCATTCCGCCGGCTGGCTGGGTTCCTTCTGTCAATGAAAAAGACAAGGCTTGTAGAGAGCAAAGCCAGCTCCATTCACCAATTAGCTCCAATCAACAATGAAAGCCAAGACTGAATGAGTTCATTCTCATTGAAAAAAATGGTTACTGCAAATATACTTTTAAAAATAGTGACAAAAACAAAGCTAACTCCCCCTACCACCCTGCAGTCAAAGCAGGGTTTTTTTTTGTTTTTAAAGCTATGCCTTCAAGCATTCAAATTCATGGCATGTTCAGCAGGAGGGTTTTGGGGCTCCTTGGGGTGGTGGAGCTCCAGGGGCCTGCCCATGAAAGGGCTGGGAAGCAGCTGGAACCCCTGCCCACACAGAGCACAGTGCGCTCAACACGGGCAGCTCCATCCAGGAAGGCCACCGCGGAGGCAACCCCTCTTGGTGCCAACAGTCCCCACTTCTCAAGGGCACATCTGTCTGGGGGTAGGCTGGGCCCTTGGCGCTCATGGAAAGCACATCTCTCCTCTAGCGGGTTCCTGCTCTTTGTACTACCAGGGAGCGCCCCGGCAGATCCATCCTCTTCTGGTGGCCTGTACTGCACCAACAAATGATGAGCTGCCACTCCCAAGAGCTCCATCTGTCACTCACTCTCCTTCACTCTCCTAACAGTCTCACCAAGGGGCAATGCTATCCTTCCAGTAACGGCATCCGGGACACAAAATTCCCCTCCCAGAGGAATGGATTAACTCCAATATTATCTAACACAGAGATCTTGTACCCTTTAAACCACATCCAGCAACTCCATGAATTTGTGTGGAGGCCAACAATAGCCTAAGAAATACATCACGATCTTGCTAATGCTTCTGCGCTAGTAACTTTACGAACCTGTAACCTATGATTTCTGGCTAAGATTACAAATTGCCCTTAATCCAGCGTGCCTATGGAACCTAAGAACTTGTACTGTATGGGGCAAAAAGATCCCTGGGTTACCATAAATGATATCTTCCACAGTATAAGCTGAGGCTACAGTTCATTCTTTTGGAAATCACATTTAAGGGATGGCCGAAAAAATATGTGTAAAATATGCAAAAAACAAAATCAATAACCTTGAACCCTGGTGTCTAAGCTCCCAATCTCAGCCACCCCAGAGGCTGCCCAAAGAGCCTGGCCAAGACAAAACGAGGCTGACCAAAAACCCTCGCCATGTCAATCTGACATTCAAGGGTAGACTGAAGGTGGCCCAGTGTAGTGGCCAAGAACACTGAGCCACTGGCCTTAGGAGTGTGGGGGATGCAGGGCGCCCCGAGCAGGAGCAGTGAGGGGAGGAGTGGGACAAGCAGTGTGCCTCCACCAAGGGACTCGCCTAGAAAATGGGATGTCAGTAAAGGAGCTGTGCAGGGACGGGGAAGACTGGGGCTGGTGACAAGGTGACAGACTCCATCTTTATGTACATTTAAATTACGCAAATACTATGTCATGTCATACACAGGACTTTATAATTTATCCTACCACAGATTGAGCATCCCAAATCCCAAATCTGAGATACTCCAAAATCTGGAACCCAAGACAAAGAAAATGCTCACGGGAGGATTCCAGATTTGGAATGCTCAACCAGAAATAAATCTAAATTATCCTAAGTTGCAGAAATGATGTAATAGGTATTTTCAACCACGAGAATGTAGTATTCATCTGTCCTAAATAAAACCAATATCCTGGGTGAAGACTGCTAGAGGGAATAGAGTCCGCATAGAACACTCTCTCAAGACCGGTGTCATGACCCAGTGCCTTGCTGGAGGGGAGTAGGCCATGCACCTGACTCTGGGAAGAGCTGCCTCCCCCGTGCCTTGAGGGCACAGCCCCCTCTGGGAAGGAAGGCAGCATGTGGCCCACCCCTGCCAGGCTTTGGTGCTCACACAGCACACTGGAGCTTCTGCAAGTGACTGACAGGAGTTTTAGAAGTGAATTTTACATATGAGAGACACCAATTGTTTTTAGCTTGTGACACATGCCGAAAAAAAAAAAACTACACCTAAACTCCCAAACTGAAGCGTCCTTTATCTCATGTCACAAATTTTAATGATGGTTGAGTCATTAATCAATGCTAAGATTATCAAGGGAGGAGGAGTTGGCATTTTAAAAGGTACCAACTAATAGGAAAAAAATCTCATCTCTCATGGGACCATTTAAAAGGTGGGGTTTGAACAGATAACACTCGACCTGAGAAAGGCAACAAAGACATGCCGCTGAAACACACTCGACCATAGCTGCGCTGGCGAAGAAGCCCCAAGTGCCCAGAGCCCTATGGCTGAAGAGGCAGCAGCCTCAGTGGGACACTCCTCGGGGGTTGCTGCTGTTGCACCCTGCCCTTCTCTTCCAGGGAGGCATACTGAAATACGGATAGGTGGCACGCATCGAGGATTCTCTTCAAAAGAGCTGGTGGCATGGGAGGGGTGGCGTGGGAGAGTGGGTGAGGGTACAGGTGGAATAAGAGTGGCTAAGTTCTTCAGACATGCGGGGACAACAGGAATTAATGGCAGCTAGACATAATTTTAAACATACAGCCATATTCTGAAACCTGGCCCTGGAAAACAAAATCGTTCCAAGAGCTGCATCCGCCCTATGTACCATCAGTTTCCCATGAAAGCAGCCTACATGAGGAAGACAGGGAGGCGGTGGCGCTAAGACCTCAAGGACGTCTGGTCTATGGGCTGCCAGGATCATGCTGATGTTCTGTGACGAGACCCTTAAAAACGGAGTGCCTACTTATCCTGGCATGCAGAGGCCCTGCTATGGTTGTGGGGTTCCTCATGGCACCTCTTGTCCCCACCTCTCTGCTTTCTCCCACTACATCCCGAGTGCCACGAGTGAACAGGTCTCGTCACGGGCAAGAGCCTCTGTCTACTTACGGCCTCCTGTCAGCATTCCAGGACAGGGCAGAGCTACAGGGACTGAAGAAAGTGGAGTGGGAAACAGCTTCCAGGCTTACTGACACTCACTTTCATCTACAACTGGTTCTTGCTTCATTCAACTAGCACCAACCTCACAACAGTACTTTTTACTGCTGACACCAAAACAGATGCCAGTTCATGTTTCAGATAAAAAATGCTGGCACAGTAAAAGCTGTTACCCCTCTGTGTACCTATTGGTCTGCACAAAACATGAATTCAAAAAGTATAGATATTCAACAGACACGTGTTGGTAATGACAGTGGGCCAATTTCAACTGCCAGTGTGTGTTCTGAGCACAGCTGGGACAGCCCAGTGTGTTATGCTCTCTGCAAGGACTGCTTGCTTATGGTGGCCCGTGTGTGCCACCGTGCAGACTGCTGACCATCCAGGGCCCTCTTACTGGAAAGCAGTACCATCAGCAATGAAAATTACACCCAAGTTACATCTTTGCTACTTGGTTAGCAAGAAACACTGGGCTCAGAAAGCAGGGACCAAATCTAGGTTTGGTTCGTTGATTTTAAAAGTACATGTAACAGACACCTATGTCAAACCTGTGACACAGTGAGTGTACCTGGACAGCAACTCCCTCTTTATTCAAAGTCAAAACAATGCATTGTATAAAGTATAGATCAGAAGTTTGGAAGTTAGGTATGAATGGAATTCCACCTTACCTAGAAACGTATGAATGATTAACAGACAAAAATTACACCTAAATGGGGAAAAAAATTGAAAGGAACTGTCAGCATGAAAGAAAATGAAATGCACAAAATTATACAGGAGGAAACGGCCACAATTTCTCATGATACAAAAGGGCTGCAAGATACTGAACTCGGGGTGAACAACTTCAACACTAGATCATACTTTCAAAATGGGCAGAAGCATGATTTTCACTTCTATCAGACTGCTCCCAATACTAAAACCTCCCTTCCTTCCTTGTTTTCTTTTGCTTGCACAGACTCTAACACTGCCCATCTCTCTGGAAGGTGCATGTGACAGGGACAGCAGGCTTGGCCTTATCCTGGCCACACATGCCGGGCCGTCTCTGAACTTCATTCACACCATTAGCCGGAACATGTTTTTAGTCCCTTCTCCCCCAACCAACATAACCGTTTATCAAAGGTTTCATGGGGTGTTAGCATGTGTAATCCACCACATCATGTTCTCTGTAATGGCTGGTGAGAATGCTCTTTTAGAAACCTGGGACGTGAAAGGAGACTCAAGGTTCTCCAAGGTGACAGAGAAAGCAGAACAAACAACAGAGGGGAGGAAAAGAGAAGCTGAGGCACAGAATACAGGGAGGGGGAGATACAAGTGCAACAAGGACAGAGGCAGCTGTGCGCGGAGTCTGAGGAGGTGGCCCTGCCAATTGACCCCAGTCCTTGCTTTACAACTGCAACCTTAAAAGTGTCCATTCAGCGCCCACAAGGCGGAAACACAGCCCAATAAACACACGTGGCCCTTGGGTCCATCAGACACCCCGCACAGCAGTGATGGGCAGCATTTATTCACCCAACGTTGTTCACTGGCTGACTGACAGCCCTCACCTTCCCTGTCCGCACACTGTGATGCACGCAAGGCAGACCCAGGCCTTGGTCTCCTACAGCCCTCACCGCCCACCACCACGGTGCTGCGCACAGGTACGCTTTCAGCAGAGTCCTCCCACATCAACAGGCCAAACTTTAGAAGATGAACATTTCCATGAGCAGATTATTCCCAGAGTAGTCTTTATAAGACACATTCTCAAAAAAGTTTTAAAAGCTCTTCTCCCATCCCTTCCTTGAAGGAACCACAACTGTGAACATGCATTCATGGAAACAGCCAGTTTAAACCAACTGATGACAGAGCCAGAATATCACACTGACAGCTTTTAGTGCACACTCCAAAAAACAAGGGTAAAAACAAGCAAAAAACGTCTAGTCGGACAGAGACACATTACAAAAACACCAGGTAACGTTAGTATTCTGACAGCCCATAATATACTTAATTTTAAGAGGCAAGTGAACTACACATTTCATGTTTTACAAGAAGAAACTCTTATGATGCTGTAGGATGACATTTAAGCACTTCTGATTTTAAAATGTGCCAAATGGTCAAAGTACCTTGATTTAAGTTACTCTGAGACCACAAATAAAAATCTAAATTTGCAGGTAAAATTAATGGGGTTGCCCACTCATTTTCAACTCAGTTTTCTTTAGTAAACCTTTCCAATTTATTTTAAATTATCTGAGACATATGAGATATCTAGACACATCATCTGGGCATGCTCAGCTCAAGTGCAACTGGGTCAAATGATGCCCACAATCCCATTATTCTGTTCCTTAACAAAAAGAGCCCCAAAGTCCCTTCTTTGCACCTTTTCCAAACACGCACAAAGAAAAGTTTATTTATGTTGTCAGTTAAATCATTACCTTACCTTAAAAGAATGAAACACTTGGAAAGTCAAGTTGCTCTACTGAGGAGTCTATGTAAATAAGACACAGCTTGAGACAGCTGGAAAAGCTTCTACTGAGTATGTACACTCAACACTCAAATTATAGACACAGTGTCTGAATAATCATTCCACTATTTTTCTGACACATTTTAAACTTTCTAATTAGGGAATAATGAATATTGTTAACACTACTGCCTCAAAGTGGGGAACATTTTTAAAAGTCTAAGAGTGCAGCATAATAAGTAGGTCTGGGTGGCCCCAAAGTTACCAACCTTGGGGTTAATTTCCGCATCATCCTCGTCTTCTCCCTCCTCGTCACCTTCTAATTCCTGTATTTAAAAAGTGAGAATTAGCTGGAATGACAAGATTTAAACTCTTGTGGCATTCACAATCCACAAACACAAGGAGCAAAACACTGCCTTAGATGGAAATCAATTACTGCTACCCACAAGTGACTCATCACTTCCTTTGGACACTTAGAATTATTTCTAGGTATCTTTTTGTTCTCACAGAGAGCCCTGAAAGAAACAAAATTCTGAAAAAGTAGATTTTGTTAAATGATTATTTTCTAAGATACATTTTCATGAACCAACTGCAGGGTCAAAAACGATGGAAACTGTCACAGCATTTGCTATGCATTTCTGCTTAGTGTTTTAAGAACATTCTTAGAATCAAAGACAGCGTCACAAAAAATGGGTTTAACACAGCCCTGTGAGTCCATAACCTTCAAGCAGAGAAAGCCAAAGAAACAACTTCAGGGAGGTAAGTGGCACTGCATAAACCTGTCTCTTACCTCCTCTTCTCCTTCTTCACCTTCTTCAAACTGGAGAAACACAGAAAAACATTTTTAGGTTTACAAAACATGACAGCAGCCTGCCCAAGACACCAGTCCCATCAAGTGACTCACTGACCAAGCCTAAGAGGAGCAGAAAGTCCAGCCACGCTGCCTGCTGGGCCTCGCTTGCCTGAGGAGCCATTTGCTTGTGTGCAGCGCATTTTAAAAGCATGCCAGGAAATTGAAAGTCACGCAAAACAAGGAATAGGATAGGAAGCTGGTCAGCCAGGGTGTACCCTGGACACAGCTGGGAACCTGGCACCACAGCTCTGCCCTGGCTGTTCTCACACCGAGGAGCAGGCACACAGGAAAAGATTTTTGTAAACCGATGAATTTGTTTTCCTTAAATTTTCTACAAGGCTGATCGAACCAGCAGCATAATGTTATTGGATACAGGAATCTGGGTATCATTTTACATCTCATACAAAGGGAAAAGAAACCTTAGTAGAAATATATTAAAACTTTGGTGTTTAATCTTTAAAGTGATCAATAAGGTGCTCAAAGGTGAACCTCCACCATTAGTCAATTGTCTTGAATCAGTTTCTCCTACATCCAAATACATCATTGGTCAGACTAAAAATCAAGTTTCAAACATGAGACTTACACCAAAAGCAAAACCACCTTATCACTACTGGTTGCATAACAAGGGTAGTGCATGAAAATGCAGCTTCATTTATCAACATTTCCCATTTTGTTGAGCTCACACCATGTATTTGCTTAGAGCCAACTTCGGTGGAACTTAGAAGGGCCCTACTGTGCTGGTGTGGAGTTCACACAGTGTGCACAGCCTCCTGGCGCCACGCAGCAGCCAGGATGAGATGTGGCCACGGTGCAGCGCCCTTCCGCTCTAAGGACCCTAACTGGCATCAGGCAGGGAAAGGCTTCTCAATATTCTTCCATTTCACGTCAGATCCAACGAGCCTCCAGCAGGCTCCAGGGCCTATTCCAAGGCTCTAAGGACAGCATTTTGCCCTTAAGGGGCTGTGCACAGGGGCTGCTCCAGATGCATCACCCACCTGGGCAGAGCAGGAGCTGCCACGTGCAGAGAAGACAAGACCAGGGTTCCCACATTCACCTCCTCCTCCAACAACTTTCTAGTGTTGGGGTACGGTCTAGAAAGTAACATTAGTAAAACACTTTATGCCAACACTTACTGAGTCATTGCTCTGTGCCAGGTGCTATGTTAAGGGCTTAACAAGTAACCAGAGTCTTTACCATGAGCTCTACTTACAGCTGAGGAAACTGAAGCTCAAGGAGGTGGTGGAGCTACTAAAGGGAGAATGGGGATGCGAGTCTGAGCAGTCTAATCTGAGCTGGCACTTCTAGCCTCTAACTGACACTGCTCATCAGTAGTACCTGTGCTGAACGTATTGTGAATGAAACGCACATGTACTATAAGCAAATGTGGCACAGTGCTCACCAGCAGTACAGATACCGCATATAAGTAAGCAAATAGCACACATGCATATTCAAGTCCTTTAAACTGACGGGTGTATGATCAAAACAGTTTCAGATAAGCTTTCCAATGTGTAGCCACTAGCCCTTAGCTCACTATTTAAATTTAAACTAAGGTAAATGAAATGTTCAGTTCTTCAGTCTCAGCAGCCATATTTCAAGTCCTCAAGTGGTCAGTCCTACTGCACTGGACCAAGCAGGCAGAGGACAGTTCCATCAACAGAGAAAGTTCTACTGGAAAGTGCTGGTCTAGAATTTGTAAAACTATGTCTTGGCAGCTACCTGACTGTCCATGTTCCCTGACCTGCAATCACCTCCCAACCTAGGGATGAGCCAGCAAGTTGAGTTTTAGAAGTTAAATGAACAGTCTAAGACCTAACAGCTGATAAAGAGCACGCTGGCCTATTCTCCCCACTGGTGGAACTCAGTACAATGGGAGAGGTGTGAGGAGATGTTGGCCTTTACTGCCACAGGGGGCTAAGGCCCTTGAACCCACCTAAGCTCTTGCCGCCCTGTCTGAAGCCCCAACAGACCAGACCTTCTAAGAAAAGAAACCTAAGAGCTCCACAAGAAAGAGAGTATCATCTAGAACATACTTCCAGTAACAGTCTATAAAACAAAACTTTATTTTCCACAGATCAAGAAGACTTGAAGCTGCTTGAGCCTTGGTGAGGATGGGAGTTTCTAAGCGGTACTTGGGCTGTGCACCCGCAAGTTCTGACTGTGGAAGAGCTGGCTTCCCTCAAGCCCAGAAAGGAAAGTGACATGCAATCTTGTTGTTTTCTTCGGGAGCACGGGTTTCTTTTTTTTCCTTTTTACCTAATTAGATAGAAGTTCAGGAATTTCTATTTCTTTTGGGTTGATGAACCACAGGCTAGCATAAGTCCACTGTCAATAAATGTTTGTTGTGGCCAGACCTCCATAAAAGAGATATTCCCTGTGTTCACAAGTTCCCTGAAGCTTAGGTTTTGAGAGAATATTGTTGAGTCACTAGGCAGGGCTCACATAGGAAACTGGCAATCACCTCTGAAACTGCTTCACAGACACCTGCTTTTCCTGCTCTGTTCCTCAGACTTCTCCTCTTCAAGCGTATTCCCCCCACAACAAGGACAGCAGCTTGGACTACATATCTGGCTGATGATGTAATAAAAAGATTAGGCATGGGGGTTTCCTAAGCCACAATTCAGGGCCACTCTGCACCAACAGAGATAAGCACCCAGGTGGAAGCCCCCCTTCCCCGAGCCTCATACATTGTCATCATCTTCTATGGCCTCCCCAGTGAAGTACAGCACAGCCCGCGGGACTATCCGCTCACGGAAAAAGTGTCCAATTTCAAAATCAGAGGCTAATGTGAATTCAGAATCTTCATCCTGAGGAGGAAAAACCTACGTGTTAACTCATTTTAATGGGATAAAAACATTCACTTCACCACCCTCAGCCAAACCTCAGCCCCTCACTTTTGATTTACTTAACTTAAAACACCAAACTCCTGCACTGCTGGGGGACAGCCACTAGACACTCAAAGCCCCTTTAAAACAACTTTAAGTAGCTTTAAAGAGCTACTGAAGCAAAATGGCAGAGAAAGTGGGAAGTGAGGGCCCTACAGCTCCACAACTTGTCCAAAGGTCTCACCCAGAGTAGGCGGTATCAGTCTCACATATGGGAAACAGGCAGTATTAAAGCACTGCACATTTGCTACTGAAATCAACATATGAAACACATACTTTTACTTAGATGTGTAATGATTTCAAATTAATCCCAGAGTTTTAGGAAACAGAAATGGATTTTTTTTTTTTAAGAGACAGGGTCTTATTCTATCACCCAGGTTGGAGGGCAGTGGTGCAATCACAGCTCACTCCAGCCTCAAGCTCCTGGGCCCCAGCGACCCTGGAACTACACAGTGCACCACCATGTCCAGCTAATTTATTATTTTATCTTTTGAGACGGAGTCTTGCTCTGTCGCCCAATGGAATACGGTGGTGCAATCTCAGCTCACTGCAACCTCCTCCTCTCGGGTTCAAGTGATTCTCCTGCTTGAGCCTCCTGAGTAGCTGAGATTACAGGCGCTGCCACCGTGTCCAACTAATTTTTTTTTTTTTTGGTATTTTAAGCAGAAACGGGGTTTCACCATGTTGACCAGACTGGTCTTGAACTCCTGACCTCTGGTGATCCACCCACCTTGGCCTCCCACAGTGCTGGTATTACGGGCGTGAACCACCATGTTCGGCTGGCTAATTTATTTGGTTTTAATTTTTTGTGGAGATGGGGTTGTGCTATGTTGCCCAGGCTGGTCTCAAACTCCTGGACTCGTGCAGTCCTCCCACCTCAGCCTCCCAAAGCATTAAGATCACTGGCATACCCAGTCCACACACAGCCAGGACTGGACTTTTTTTAACAAGTAGACAAGTAGACATTCACTCAGGAGAGACTTCAACAGGAAAATAAGACTATTAACAACAAATCTTACCAGTGATTCTCCATCCCCGGATGCTAGAAAAAGAAAAGACAAAACATATTTAAATTACAGTGACAACTCCCAGAATTTTAAAGCCCACACAGGAGGAAGCTGTGCTGGTAGATAAAATGTAACATTTCTCACCTCGAGGTTTAACAGAAATCCCCAAAGCCTTGCATCTCCTCACAGACATCTTTGCAAGCTCCATCCACCACTTCTGAAGCTGGCCTGAGTGCCTCTATGCCCCCCTCCCTTCTCCTCCTCCATCATGTGCCATGGGCTGGCACTCAAGCTTGAGAAGATCATTTTGAGAGAGTTAATATATTAACAGGAGGAATGGCAAACAGCCCCCAGGCTGTGGCCATTCAGTGCATTTGTGCTTTATGGGGAAACTTAACTCATGTCCCGCAGAACTATACATGATGGTGCAGGAAAGAGAAAGTCCTTAAGCCTTATAAGCTGTGAGTGTTACTAAGGCACTGCAAATCAGCGAGACAGAAACTGCATTTCTGTTTGTTTGGAGAGTGCTGGAATGCCCACCAGGGGCCCCTGTAGAGTGGCGCAATTCCTCAGCGAAAGCTGATGCTCAGACGAGCTAAGCCCACCAAGACAGATAGGGACTTCTAACCACACTCAATGAAGCTGTGCAACGTTCAACTGGTAGAAGATCCAACCCCCTGATTTTAGAAACATTTACTACAAGACCCTGAGCTTCATCAGGAGTTGAATGTTTACTCTGCTTAGTCTCATACCTGCCTTTTCAATCTTCACTGGGCTCTCCTCTCTGAGTCTCCCTTCCCATTAAGCGACCACAACCCTGGCAGCACTTGCTGTTTGCTGCTGAGACATGAATGTTGGGTGCGTAAACACCACCCATGAGTGAGGCAGAGTTCCCAAGCCTCGGTGTGCCAGCATCACCCAGGGGTTTTAGACATGGGTTAGGAGCATGGCTGGGTGTCTAAATGCTGGAGCAGCATGCTCCCCAGGGCACTCTGGCCCAAGTCATGAATAGTACAAGGACTCTGAACACTCATACTTCTGGACTGGCTTTGCAGTTTTAAGGACAAAGGAGCTGGACTCACTAGCTAATGCCTCCTTCACTTCACACCACAGGAGTCCATTTTGTCTGTTCCTTCACTACCCCATTACCTATTCCGCAGCCATCCTCAATTTTTTTCAAAGCACTTACCATTTGGTATTATGTGTTTGATTACTTTAAAAGTGGCTTTACTGATGGGATTTACATACCATTAAAAGGCATACACTCTAAATGTACAACTTTATGACTTTCAGTACGTTAATTTTAGAGTTGTGCAACCATCATACCCTAAAAGTTTTAGAATCTAAAAAAAAAAACACTTAAAAATTCCCTTGAGTCCATTATCAACTCCATTTTTATCCTAAAAATTATTTTTAAATCAGTTTTAAGAGAACTTCCTACACAAAGTGATTCCAGAAATTAAAGCCTCCCTTCTTCACGCTGAATTCACAGACAATCTCCAGTATGCCCAACCCAAGTGTCTAAAAGGAATCTTCCAAAAAAAGGAAATGTAATATCTAAATTTATGACTGCTCTCATTCCCCAAACCGTATGTATTTGCATCTTCTAGGTTCAAAGTCTAATTGCAGAAAATAGGCACCACAATTAAAATAATGGACTGAACTCTGAAGGGCAGCTTGATAAATAAGGGTGCTAAGCTCAGAGACAAAATCAAAAAATCAATCACTCAGACTGGAGAAGAGATCCGCCCTGTGGCCCCACATACAAACAAACACTCACTGATTATCTGCAGCAGGGGCTGGCATCTCTTCACTTCAAATTATGTTTTAGTTCATGGAAACTAAAGAGAATATGGATATTTTAACACTGACAAGTTGCTTGACCTTCACATTTTCTCGCGATTAGGAAATTATATGAAAAATCCCAAGAAATTTACTCTTAAAATCAATTGGTCAACCTTTACTAGCTCAAAGGTCTCATCTTTATTTTACCACTTAGGAAAATTTAAAAAATAAATAAATAAACAAAAAGAAGCAGCTTCCAAGCTGTGATTCTGCCGATGTTTTTCAAAAATGAAAGTCCCAACTACTTGTGTTTCTTACAATATATAAATTCCAAAAAATTCTATCAAATTATGCATAAAAAATTACAAGAAAAGGGGGACTAAGCAGATGATCCAAAAGCAGCACAACTAGAACCAGCGTACAGCAGTAACGGGTACCTGCAGAGCAAACCCAGCAGCTCTCCGAGGCTGGGAGTGGTCCCCGGGGGGTGCGAACCAGACACAACAGCGGGGCAGAAATGCCAGCTGGTGGAGAAGGGTGCTCCAGGTGTCCAAGTGAGGAAGCAGCCCAGGTGCAAATACTCGATTCAGTTTTCTTAAAACAGAACTGCAAGTTTTTGCCTGGGCTACAGCCAAGCAGAGTAAAGCTCTTCCCTTTCCTGCAGAAGATGACAATCCTACTCTTACTGTCCTAGCTACCTCTGCCCCCCGCGATAAACTTGCCAGCGCACCAACAGAACAGCCTGGGACACAGCAATGTGCCCCTACTGACCACACTTGCCTGAAAAAAGAGGACTAAAGTCTCTGGGTGTTAGGAATCTATCAGGTGACCAAAATTATTTTATATAAGAACATAATGAATATTAACAACCAACAGACTTGCCTTTCAATGGATTGAAGAAGTTGAAAAAGGACTCATTGGGTACTTGTTTCGTAATTGTTCTAACAGTGCCTCGACCCTTATGCTTCTGCTTTTTCTTGATGGTTTTGACAGTAACATTCTTTCCTTTCTTCCAGTCAATAGTACACCTACCAGGACAAGACAGCTGTCAGGAACACACAATCCATGAGAAAAATCCATTACAAATGCATGCAGGAAGCAAACCACAGCTCTATGCCAAACCTGGAAAACGAAATAAAACCAATCTGCAAACCAAATACAATGGCCCATGAAGTTCATCTGGAGGTTGGCAAAAAGAGAAACAGCCTGGTCCTCTTTCAACTTGGGTGTGACCACTGGAACTTCAGACTTCTGGAACAATGGTATTATTTTCCCAAGACATTTCATCAGGACTCTGAAATGTATATTCTGTGGCAAAGCCCCGTCAAGTCTGCATGATGCACAAGAACTTGTCCGCGGTTTCCCAAGGAAGGAGGAGTTGCTGCTGTTCAAAGCAGCCAACTGAGCACGACAAGCTGAAAAAAGGAAAGAGGTGGCCACCGGGAATACTGATGGCCAGTGCAGACCACTCCAGCCCCAGGGATGCTGGCGAGGGCTGAGCACAGCACGCTCTCTCTAACACACAATCACCACAGACCCAGGCAACACCTGGCAGATCTCAATACTGCCCGCTTAAGAACATGCTTGGTAAGGCCAGGCCTTTTTCTCACATGATGTCCTGGCCCTGGAAAATCATCTTTCTAAATTACTCTAGCAGGATTTTAATAAAGTCCTGAATTAACAATTACTATTTACTTCTGGTAAATAAACGTAATTGTTTCAAGTCAAGACTAAAACCATTTCTCAGTCAACCCAACCTGGAGAAATTAATTCTAAACCAAATTCTCTCTTTAGTGATTTATAAAGACTGAAATCAGTGAGTCAAACAACAGCTATGCTGCCCCCACCTATTTCCAAAGCAATCAGCTGATCAATATAGCCCTGGACTCAGACTCATTCATTCAATAAGTATTTATTTGCTGAGGGTAATCCATGGATTCAATTTTAAGAACTTCAATTCACGATGTCTAGAGAATCCACTACTTTCATTAAAATGAAGAAACAGGGCACTATCCCAAAGGCTTGCATGTGCAACCACGTGACTCATTTCCCAGGTTCAGCCGCCATCTCCAAGTTCTGCACTATGAGCATTCCCAAACTGAAAGACTATTGAAATATACATCTACCAGGCTTTTAGGCTTTTAAGCAGACTCAAGACTGTACTTTATTCCTTACTTCTATCTTACCCATCAAGTTACAAAATTATCTTTTGATTTTGTTTCAGAAAAACAAGGTAGAATGACATTTTCTTACCCGTCACAGTCCACAATCTCAGGACCTTCAAAGGAAAAGGGATCAGCCTTATCTGGTTCTGATTTCATCTTGTAGGTTTTTGTCAGGACTGAGTTGGTAAAGTAGTCGTTGGGTTCAAAGTGGAACTCTAACACAAAAGACTAAAAGTAGAAATTCAGAGTAAGCACCAGTTAAAATAGAAAAATAACGAGGACAGATTGCTTGGAGTACACAACACTTACTAGAAGCTATTTTGGGAAAGCTCAACAGATAGGGCCATGAACAAGAAAAACTTCTCCACCGCAAAAAAGACTAGCGTGAGGTTAAAAAAACCAACGATGGACTGGCGGGAAATATCTGTTCAGTTCATGAGTAAGGGGCATGTTCCCCCTCCAATGCCTCCTCACCAATAGGCGTCAAGCTCTCCTAAGAAATCCTAGCTTCTCTTAGCTGCTCCCAGCCCTTGCTTCCTGGAAGGAGGGAAGGTGACTAGGGGAAAGTAAGGGGACCAGCAGTCCATCCTCCTCCTGTCCTTTTCCGCTCAGCCTAAGCCCCAGCCCCCACCCTGCTGGGGGAAGCCAGGGTCTCTACTCTGTGCTGTGCAGTGAAAGCAGTGACCCACAGCTTTTCTCCCGGGAGGTGGGTGGGAGAAAAGGACAAATCTCTACAAGGACAGAAAGCTCATCCCTCACTTACAAAGCACGCTACAGACCTGGAAGAGACGTGAGCACACCGGGAAAAAGGATGCAAACATGAACGCAGGCATAGAACAACCAACAGCAGCAACAAGGCATTCATGCTCACGAGTAACAAAACACATGAACACCAAAATGAGATGCCTTTCTTTGGGGCAAAATGTACAAAAATATGTAGACCCGGCCAGGATTTTGGGGTACTGAGCACACTCATGTACTGTCGACAGATTTTATGAAGGACAATTTGGCAATATCAAAAAAAATTAAATTAAAAGGCATATTCCCTGACTCAGTAATTCTATTTTGAGGAATTTGTTCTATTTGAGAAAAATACCTGGATGGATGCATCGATATGTGCAAAGACATTGACCTCATCCCTATTTATAGAAGAAAAACATGGAAGATGCGCTTGGTTGAGTAATTTATAGACAGTTTACAAGACCAGTTCTACGCTCAGACAGCCTGGATTCAAATCCCATCTCTGCCTACACTGCTAGGCAACTCGCGGAAGCTACTCAATGTCTCCGTGCTTTAGTTTCCTCATCTCTACACTGGAAATAACTCTCTCCCTCTCTAGGAGCTGCCTTGGTGGTTAATCTGTATCACTTAGAGCCGCGTTTATAGGCAAGGCTGGCTAAATGTCAGCTGTTTCCATTTTCATTGTAATGGTAAAACCATCAACGGGGGGGAAATTAAGAGGACTAAAAAAAATATACAGCAAAAAAAGTTTATACATTCAAACAAACCACTTGCACAAAGGAGAAGTGAAAAAACAACTTTCAAAGAAAGGTGGAGGAGGAGGCGGGGCATGAGGGCTTAGGAAGTCAGGATCAGGGAGACAGTCTAGTCGGTTTCTAGAAGGGATGACAGCAGGATCTGGCTAGGAGCTCTCCACTGGCCTTGGCAAGAGCAAAGGAAGCGGGTAGGGCACTGCAGATGAACCACACAAACGAAAGGCCAGTCACCTGCCTGGCAAAAATCACAAGGAAAGGAAGAGGCAGCTACAGGGAATCAGCATCAAATAAAATGCCTATTTCTCTCCCAACCCTCCACGGCTTAAAAAAAAAAAAAAAACCAACATAAAGAGGGAAGACAAGTAGCCAACCAATGGAGAGACTGCTATGATTCCAGAACTGTTTAAGGCTGTGACCACAGTGTGGACAACCAACCCAGGGCATGGGGTGGCCCCAATAAAACAAATAGTACTATTAGACTTGTGGTCCTTCACCATGTCCTACTCATTTTTTCCCCTCCTTTTTACTTTCTCTTTTAAAGACCAGTTCTCCCTATGTTGCCCAGGCTGGTCTTGAACTCCTGGGGTCAAGCAATCCTCCCACCTTGGCCTCCTAAAGTGCTGGGATTACAGGCATGAGCTACCACACCCAGCCTACTTTTCTATAGATAGATTCATGTTTCTTCCTATTTTCCTTTTTTCTCTCCCCTCTGCCTTTGTTCAGTCAAGAGTAACCCAAAGACAACTGAAGATGATTCAAGAAACTGTTTAGCTGCCCAAATGAAAAGTGGCTTGAAAATAAGACTGCTTCATTCACACACGCACTACAGCCAGGTAAGCCATAAATATGCTAACCATGCTCAATCTTACAAGCAACTAAAGAAATGCAAAATTAGGCAGGGCCTGAGTGGCTCATGTCTGTAATCCCAACTGAACGACCTTTGGGCCTTCTAAAGCTTCATCTTCTTTGACTGGTAAGTACACTGAAAGGAACCTAAACTAAGGAAACCATCAAACATTTAATTTAACACAAATTTGGGTTCAAGTATGCTGATCATAATGCAACAATTTACAATGGGGGAGGTGGGGCATGTAGGGGAATGTTAAACTGTTTTATAGCCAATGGCTGCAGTAACAACTATTCCCCCAGCCAAGCCTGTGTGATGTGGCAGCAGGGTGACACTGTGCACACACCATGTGGTGTGGCAGGAGCCGTGTGGCACACGTGTGCACTGTGTATCCAGGTAGGCAAGCGCTCAAGGGAAGGGAATGAGGCATGCTGCAAAAACACCAGTCAAGACTCATTTTGAAGTTTCATTTATCTTTATAACTTAAAATGCATTAGACGCTTCATAATAATTTTACAAAGGAAAAAGAGTATGGGGAAATTCACTAAGCTGCTGAGATTTACTTTTAGAAGACAGATTTGTATAGTGTTCTTTACACTTGCCTGTATTTTCTACATATGACTTTTATAATAGGGAAGTAAAAAGAAAAAAAAAAATTACTGGTCCACAGTCTACCATAACCAGAGCTCTAGTCTATGAGTCACAATGAGATGGAGAAAAATAAGATGACAGGCTAAGAAAGAAAGAAAATTGACCTAGGAAATCATCAAACAGGTGTCCAATAAGAAAAAAAGAGGCCGGGTGTGGTGGCTCATGCCTGTAATCCCAGCACTTTGGAAGGCTGAGGCGGGTGGATCACGAGGTCAAGAGATTGAGACCATCCTGGCCAACATGGTGAAACCACGTCTCTACTAAAAATACAAAAATTAGCTGGGCGTGGTGGTGCGTGCCTGTAGTCCCAGCTACTCGGGAGGCTGAGGCAGGAGAATCGCTTGAATCCAGGAGGCAGAGGTTGCAGTGAGCCGAGATCATATCACTGCACTCCAGCCTGGTGACACAGTGAGACTCGGTCTCAAAAAAAAAAAAAAAAAGAAAAAAGAAAAAAAAGGAAGAAAAGAAAAGGAGAAAAAAGAAAGGAAAAAAAAAGGAACTGACCCAAAAGGGAAAAAAAGTTAATTGCGTCTGGATGAATCACAGGTAAGAAAGAAGTACAAAGAAAAAACGCACAGAAACTTAAAGCACCGCACGCTCACACCATGGGGAAGAGAATGCACACCAACGAGGGCAAACTAGGCAGACGTGCCCAGGCGGCTCCTGGGGGCCCTGTGATAAAGTCTAAACAGAAGTGATGCAAGCCCAGGAAGAAGGACCTGCTATAACCCACATGGGGCAAGGAAGATGGGGTATCCCCTCTGGAGGGCAGCCCCCAGCTGGTGAGCAGGCATCACTCCCAGCTCCCAGGGCCCCACCTAGAGAGGGACACCTGAATGTCACCTTCCATAGTGGAAAACAGACAGGAAAAAGTAGAAGAGACAGATACAGGTACATCCACTGCCCACCCCTGCTGCTGCCCCAGGCATTACTTGCAGCACTTGCAGTGAAGAAATCCCACTCCTAGTGGCCCTCATCCATTAGCCCAGGCCCCAGTGCTGAGATGGGGAGGAAGGAAGATACTGGTGACTGGCCCCAGGCCCCTACCACCATCACCCACACCCAAGATCCCTAACCCACAGCCCGTCATGCAGCATTTGTCTCCAAGACCTGAAACTGAAAGCCACCAGTCAGTCAGTCATGTGTCGCTGGAAATGCTATTGCACCGGAATGGAACCCATTAGCTACAGCCAGGCTAACGGGTTACGAACAGTGCTCCCTGGGAGAACCAGGCTGGGATGAGACAGTCTGGCAAGGCCATTTGAAGATGAGCATATGGTTCCTCAGATAAAAGTAAGGGCTGACCTAGTCAAGCTTATCTTACCAACTGGTAGGCTGATCCATGCCACTAACATTACTAATGCAATGATATGCCATGGCAAGCATATTGTAAAGACGTGTTTCAGGACAAATCAAAGAGCAGGAAAACATTTTTCAGTCTTATTTGCGCTTTTTTTTTTAGGGTAAAACCTAGTAGGTTCAGATTTCTGAATAAGTGCTGATCATTATGTGTACATAGCTCCCATCTTTTTAAACGTTAAACATATACATTAGATGCATGCAAACTTCAGAGACACTTGGGAAAAGAATGGTATCATCTCCACCCAACAGAGTAAACAAACAAACTACAAGACCAAGGCCTGGCACAGTGGACAGCACCACTACAGCCCAGGAGTTGCAGCCTGACTCCTGCATTGGTGCCCACCTGGCTGCAGGGTCTGGGGCATCACATGGTCTGCATCACTGTCAAATCATCCAGCACAGACTCACGACTACAGTGCCAAGCATGACACAGAAAGGCAATGGGATCCCCATCGAACTCAGGGAGCAAACACACAATGCGGTACTCAGTCTAACTCTTGGAGAGCAGTCTCGCCCAGGGCTGCCCAGCAGATGAGTGGCTGGGTGTGGGTTTTGTGGGTTTCTTGCCCCTGGCTCCAAGTTCTTCCATCTTTGTGGACTGACCCTGTCTGATGCCAACCAGAAGGTCAAGTCAGTACTCACCATAGGCTGTCCAGGGTCAGAAAATTTCACTTTAATATCCTGCAGGTGTTTCAAGATTGGTTCATCATATTCCTAATCAAAAAGAGAAAAAAAATTCCAACAGGCTTTTAAAAAAACAACACATCTCTCCCGAAGAGTCATGGTTGCAGAGGCTCCCAGATGTTGCATAACTAGCCCTATTGGAATTCTGTCCTTGTCAAAGTAATAACTACCAGGAAGAAACCCAGACTTATTCACCAACTCCCTGTCATAGAGAAGCAGCACCAAGGTGTCCCCTTTCCCTAGTGTGGAGCAACGGTGGCTGCCACTGCCAGCAAAGGGCAGTGCCACTGACACCCGCCTGCCTGCAATACTGGGGCAAGGGCCTTCACTGCTTTCCTGCCACCAGCTGCCACTGCACACAGAGATCAGAAATGCTACCAACCAAGACTGTTGGTCCTCAGCCTCTCTGAGGAGAAAGAGCAGAAGCCTGGAAGTCAGAAGAGAAGGCTAGATCGGCTACGGCCTTGGCAGCCAGCTTCCCCACCTGTGGCAATAAAGTTGTGCATGGCTTAACAATGGGGGCACCTCCTGAGAAACACATTGTTAGGCAATTCGGCGTGTGTTCATCAGAGCATATTTACACAAACCTCGATAGTGCAGCCTACTATCCACTATTGCTCCTACGCTGCAAACCTGAACAGCATGGGACTGTACTGAATACTGGAAGCAGCTGGTGATGGTACTTATTTGTGTATCTAAACACAGAGAAGGTACAGTAAGAATATGGTATCATAATCTTACAGGACCGCCATCCTATATGCAGTCTGTTGTGACCAAAATGTGTTATGTGGCTCATGACTGTATCCAAAACTCACAATACACACAGTCACTTCTTTATTTTTTTTGAGACGGAGTCTGGCTCTGTTGCCCAGACTGGAGTGCAATGGTGTGATCTTGGTCACTGCAAGCTCCGCCTCCCGGATTCAGCCTCCCGAGCAGCTGGGACTACAGGCACCCGCCAACCATGCCCGGCTAATTTTTTGTATTTTTAGTAGAGACGGGGTTTCACCGTGTTAGCCAGGATGGTCTCGATCTCCTGACCTTGTGATCCACCCACCTCGGCCTCCCAAAGTGCTGGGATTACAGGCGTGAGCCACCGCGCCCGGCCACACACGGTTACTTCTTTAAGAACACTTACACAGAGCGTGTCTGAGATCCAACTTGCGGGCACCATGGAAGAGTGGGCATCATGGAAGAGCGTACAATTCTTATCTGTGTCTGTATCATTTTACAAGTGATATTTCTTTAAACTCATTTTGCCAATACCTGTCAGCTTAGAAAGTCCCAGTGAGGAAAGTCAGAAGAGGAGTGGGAAGACCTGAATCCTCAGAAACACGCACTGGCAGCAGGCACTTCATTTGTAACATGGCAGTCACTTCTTTACCCCCAAAGTCTGGGCACTGAATCTCAAAATGTCTTGAAGTTGCATTAAGTTTTTCTTAAATCATTTTTTCTCTTTTTTAGTTGTATGTAATAATTGTACTATTTATGGGACACAGTGACATTTTGATGCACGTACACAATGTGTAATAAATCAGGACCATCACCTCAAACATTTATTTTTGAACATTCAAAACCCGTCCTCTAGCTTTCTGAAAACACGCACTAAATTATCGTTAGCCACATTCACCCTACAGTGCTACAACACACCAGAACTTACTCCTCCAATCTAGCAGTCACTCTGTATCTGATAACAGACCTCTCCCTATTTATCCTCCCCTCTCTCTCCCTCTTAGCCTTTATCAACAATTCTCTGCTTCGGTGAGCTGTTTTTGTAGCTCCCACATGAGTGTGAACGTGAGGTATTTCCCCCCTTTCTGTGCCTGATTTTCCGTTGAGTCCTAATTTTCAACTCTTCTGACATAAAACAAAACAAAAACAGCAACAAAAAGATACCTGCAAGTATCTAGACAAAAAGTAACCCAAAGGCAGTTGTGAAATGGGCCACACCTGCATGCGATGTTCAGTCTCCAATGCTGCGCGTGCCACCCACAGAAGCATGCGCTGGCTCTAGATCACCAAGATGAGCACTTCCACCAGCATGCTTTCCAGAGATGGCACTGGGACTTCAAACTCATCCCACTCAAAGACGCAGTGCCCACTCATGTTTTCCCAAACTTCATAAAATAACCATTATGTTCTAATTTCCTCAAGCAGCCATGTACCCTGTGGGTCAAAACTTTAAATGTCCAGGGCAAATATTAAGGTAATGCCCCACACTGGCAGACGCTCAGACTCAGGAAGCAAAGGCACAACACTGGAGGCATCGCACTCAGATCGTAAAGCCACCATCTCAAATTTTCCACTCTCCTTGCAGAAATATATTTCAACTATCCCCAAATTTAGAACAAAGGGACTCAGAGTTAATCCGCCTTTGGAATTTAATATTTGACCAAAATGAGCTGGGCATAGTGGCGCATATCTACAGTCCCAGCTACTCGAGAGGACCCCTTGAGGCCAGGAGACTGAGACAGCAGTGTCCTGACTGTGCCTATGAAAAGCCACTGACCTCTAGGCTGGGCATCATAGCAAGACCATGTCCCTTAAAAATGAAAGGGCTTCTCTCAGAAATGGCAGACTTCAAAACCAGACATTAAAAAACAACTGTTGGCCGGGCACGGTGGCTCACGCCTGTAATCCCAGCACTTTGGGAGGCCAAGGCAGGCGGATGATGAGGTCAGCAGATCGAGACCATCCTGGCTAACACAGTGAAACCCCGTCTCTACTAAAAATAAAAAAATTAGCCAGGCGTGGTGGCGGATGCCTGTAGTCCCAGCTACTCGGGAGGCTGAGGCAGGAGAATGGCGTGAACCCAGGAGGTGGAGCTTACAGTGAGCCAAGATCACGCCACTGCACTCCAGCCTGGGCGACAGAGCGAGACTCCGTTAAAAAAAAAAAAAAAAGAAAATATTGTTAAAAAAAAAAATCAAAATAGAATATGCTACCATTACCTGCTATGAGGTTACAAACAGTACAAATAACATTTCCTCATTCTCTGCATATTAAATGAGTACTCTATCAACCCCTGCATATCTTTTTAAAGCTGTTAAAACAAAAAGCAACAAAAGACACTTCATGGCTGAAATGCTGAAGCACTGACACTACTACAGAGGTGCTGGGAGAATGAGAAGGGACACCCCATTTAAAATGTGGCCAAATGCCTCACTGTGCTCTCAAAACCCAAGGCAGCACTATCCATGGCCAGTGACCCCAATGCCATAACCAGGTGGCCACACGCACAGAAGGGGACACCAAAACTCACTCAAGTCACCTAACTCTAGCTCCCAAACCCTGTTATCACTGCACCCCCAATCCCACGTGAAGATGCTCCAACCCTGCAGTGCAAGAATCACCCCAGGGCCCATGAGCCAGACAGCCCCACAGAACCAGAATCCGCACTGCCATGGCCACTCCCCATGCCCCCCGAAGTCTGAGAAGAACGAACTAAGAGCTAGTCTTTCCACCTGCTCCCTGCCATGGAGATTTTCAACTCTCAGGGTGCACATTAGAGTTCCTAAAACCAACTCAAAACTCTCAGTGCCATGGTGACAGATGAGGCATTTAGTTTTTGCTATTTAGTTTTCAAAGCTGCTCAGGTGATTGTAATACACAGGGTGAGACTACGGCTCTGGTAGACATTACTTAATTTTTCCAATGAAATTCTGGTGCATGGCATTCTTTTAAAAGTATGGTCTAGTCTTCTTAAATTCCACCTTTTCATATGAAAAGGAAGCTCAGATCAGGAAAAACCAAGGCTGTTCTATTTTAGATGCTTTCTGGTCTGGAAGGAGAATAAGAAATACATCATTCTTTCCATCTTTTCTCAAGTTTTGGCTTAGGACACAGGACAAGCATTAAACAAGGGAGGTAGCAGAGGCAGCAATGTGATACATTTGTGAAAACCATTAAAAACCGTAGCTGTAAAATCCTGTGCAAATTACAATGTAGCAGTTTGCAACGCACAGTGCCTATGCTCTGTGATGGGAGAAGCACTCTGCCCACACAAGCAGAGCCTGCAGCTGTCCTGAGCAAGTCTGAATGCAGACGTGCTGTTTCTGGGGACGCTGGAGCAATAAAAACTGACGGCAAGTCAGTCAGTGAGACTTAAGGCAAGATTTGTTTCTCTGTTCTAGAAACTTCTATTATAACTCATTTCAGGGAAAACCAAATTTGTTACCTTTTAATTTGTTCACCATTTCACTACAGAAAGTGAAATGTCAAGGCAAGACAAAATCAGAAATGGTGGTTGGGTTTTGTTGTTGTGTTGTTTTTTTTTTTTTTTTTTTTTGGAGACAGGGTCTCGTCACCCACCAGGATGGAGTGCAGCACCGTGATCACAGCTCACCACAGCCTCAACCTCCTCGGCTCAGGTGATCCTCCTGCCTCAGCCTCCCAAGTACCTGGGACCACAGGCGCACACCACAACGCCCAGCTAACTTTTCTATTTTTTGTAGAGATGGGATTTCGCGATGCTGCCCAGGCTGGTCTCAAACGATCTGCCTACCTTGACCTCCCAAAGTGCTGGGACTACAGACATGAGCCACCATGCCTGGCCTCTTTTTTTAAAAAAAATAGACACTTTTTCAAGAGAAATGATCAGAAAATATTAGCAACTTGTTCAAAAATTCACTGAGATGTGTGTGTACACACACACACACAAACAAACACACAGCTCATCCCTTCAAAATTCATTCTGCTCTGGTCTCCTGCCCTCACCCTTTCCTGCACACTCACACCACAGGAAGACAGAGATGGGCTCTGGAATCTATTCATAGGCTTTCCCACAGGCAAGACAACAGAGCTTTACAAGAGGTAAAAGGAACTGATTTGAAAGTTTTGGATCAGGCTGAAGCGCCCAGCTTTCCACCAAGAACTGCAAAAGACAGCATGGAAGCCCCACTGTGAATAAACCATTCACTGTGAGATCAGGACTGCTCATCTGAGGTCCTGGTCAGAGAAAGTGCCCTTCCGCCCACTATGAACAATCTTTCAATGCCCAGTGTAGTGCTTAAAAAATGCCATAGATAAGTAATGTTAGAAGACTAGCACATAATCTCTCTACAAGACAGAAGTGTGCTTACCTGGACTAATTCACTCAGCATGTCCACATTTCTGAAGATGGTAAACCAGAACTCTGGAATTCCTTTGGGATCTGGCTCTTCAGCCGTTGCCGCTGCTTTTTCTGTGACGACTACTTTACTTTTCATGTCTCCCTAAAAAAAAGATGCAACATAGGTAACGAAAATAAAAGTTTACAAACAATGCAGCGGCTTCACGTAGAATATCGTTGCCGAATCCTCTACTATCTCCCATCAAACACCTTGCTTTCTAAGTCTGCACCTCCAAACCACTCACTGGGCCACGCGACACTTTTCAGATGCTTCTGAGGAAAAAGCATTCAAGTCATTACATCCACACGGAATTCCGTACCATTTCACATCAAAGGCGAAGAAACTAAAGAGATGACAAAGTGCCACCGACGCTGGGAAAGGCCATCCAGTGCTAGCTCTGTGAGGTGCCATCCTGAGACAATCATCATCACAAATGCAGATGCAAAGACTGTACATCAACCTTAAGGAGATGCAATGCAAATATGCAGAACATCTAGCACTGGGCAAAAAAAGTCCAGTGCAAGGATAAAGAAGTTCACTTGGACTAATAATCTGACCTCTTGTTAAAATTTGTGGGGTGCTAAGTTGAAATAAAAAAAAAAAAAATTGCCGCAGCAGTATCTGCAGCAAGAAAGTGCTCAGCAACTTATCCAGCTTGTAAGGAAGTGGCTATAAATGCCAGCTCAGACACCACGCAAGCATCAGAAAGTGACCAGAAAGGCCACATGGCAAAAGGAAGGGGAGTCAGGCCCCAGGGAAAAGGTAGACCAAGGGAGGTGAAACGCAACACCAGATGCAACTATGGGAAATTCTGAATGCCTTGCCAAACGGGATTGTTATGATGAAATGATCTTGAAATGAAAGGCCTTTTAAATCAGCAAAGGCAGATTTCCCTTGAGCTGTTAGAAACTGATTCACAACTGTATTAATCCACAGCCATGGCTTCAATTAGGCCAGGTTCTATATATTTTTAAAGCATCAAAAACACATATGGCTACCAAAATCATCATATACCACCCCCCCCCCAAAAAAAAAACTGCAAAAAGTTAGTTATAGGATAAAAGTTACTTGTCTCCCAAACATAAAATCAGGCTGACAAAGTTAATCCATGGTACACTGGGAGTTTTCACAGCACTGGAATGGGACCAGTCACTAGAAAAAGGCTGTGAGCAGGTGACTGATGGCCACACCACAACCACCATCTGCAACCAATCCACTGGCGGAGCACCTCTCAGGGGGCAAGCTAGTCCATGCCACTGAGCAGGAAGGCACTCCCCTCACAACTCCCCCAATCTTCCAGTGACTGAGAACACAGGGGCATCTCTTCTTCATCTTTGCTTTCTCTGATGTTTTAATCTTTGTTGGTCTGATCCCTTATTTCAATATGCTCCTGTCCACAGATAACTGAGGTGGCACTACATCTTACTCCTATTAACTGACAGTACTGTGTCAGATGCTAGATCCATATCAGAAAGGAATCTAAACCCAACCTAATGATGCAGCAGCACCTACTGTTAGAAGCACATAAGTTTACTAGTCATTAAAAATCATTAAAAAATGCTTATTTTTAACAGTATTAAAACAGAACATGAGTCACATGTTTCTAAAGACTTACAGCCAATTTCTCTTCCTCTTCATTTTCACTGTGCCATTCCGATTCCGCATCTGTTGGTTCAACATCGCCGGTGATAAATTCTCTTCTCTACATAAAAATGAGACCTTATTAGAATTATGTTATTAGCTTACTTAGGAACTCAAGAGTTAAATTTATAAATAATGTCTACTAAAAGACTTTGAAAACTGGATATTTTTATAACTTATTTTAAGATTCTAAATTTTAGGGTTCAAAGAAAAATATTAAATGATTCCCTGGGTAAACCTGGATGTTTCACCTAAAGATGTAAAATAAAGACAGTCCCCGATTTCCAATGGTTCAGCTAAAGATTTTCAACTTCCTGATGGTGCAGAAGCCATCACACTTTGGGCACCAATACAGCCACACTGTGTTCCTCTCTCTGTGTAGGGTTCAATACATTACGCGAGATACTCAGCACTTTATTATAAAATAGGCTTTGTGGAAGATGATTTTGCCTGACTGCAGGCTAATGTTAGCGTTCTGAGCTTGTTTAAGGTAGTCTAGACTAAGCTATGTTTGGCAGGTTAGATGCGTTCTTACCCTAGATGTTGTCAACTTATAATGGGTTTATCGGAACCTAACACCTTCGTAAGCTGAAAACTATCTGTATATTAAATTAACAGAGCTCCCTACCTTGTCAAAGAGAGGCTGGTATAGCGCTGCATACTTTCTTTCCAAGTCATGTACCTCTTCATAGAACTTGGCTTCTATGTGAGCACATCTCACCTGAAGTTGTTTCAATGCATTAATTCTTCTTTTTACTGCTTTAGGTAAACTAAAAAAGGGAGTAAGAAATACAACATCCTCATGCCTGCAAAATAAAGCAGCATGCTTTTCAATTTTATTAAAATAAATTTAGGTTAACATGGAATCAACATCCTTACTATGAACAAGACCTCTTAAAAATTAAGAAAAGGACAATACCCCAACAGGAAAAAAAGGATACAGGAGGAAGCAGAAAAAATAATTCACAAAAGAAAAAACACAAATTGTCAAACATGAAGAAAGATTCAATTTCATAAAATATCCAAAAGAATGCAAACATTTAAGAACACTCAGCTTTTCCTTACCAAATTGGCAATTAAAAACCAAAACAAAACACCCAGGTTTTACGAGGCTAAGGGCCAAGAAGCCCTCTAACTGACTCATCTTTCTGAAGGGCAGAAATATTGAAAATGTTCTTTGGACCCAGTAATTCTATTTCTAAGAATTTATCCTTAAGGCTGGGCGCAGTGGCTCATGCCTGTAATCCCACCACTCTGGGAGGCCAAGGTAGGATTGCTTGAGGGCAGGACTCCAAGACCAGCCTGAGCAATACAGCAAGACCTCTCTCTACAAAAAAATTTTAAAAAATTAGCAAGGCATGATGGTGTGCGCCTGTAGTCCCAGCTACTCAGGAGGCTGAGGTGGGAGGATCACTTGAGTCTGTGAGGTCAAGGCAGCAGGGAGCTATGATTGCGCTACTGCACTCCAGCCTGGGAAACAGAGCAAGACCCTATCTTACCAAAAGGAAAAAAAAAAATTTATCCTAATCAAGTATTTATGCTGGAGTGTCCGTCGATAGATCTGTACAAGTGAAAAACTGGACAATGCAAGTGCAACAGCATTCAAATATGGCCTATTCATAATCACACTGTCCAGGAATATTTAGTGCCACGTGGGAATCCACACTTGTTAACACACTGGAGGAAAAAATCTGAGAAACACAGACCACAGGCAACACAACTTTGTCCTGGAGAGTCAGGTCAACTATGAGTTTGCCTTTCAATTCTGTTCTATGTTTTAAAAAATAGTTGTTATGTATAACTTTTATAAATCAGAAGAAAAATCCTTGTTTAACCCATCAAAACTATTTGTTCAAAACGAAGCCCCTGGTCACAATCATGTGGACTGAACAGCAGATTCCTGGCCTCATCATAGACCCAAATAATCTACCTGGGGCAGGGCCCTGGGTCCTGCATCTTGAATACTCATTCACACAATCAGAGTCTTCAAGTCTAAGCACTTGACTTACCCTCCAACAACAGACAGCACAGAGCAGTAGGCAAGTCACACACACATATCACTGGTCTGGGAGGTATTAGAACAACTGCCTTGCATCCCAAAGGACCACTCTCCTGGGTGAAATACAACCACAGCTACCTCAAGCTAAAGGTCCTTAGTTTAAGCAAAGACTCTCAAATAATGCTTAACATTCTAGAACTACTGCTAGTAGTAGATGAAAAAAAGGGAAAAGCAGAAAGAATTTAACAAAATGGTAGACTCCCACTGCCATTTTTACCCCTTTTCTGCACTGGTCATTCATTCATTCATTTATTGTGACAGGATCTCACTCTGTTGCCCAGGCTGCAGTGCACTGGTGCGATCTCGGCTCACTGTAGCCTCAACTTTCTGGGCTCAAATGATACTCCCACCTCAGCATCCTGAATAGTTGGACTACAGGGGCACATCACCATGCCCAGCTAATTTTTTTGCATCCTGTAGAGTAGGGGTTTGACCATGTTGCCCAGGCTGGTCTCGAACTCCTGAGCTCAAGCAATCTGCCTGCCTCGGCCTCCCAAAGTGCTAGGATTACAGGTGTGAGCTACCATGCCTGGCTAATTATACAATTTTAAATTAGTTTAATTTTTGAAGCTTTCCAACTGAAGTAAAATGACAAAGGATTTTTTTTTTTAATTATACTTTAAGTTTTAGGGTACAAATGCACAACGTGCAGGTTTGTTACATACGTATGCATGTGCCATGTTGGTGTGCTGCACCCATTAACTCGTCATTTAGACAAAGGATGTTAAACAAACTGGACCCTAGTGTGCCCCCAACAGTCCTTCAATCATTCACACCAACTACACCCAGCCCTCTGCCGGCACTTTTCCTGCAATATGGCTAATATGGAACCACTTCTAGTCCCACATAAACCTGATCCCACTCAAGCAGTTCCTCTCACAGAATGCCACCCCACCAACCCAGTTTCTAAAGCGAGAAAACTAGAAACCATTACTCATTCTCATTCTTGCCACTCCCACTCAGTATCACCCCATCCCATCAATCTAGTCTGCAAAAAAAATAACATCAAAACACCTTGCCCACTAAGTAATCTCTGAGAAGCTTCTAAATGGGCAAAGCAAACTCTGAATGTCACCTTCTAGGCCAGGCGCAGTGGCTCATGCCTATAATCCCAGCACTTTGGGAGGCCAAGGTGGGCAGATCACCTGAGGTCAGGAGCTGGAGATCAGCCTGGCCAACATGGCAAATCCCTGTCTCTACTAAAAATACAAAAACAAAACAAAACAAAACAAACAAAAAAACACGTGCAGCAAATCACCATGGCACATGTATACCTATGTAACAAACCTGAACACTCAGCACATCTACTCCAGAACGTACAGTGAAATAAATAAAACTACAAAAAACTAGCTGGGAGTGGTGGCGTGCACCTGCAATTCCAGCTACTCAGGAGGCTGAGGCAGGAGAATCACTTGAACCCGGGAGGCGGAAGTTGCACTCCAGCCTGGATGACAGAGCAAGAGTCTGTCTCAAAAAATAAAAATAAAAAATAAATGTCCCCTTCTTGTCGTAATAGCCCTGGCAGTCCTGACTGGGGAAACCAGCTGGAAGGTGGGGCCTCCTGGGAGACCAAGCCCTGACCCAATTATAGATGGAAGCCCAGTAACAGCTCATCCCTTTAAAAAAAAAAAAAAAAATTGCCATGCATGGTGGTGCATGCCTATAGTTCCAACTACTCTGGAGGCTGAGGTAGAAGGATTACTTGAGCTCAGGAGTTCAAGGTTACAATGAACTATTACATGCCACTGCACTCCAGCCTGAACAACAGTGAGACTCCAACTCAAAAACCAAAAATTCCTTCCAGAAGTAAGAGAGGTCCTGACAAGAGCCATCCTAGGATTCTAGGATCACCACCCTTATCATTTTCATAGTGCAATACATCTAGCACATAGGCCTCTCTTAAGAAAGCAAAGGTGTCAGCCAGGCACGGTAGCTCACCCGTTATCCCAGCATTTTGAGAGGCTGAGGCGGGAGAACCAATTGAGGCCATGAGTTCAAAACCAGCCTAGGAAATACAGTGAGACCCCATCTTTTTTTTTTTCTTAAAGACAGTCTCACTGTCACCCAGGCTGGAGGGTAGTGAAAACTCATAGGCATGCGGCACTATGCCCAGTTTTTTTTTTTTAAGGTGTTGGTGTCACAGGCTCATGTGGGTAAGTCAGGAAGGAGTGGTTCTCTTAGTTTAACTTAGGAGCCACCAGCTGTCCTCTCCAACTCAGATGATCTGTGAAGTCCTCTAGCCCTCCACAGGATGGCACTGTGCACTTCCTATCAGAACTGACAGGTCACGCTACTCCATCCACCAGGCAAACTCTCAGCCTAGGCACCGGGTAGGGTCACTCCTCTCATATCCCAGTGCCTGTCTCTCATAGACAATGTCTTGGAACGAAAAAAACATTTAATCCTGTTCTGGGGAACTGAAAAGTGGTTTTTCCTTTATTTTCCTTTTGTTTCTCCAAATTGCATGAGACCCTATTCACAGCACACTTACGTTTCGATGTAGCTGGAAGGGGTGTGAGGGACATTGTCAAGTCGCTCCTGTAAAGCTGCCAGAACTCGAGGATTCTGCATCACCTGATCTGTGAGCTTTTCTATGAAGAGTTAAGACCAAACATATTTAAAATATGCCCACCACACACAATAGCCAAGAGTCAAAAATTAGTAACATATCTACTTAGCTTTGCCTAGATTTACATCTACTAATTTCTAAATACATACACCAGTGACTTCTTAAACATGTTTTGAAAATAATTAAAATTTATTTTAAGAGCATTTAACACTCTGGGTTAATCACCTGATGGGTAGTTACAAATTTACTGAATAAACACCTAGAGAGTCCTGGCTCTCACCAGGACTGTGGCTGTTTAAGCACCAGACTTAAACAACTGAGGACATCATTAATGTAAGTTCACATGGTCTACCCCCAAGTCCCATGGTGGTGTCCAGAAGCCACGAACAGAGATGAGATCAGTTCCTCAAAGTAAAAGAGCATCCACTAGCTCCCTTGCTCACTGTGGTGCCATAGACTTCACAGTCCAGGAGAGCCCAAGGCTCACTAGCTCTCTGCCAGCACTGTTCCCTAAGTTTTCTTTGCATGTGCTACTCGCCTCTGCCTTGAATGTCCTTCTGCCCAAACCCACCTCCCTCCAGGAAGCACTTCTGACCATTCCACCCCACTTAGGGCTAACCTACATGTGTAGTGAGCTCACAATACCAAGCTGTTTGTATTTATAAGCCCATTTCCCAATAAACCAATGAATGAGATCCTGACAAGGTAGTGACTGTCCTTTTACCCAGTTGTGACTATGAAGTGGCAGACATCTGGCTCATGACACAGACTCTTAACAATCTCCCTCTTAATGACACAATACAGAAATCCAAACCCAGCGCCCTTCCCTTGCTTAGAGCCAGTACATACCCGAGTATTCTCCCATCCCGAGTATTCTCCCATCCCGAGTATTCTCCCATGATGTGGGTAAGTCAAACACACCAAGCAGGCACTCAATTTTAAACATTCATAATAGAACTGCAAACACAACCACTAACATGAAGCACATGAAGTGTATTTAAGGTACGTAATTTGTATATATAAAACTGTGTACACATGTGTAGTATATAAATACTACATGCATATACAAACACATATGAATGGGTGCTAAAACCTCCGTGTGAAAGTTTGCTGAAGAGGAAGAGGATATCTACACGTGCCTGACAGATTGCTTCCAAGGTGAAAGGACCTTGGTAACAGAGAAGTCTGGCAGGCACTGTCTTAATCATCAATCTCAGTGTCCTTGGGCAGGTGCCGAGCCAACACCCTGTGCCTCCGGAACCAACGACCACTGCATCATGTTACCTGTGTGCCCTTCTTGCCAAAATGTTTACCCTGAATCTCATCAGGAAGAAACGACTGGGCAAATCCAGACTGTGAGCATTCTATAAGACAACAGTGGCCCAGAGCGCTGATATGTTGATGTATTAATAAAAGATGCAAAAGGTAGGGAGATGACTCTAGAACAAAACAAAACGCATGATCCTTGAATAGGTGCTAGATTCGGGCGTGGGGTAAAAATTGCTGAGAAAACCAGGGAAACAGGAGCATGACTGTCTATTAGAGAATGGTATTGCTCCAGTGTTAAGTTTCTTGGTAATGACATTGTAGAATTGTTTTAGGAAAATAGATATCCACCACTTGCTTTCAAACAGTTTGGAGGGAGTGGGGAGTACAGATATAGTTTTTTTTAATGGTGGAAAAATATCACATCTGTGAATTTATGAACAAAATGACATTCTTAGGATTTGCTTTCCAAAGGAAGGAAAGTAAAGGGTATAGACTTAAAAAAAAAAAAAAAAAATGGCCAGGAGCAGTGGTCTGTGCCTGTAGCCCCAACTACCTGGGAGGCTGCGGCAGGAAACTGCTTGAGCCCAGGAGTCCAAGACCAGCCTGGGTAACACAGCAAGGCTCCATCTCAAAAATAAGAAAAAAGACTGGTCATTTGTTAATCAATACTAAAGCTCACTGATGGTAGCTACAAGAAGGTAGACTGTACTATTACTCTCTTTACTACTGTAGAGTCTGAATTCCTATAATAAATACATCTTTTGTTAATGAGATACTGATTTTTCATTTTAATTACTCTAGCTTTCCTAAAACCACTGCAGTACAGGAATCCTTTACTTGCATTAATAAATGTTTCCAGAGAGAGGAACGTTCCCCATACTGGATGCAAACTCTCCATGTGCAGTGGACTGACCTGTGTTACTTGCATTTTTAGCAGCTTCCACGGAATCTGAAGGAACCCCATCTGAAAAACTAAAACAACAGTATGTTTAAAAAGTATTACTGTAAAGAAAGTTCCAAAGACATAGCACAAATGGACATGTTTCTTATTCAATATATTAAGAGGTATCTGTACAGTGACGTCAGATTTGGGCAGAAGAAAACTACCAATGTGCATGTTATCTCAGAGGCTGTCCTCTCTGCTATAAAAATATTCTACTACGTAACATCCCCTCTCCTCTCCCAAACATAAAGCCCTACAAAGTTCTTATTTCCAACCTTAGCCAAAGCTTCTTAGCTCTCATTTCTACAGCTTCTTTCCTCAAAAAATCTGCTCCCAGCCCTCAAACCAAACCCATCAACCAACGAACATGTTACTGTTTGGTCAGCTGCTCATGTGATCAGAGCAAGGCAGTCTTACCAAGTTAAGACAGTGCCCAAAGTGGCTTTGTAAAATTAGCCACAACAAGTGTAAAATGAGCCATGAAACAGTTTTTAAAGATGCCTGGACACACCTCCCTCACAAAAAATAAACATCAAATAATATACACAACTAAAAGTAACCCTCAATCCACAAAACAAAATCTTCCACTTGATCACTGACAACTACAGACTGTTAGGAGAGTGTCAAAATTACCTAACTTCACCCCAGGGGTGTTAAAGCATGGAGAGCAAAACGATTGCTTTCCATAAAAGATCTGTAGTGTCAATGTCTGAGGCACTGTTCATGTCGGAAGTAATTTCTTTACGTGCTCAAATACATACACAAGAAATGAGCCATCAGCTAGACGCTGAAATGCATTTAACTTTGATTCTAATTATTTATTGAAAAATGGCTTGGCTGTTGCTCACCAACTGAATTTTAAACTCCAATAAACAAAGTCCACTTTGGCTTACCTGTGATCTGCCATCTGAATGTTTTTATCCCCTATAAATTAAAAAGAGTTGTAATAATTATATTCATAAGCAAAAATGTTTGTTCAATATACTTTTTAAACAACGGTTATCTGTGGGATGGAGTCCACTAGAAGGGACAGGAGGGAACTTTCTAGAGTGATGAAAATGTTCTAGATCTTGACTGAGGTTACCTGAGTATATACACTTGTTAAAGCTTATTAAACTATACACTTCAGATCTGTGCATTTCATCACACACAAACTTTACTCATAAAAAAATTTCTCGGCCTGGCGCGGTGGTTCACGCCTGTAATCCAAGCACTTTGGGAGGCCGAGGTGGGTGGGTCACTTGAGCTCAGGAGTTCGAGACCGGCCTGACCAACATGGTGAAACCCCATCTCTACTAAAAATACAAAATTAGCTGAGCGTGGTGGTGCACGCCTGTAATCCCCGCTACTCAGGAGGCTGAGGCAGAAGAATCACTTGAACCCAGGAGGCGGAGGTTGCAGCGAGCGGAGATCATGCCACTGCACTCCAGCCTGGGCAACAAGAGTGAAACTCCATCTAAAAAAAAAAATAAAATAAAATAAAATTATCTTATTGGCACTAAAATAACCAGACTTCAGAATAACATTAATTCTAATTTGCCTTATTTTTTATAATACATTCGGCAACACAAACATACATTAATGATAGCCCAACCATTTTAGAGTAAGTCAAAGCATTTACTGGTGTTTACACTTTCAAATTAACTTATGGGATTATTTTCTAATTGCATTTGTTTATTCCGTATCTTCCATTACTTCTACACTGAGGATGTATTGCTTGTGTAAAAACCTTGTGTAATATACTCAGTATTATTCCACTTTTAAAGATGATTATTTCTATATTGGTAGAATTAGATGACATTGTAACTGAATATTAAGGGTGTGTTCTAGGGCATTTACTTCTTAAATAGAAGAACTTGATATTAATAAAACTAAAAAAAAGTTATCATTTTTTTTGAGACAGGATCTCAGTCACCAAGGCTGCAGTGTAGTGATGCAATCCTGGCTCACTGCAGCCTCAACTTACTGGGCTCAAGCAATCCTCCCATCTCAGCCTCCTGAGTAGCTGGGACAACAGGCGCAGGCCACCATGCCCAGCTAATTTTATTTTTTGTAGAGATAGGGTCTGGCTAAGTTGCCCAGGCTGAGTCCCAAACTCCTGGCCTCAAGAGATCCTCCCACCTCAGCCTACCAAAGTGTTGGGATTACAGGTGTGAGTCAACACGCCTGGCCTATACAATTTCAAAATCTAATCTAAATGCATTTAAAGTAACAGCTAAATGCACAGCTTAAAAAGGTCCTTAAATGTAAAATAATACAGGTGTGGTTACGAAGTTCCTTAAACTCAGATGTGGGAAATACACCTGAGGGCCTCGCTAAACGGTTGTTCCAGCTGAAAACTGGCCAATGTTCATTCTTCAGTACCTGAGCAAAGCCCAAACCACTGAATCACATAGCTTTAGGGTAAAACCAACAACAAAAAAACCCCTCTATATTTAACAAAAACAGTTCTAATTATGATCTATGACTGTCCTGTATTTAACTCAACTACTTTTTTAAAATTTTTATTGTTTAGAAATAAAACGTGCTATTTTTAAGATTCAAAATACAACAAATATTACACATTGTCTTTTTCAAAAAAAATAAATTATGTTTTAATGAAGAAGATGAAAACCAAAAAGAAAAAAAAAATGCAGCAGGCACAGTGGTTCATGCCTATAATCCCAGCACTTTGGGAGGCCAAAGTGGGCAGATTAGTTGAAGCTCAGGAGTTTCAGACCAGCCTGGGCAACATGGGGAAACCTCGTCTCTACAAAAACAAACAAACAAACAAAATTAGCCAGGCGTGCTGGTGTGAACCTGTAGTCCCAGCTACTCAGGAGGCTGAGGCAGGAGAATCGCTCGAGCACAGGAGGCAGAGGTTGCAGTAAGCTGAAATAACACCACTGCACTCCCGCCTGGAAGACACAGTCAGACTGTCTCAAAACAAAAAGAAAAAAAAAAAAATGAGGCTGGACACAGCGGCTGATACCTCTGGTCGCAGCTACTTGAGAGGCTGAGACAGAAGCAACACTCGAGCCCAGGAGTTGGAGGCCTGGCGGCTGCAGTGACCTATGACTGCGCCACTGAACTCCAGCCTGGACAACAGAGCAAGTACCCTGTCTCAAAAAAAAAAAAAAAAAAAAAAAAAAAGGCAATAAACCCTACAATGGCTGGCTATGCTCACCACCATGACCACAGCAGCAACCCAAACCCAGCCCTAGTCAGTGAAGATTTAAAAACCCTTTAACGGAGGCCAGGTGTGGTAGCTCACACCTGTAATCCCAGCACTTTCGGAGGCTGAGGTGGGCGGATCACCTGAAGTGGGGAGTTCGAGACCAGCCTGACCAACATGGAGAAACCCGTCTCTACTAAAAATACAAAATTAGCCGGGCATGGTGGCACACGCCTGTAATCCCAGCTACTCGGGAGGCTGAGGCAGGAGAATCGCTTGAATACAGGAGGCAGAGGTTGCCGTGAGCCAAGATCAAGCCACTGCACTCCAGCCTGGGCAACAAGAGCAAAACTCCGTCTCAAAAACAAACAAAACACCCTTCAATGGTCCCCCGTCACCTTCTGCAGAATACACATTCCTACTGATTCAGGCCCTGTCTACCTCCCCACACTCATTCCCACTCACGCTCCTCCACCATGTTTGCTGCAATCACAGTATTCCTGAGGTTAGTTCCCTTCTCACATATTCTAAATGCAAGGTGTGAGACAGTCAGACTTCATAACAATTGTTTAAGGACAACATTCTAAGAGCTAAAACACCACTTACCAGCTGTTAAAGAATGAGGTGTTTTTTTCTGTTATATACCTTTGATAATGTCTCTATGAACATCTTGGCTTATATGGCTTCCCACTCCCAGTTATCCTTAATTGATATGGCAATAGCAGGACCGCTACAGTAGCATTTCTGGGTCAAAGAGCATGAATGGATTCTGATACATACTGCCAAAACAGTTACACAATAACATCAACTGTAATTTGGCTACTTAATTGAAGCTCTCTATTGCCTAAGAAATGTATCTCATAGCACCTTCCTTACCCCACACATACACACTAATTGCTGAAAGAAGCCTACTAACCTGGAAACATCTAACACTGTCAGTTTAATGGACAGATTCTTGTTGTCATCACCCTATCAGTAACACCTCGTAAAGACACATACTTCATTTCCAGCACCTCCTATACTAGCAAGGGACCTACATGTCAGGCACTTCATACATTTAATACCAAGAGAAACTCCACTAGGGAGGGACTATCCTCAGTTTACACGAAAAGAAGCTGAGGCTTGGAAAGGTGAGGTGCCAAATTGAAAGTCACACGGCTAGTAAAACATGCATTCGTGTTTCAAATCTGACTCCTTCTAACCTTTCCCTAGTACCAACACCACTTCACTTCTGGCTGTTTCTACTTGCTCATTAAAGATTCTGTTGCTGCTAGGCTGGGCCTGGGGGCTAACACCTGTAATCCCAGCACTTTGGGAGGCCAAGGCGGGCAGATCACGACGTGAGGAGTTCAAGACCAGCCTGGCCAACATGGTAAAACCCCGTCTCTACTAAAAATACAAAAATTAGCTGGGCATGGTGGCACTCGCCTGTAATCCCAGCAACTGGGAGGCTGAAGCAGGAGAACTGCTTGAACCCAGGAGGCGGAGTTTGCAGTGAGCAAAGATTGCACCACTGCACTCCAGCCTGGGCAACACAGCAAGACTCCATCTCAAAAAAAAACAAAAAACAAAAAACCTGTTGCTGCTATTGGAACAAGTGACAAGCAACAGCTTAGTCAGGGTTGAAATCCTACTGTTCAGCAGCATCTCCAAGAAATCCATTTTGTCTACAAATGGAGTGTGACAATACTCCCTTTTGATGCTGTTCACTATGCAGCCCCAGAGCCCCTAACAGTTCCTGGCATAATAAATATCTGTTGAAAGCATAAACCACCTGTGTTAGGACATGAGCCAAAGAGGTTCACCTTCCCATGGAATGGTACCTGTTCCAACTTAACAGAGTCCATTGATAAAATGATTCACTCAATTTTCATTTAAGTGAAGGCTGTGCTTTTTTAAAGAGACACACAGTCTCACTCTGTTACCCAGGCTAGAGTGCAGTGGCAGGATCATAGCTCACTGCAGTCTCAAACTCCTAGCCTCAAGTGATCCTCCCACCTTAGCCTCTCAAAGTGCTGGGATTATAGGACAGAGGCACCATGCCCAGCCCGGCATGTGCTGTTTAATACAATTTTTGTTAACAAGATGACAAGGCAGTTAAGTTAAACCCAACACGGTATTCTGGAAAAAAAAAAAAGTGCTAAATCAAGGATAGAAAAAAAATAATGAATTTACACAATAAAAAAGAAAATAATTTTGACTAAAGAACCAACCAACCCAGAACTCAATGCCTAGAACAAGACAGACACACACTGAACAGCCTGGTTTCAAATCCTACCCCTATCACAGATCACCTGAAGCTCAGGAGTTTCAGACCAGCCTGGGCAACATGGGGAAACCTCGTCTCTACAAAAACAACAAAAAAAACAAAATTAGCCAGGCATGGTGGTGTGAACCTGTAGTCCCAATTCAGGAGGCTGAGGCAGGAGAATCGCTTGAGCACAGGAGGCAGAGGTTGCAGTAAGCTGAAATAACACCACTGCACTCCCGCCTGGGAGACAGAGTGAGACTGTCTCAAAACAAAAAGAAAAAAAAAAAAAATGAGGCTGGACACAGTGGTTGATGCCTCTGGTCCCAGCTACTTGAGTGGCTGAGACAGAAGCAACACTCAAGCCCAGGAGTTGGAGGCCTGGCGGCTGCAGTGAGCTATCACTGCGCCACTGAACTCCAGCCTGGACAACAGAGCAAGACCCTGCCTCAAAAAAAAAAAAAAAAAAAAAAAGGCAACAAACCCTACAATGGCTGGCTATGCTCACCACCACGACCACAGCAGCAACCCAAACCCAGCCCTAGTCAGTGAAGATTTAAAAACCCTTTAACAAAGGCCAGGTGTGGTGGCTCCCACCTGTAATCCCAGTACTTTGGGAGGCCGAGGCGAGCGGATCATCTGAGGTCAGGAGTTCGAGACCAGCCTGACCAACACGGAGAAACCCGTCTCTACTAAGAATACAAAATTAGCCGGGCATGGTGGCGCATGCCTGTAATCTCAGCTACTCAGGAGGCTGAGGCAGGAGAATCTCTTGAACCCAGGAGGCGGAAGTTGCAGTGAGCCGAGATCTCGCCATTGCACTCCAGCCTGGGCAACAAGAGCGAAACTCTGTCTCAAAAAACAAACAAACAAAAAACTAACAAACACACTTCAATGGTCCCCCGTCACCTTCTGCAGAATACACATTCCTACCAATTCAGGCCCTGTCTACTTCCCCATACTCATTCCCACTCATGCTCTTCTGCATAACCTTCCTCTGGACCTCAGTTTCATCATCCACAAACTAGAAGACAGTGGCTACCTGAGAAACTGTTAATGGAGACAAATTTCCTAGTACATAACAGCAGGCCAGGTCTCTTTTCACTTTTGTAACTGCCATGCATATAGACTACATCTATTCCTTGATATGAAACCAACAAATCAAGTTACTTTAAACACTGCACCCTTTATACAGGTTGAGTATCTCTTATCTGAAATGCTTGGGACCAGAAGTGTTTCAGATTTTAGAATATTTGTATAAACATGATCAGGTATCTTGGGGATGGGACCCAAATCTAAACATGAAATTCATTCACGTTTCCCACACATCTTATTCACATAGACTGAAGGTAATTTTATACAATATTTTAAATAATTTTGTGCATGAAACAAAGTTTTAACTGTGATCCATCACGTGAAGTCAGGTGTGAAATTTTCCACTTGTAACATTAATGTCAACACTAACGGAGTTTCAGAATTTGGAGCATTTGGATTTTTGATTTTGGGATCAGGAGTGCTCAACCTGAATAAGGAAAGACAATGTAGAGAGGTGGTATTATAAACAAGCTAGAGTTCAGTCAAGTTTCAGCACCACAAATTATTTTTGTTTATCAATCCCTATCACCCTTAAAACAGAAAGTTATAAGGAACTATCAAATATACAGGTTTGAGGAAAATAAATATCTGTTTGTTTTAAATGTTATGTTCAGTTTAATACTAGTCTTATAAAACCACAGCCCGAAGACTCATCCAGAAGGTTCTCTCACTTTTAAAAGGCAATCAAGGGATCTATACAACCTGGTGACTATAGTTAACAACAATGTATCACATAATTGAAAAATTGCTGAGAGTAGATGTTAAGTGTTCTTGTCAGAATCAGTATACCACCTAATGTGAATTAACTTGACTTAGCCATTCCACAATGTATAGTACTTCAAAACATCGCATTATACATCATAAATATAATTTTGTGTTAATAAATAATAACTAAAAATAAATAAAAGACAATCAAGTTAAATTATGAAAGGGATACCAGGCAAAAGAATGTTGTAAGTTTTCTAAAGTTCAGGTTCCCTCCCAAGGTCAAAAACTTTAACTGTGTCTACAATTCTAAATCTGAACTGGCAAGCAAATTTTCACCCAGTTAATTGGGTCGAGGAAAAATAAAATAAAATAATTCCCATGATTACACAAATGTTCTTTTATTTATATTAGTCACTGTAACAATCCTATTTATGGATTAATTTCTTTGTACCCCAAACAACTGTTTTCTTATGAAATTTTTAAAGATTTTTGTAACAAAATATAACCTTAAATTCCTAATTTTGAACTGAAAACATCTACTCCATAGCTAGAGTAACTATAAAATTGGGCCATGGCCAGGCACGGTGGCTCACGCCTGTAATCCCAGCACTTTGGGAGACCAAGGCGGGCGGATCACATGAGGTCGGGAGTTCGAGGTCAGCCTGGCCAACGTGGTGAAATTCCATCTCCATTAAAAATACAAAAATCAGCTGGGCATGGTGGCACACGCCTGAGGTCCCAGCTACTCAGGAGGCTGAGGCAGGAGAACTGCTTGAACCTGGGGGGCGGAGGTTGTAGTGAGCCAAGATTGCCCCACTAGACTCCAGTCTGGGCGACAGAGCCAGACCCTGTCTCAAAAAAAAAAAAAAGAAAAAGAAAGGAAAAAAAAATTGGGCCACGTTTGAGAGACAAAGCTAGAGAGTGTAGTCGTACTCCCCAAAACTTTTATATATTTACTCTGTCTTAATAAACTCAAAGGTCCTCAATGTCTTTATGGGAGATAACTGAAGGATTAAAATTAATTCAAATGTAATTAATGTTTTCACAAGACTCCTTATAATTTCCTTACAAATCCTATATATCCTACAAAATTAGGGATGGTAGTAAATTTTTTTTTTTTTTTTTGAGATAGAGTTTCGCACTTGTTGCCCAGGCTGGCGTGCAGTGGCGCGATCTCGGCTCACTGCAACCTCCACCTCCCAGTTTCTCCTGCCTCAGCCTCCCAAGTAGCTGGAGTTACAGGTGCCCACCACCATGCCCAGCTAATTTTTTTTTTTTTTTGTATTTTTAGTAGAGACAGGGTTTCACCATGTTGGCCAGACTTGGTCTCGAACTCCCAACCTCAGGTGATCCACCTGCCTCAACCTCCCAAAGTGCTGGGATTACAGGTATGAGCCACCGCACTCTAAGATAAATTTCTAAAGCACAATTGCTTGGCCCACATTCAGTCTGAGGAATGGCAATCCAACATTCTCAATCCAAGAGAGTCTGACCAGCCATTGGGCACAAGTTCAAATCCTCCAGGAGTACTGGATGTTTTAGATTAGGACATCAGAAAGGACAAAGAAATGATCTGTTCTCAGAAGGAATCAAGATACCCCTGTAGGACACCCCAACATCCCCACCCACAAAAGCTGGTGATTATACGAAGCCCTGAGACAGTCCAGATTTCATTTCTATTGCCCAGGCCAGTAGACTCCTGATCCAGTCTATCATTACCACTCTCCAGGATCAGAAGTTAATCATGTTGTTAAACTTTCCATGATAATGTTCTGGGTTTTTTGTTGTTGTTGTTGTTTTTTGAGGTGGAGTCTCGCTCTGTCACCCAAGGCGGGAGAGGGTCTCAAACTCCTGACCCTCAGGTGATCTGCCCACCTCAGCTTCCCCCAAAGTGCTGTGATTACAGGCGTGAGCCACCATGCCAGGCCCATGATAATGTTTAAAAGCAATGAATAGGCTGGGCACGGTGGCTCACGCCTGTAATCCCAGCACTTTGAGAGGCCCAGGTGGGCAGACCACCTGAGGTCAGGAGTTCGAGACCAGCCTGACCAATATGGTGAAACCCGTCTCTACTAAAAAGATACAAAAATTACCCAGGCGTGGTGGTGAGCACCTGTAATCCCAGCTACTTGGGAGGCTGAGACAGGAGAATTGCTTGAACCTGGGAGGCAGAGGCTGCAGTGAGCCGAGATCGCGCCACTGCACTCCAGCCTGGGCATCAGAGCGAGACTCCACCTCAAAAAAAAAAAAAAAAAAAAAGCAATGAATAATACATGTTTGCCCACTAAAGAACAAGTTCCACGAGGGCAGGGACCCTGTCTACTTGCTCAATACAGAAGTCCCAAGGCCCAGCAACAGACTCGGGATGAGACTGGTTGCCAAGAAATCTTTGCTTAACTCACTGCTACCAAATGACAACTTGTCTCTGTGTTACCAGTACCCAGCACGCATGGTGCCCGGGACTGCATGCACACATCTCAAGCAGTTTCTGAAGACACAGAGGAGAAACACTGCCTTAGTCATTCATGTTTGGTTACAAGATCTACTGAAATACCTGCCTCCAAACAGCAGCAGACTGTCTCTTCAGAGACTTCTGCGGTGCCAAGCCCTGGGGTTTCAAGAAGAAAGCAAAAAATGATTTCCTTTCCTTAACCAAAACACTACATTTTACTTGGGGCGCAGCAGTCTTTACTGCTGCACTCCCATCTCCTCCACCCTTCTTTTCTGGGCAGTTCATTAGCATACGACTCAATGAGGCTAACTTCTTAATCCAGTACATATTAAAAGATCTTGTCATCTTGTCAATAAGGCACTTCCCTCTCTACCTATTTCATATTGCAACCACCAAAGTCCCTACTCCTCTGCACTGTTTTTCAAAAGCACCTGCCACCATTGAACTTGTTCGTCTGTCTCCCATAGCAGAAACAAGGACAAAGACTTCTGTTTTATTCTGCGGGAGGCCCCAGTACCTAGAACTGTGCCCAGTACATAGAAGATGCTCATGAATAAGTAAACAGATGCAAATCACTGAAAGCTACTTTTCGGTAACTGAGTAAACAAGTACTATTTTAATTATTATACTTAAAACCTTTGCACATAAAAGTGCACAGTCATTCTTTCTACCACAAATTAAACAGAAATTATCTCATCTTGTTTTTGAACAGGCTTTTCCAGATAATGCACAGCGCATTTTTAAAAGTCCCAAGGACATGAAATGAACATACATTTCGTTTTTAACAGTTAACAGGGGATACTTGTAAGAAACTTAAGGTTACACAGGAAGTGGTCAAAATCAAAAAGTAAAGATCACAAAGTGATCTTTCGTTGTTTTCATACTATAAAAACACAATGCCTCTGTTACTAAATGCAAAATGTAAAGCTCTGGCAAACAAAGTAAAGCAACCCTGTTCTCTCTTAAGAGGGCAGGGTGGAAAACCAATGACTGCCAGATGAAAACTAATTTATATCACCACAAACTATTTCTTAAAAATTTCATTAGCAGCCAAATACAAAATTATTTACTATCTACCTACTGATAAGGGTTTTCCATTACTATATGCTCAAAGACAAACCTTACAACTATAGTTTCGGGAGGCATAAATTTGCTTACCTCAGGAGGTCCCACAAAAATTCAGCTGAGGCCAGGTAACAGCAGTTTCCTGCAGAGATCAGCTACTTCCTATCACCATAGTGGTCGAAGAATCAAACGAAGTAATATCAGATTTCTACTCTGGAAGCCTAAAACACTTTTCCCTTTAAGCAAAAAAGCAAGCATTCCTTAGCTAGCAATCTCAGGCCAAACTCCCAACAAGCTCATCTCTGCTGTCTTATTCAAATATAAACCATCATGGTTTCAAGCAGTAACAGCACTCGCCTATTTCACACAGCTGACGCCTCTTAGGCCGTCAGGAATTTAAATCACCTTCTTGCCCACAAAGTATTTTTCTTCCAAAACAAACTGAAAAATATAGGCTCTTTGGCAACATTTTTGGAAGTACAACATAAACTTATCACAATAATTTTTAAACTGCAGACAACTAAAGGGAAGGAAGAAAAGCACTACTATATATACATACATATTTGAGGTCACCTCCTCCTGATGCTAGAGACTATCAACTGCTCAAAAGAAGGAAAACAAAATAAAGATTTCAGTCCCCACACTTAGCTGCGAATAGCTAACAAAGGGAATTAACATGCGGTCAATAACAAGAGGCTACTAAAAACTCTGACAGGTTAGGAAGTTTTCATTTCAGTTTCAAATTCAAATTCATACTGTAAAGTGGTGATGAACACATCCCATCCGCAGGTACTTAACCTCCATACAAATAAGAACTACCTCTCATATGGGCAAAAAGATCAAAATTCTACAGAAGAATCTGATGGCTAAATGGCTAATTTGCAAAACACAATGCCCTGTACATTTTGAGGACATCCTAAAACATGTGTAAACTTTTCAGAATTCAGTTTACCAAAGTTATCAAACTTAAAAATGATTAAAATTTATTTGCTACTGCAAAGAATTCAACCAATTTCTCCAATGACTACTCCATATTCATTTTGAAAAACAGTACCGGATTTAAAGCTTACACAACAAAATTCACAAAAGTGTTATATGTGCCTATATGACATATAGGCACAAATAACTGCAGACATTCTGAAGCTAACACTGCTCAACCAGGAAAAAAAAAAGACTGCAATTGGATATGTAATAACAGCTATTTAAGACGGCAGTAACGTGTTAAAATGGTTCATAAAAATCACATCATAAGGCCCTGAAATTCTAGTAAAAATATCTCTAAGTAAACTTGTGAACTACTACTAAATAACTAATTTTCTCTCTCTCTGTAGTCACTCATTTTATCTTTGGATTACTTTCCCATTCTATCACCACGTTGCTTTCTCTGAACTTCATTTTACATTTGCATATTATTTATTCCATTAGCAATTGCTCATCCCAGTCTGAATCTCAAAATTCTACTATAGGAGGCATTTGGCATTCTGTGGAATAAGAGAATTTTGAGATGGAAATGATCAACCAGCTCAAAACCTCGTAAGCTAGAGTTCAGTTAAGCTTAGCACAATGATGAAAACAATTTCTCATTAAAACTTCTTTCATTCCCTCTACAGAAGCAGTAACCCTGGGTACAGTTAAAACTGCCTGGGTCTTTAAGCTTTGTCACCTCGGACAAGTCATTATACCTAACCTCCCAGGGCCTCAGCTTCCAGAGTAGTTAAATGGAAAAACAATAGCATCTATCTCAGGTTATTAGATTATGAAATGAGTTAACACACGCAAACAGGCTGAAAGAGTCCCTGGTGCGCAGTGCAGGTATTAGTCATTTAGAGGTATAGTTACTATTACAGGAAGGTAGTAACTTAGAAAGACTTACCTTTAAGGTCCAACAACCTAATCTACATATTTGTATATTTCTAAGGTAAGAGAATTTTTAAAAGTCTATTTTCACCCCGTAAACCTAATGCAGGAGGATAAGGCACGGGTTACTACAGGAAAAAGTAATGCAGACTGGGGGATGCGAACCAAAGCACAGACGAATGTGCCCCGACGATTCCTCCGAGAACATAATGAAATGGCGGACCTTCCTGCCAGAGGAGCGCACAGTCACCCAGGCAGGTGATGTGACACACACGTTAGGGTCTAAAGGTCCCAAGGCTGGAGTCCCCTTTACTGGACCCTAAACATGTCTGCCTCCTGCCCCGCAATCAGACTTAGAGAACTGTGGACGGTGGAAAGTCTTATCATGACCAGGCCATCCTTCGCTGGGGTGAACGGAAAGCATTCAGAAGGGGAAAATTGAAAACAACAAAGACTCTGGTCAGGTCAAAAAATACAAATGTGACCTCTTCCACCATCTCTGAACTGAAAGAAAAGCATGGCACTTTCCCATCCATAACATGTACAATTTTTTTTTTTGGAGATTTTGCTTTTCCCTTGTGAAAGACGGTTTTAAATAGTAAACAGACTTGCTGCCCACCTTGGCTGGGAAACCAAGTCCCGTGAGTAACTAGTCTAAGGCCACTCAGGCCAGTCCTCGGGGAGCGCACGCCGCCCAGCTCGCTCCCACCGCACAGCTCCCAACAGCTAAGAAGCAACGCCAAGGACTTTCTTCCCCGTCAGACATGCCCTCGGCCACACCAAACTGACATCAAAACCCCAGTTAGCCCAGCCTGACCCCACAGAGGCTCACGATGACAACCGCCCTACGGAAAAACTCAAATTCCTAAACATCTAATAAAGAAGTCCTGGACGTCTCCACCTTAAAAACGGGAAGCCTGAACGCTCCGGCGCGCCCGGCCGTGTAACCGCCACAGCCCCCGCACGCGGGGCGGGCTGGGCTAGCGGGAGATTTGAGCGGCCGCCGCCTCTCGCCGTCTTCGCCTCCTCCAAGGGGCCGCCGCCCAGGAGGCCGCCCGCGGCGCAGAACAAAGCGCCTTGACCTTCAGTGAGGCGGGCAGCCGGGCGAGGCGCGCCGGGAGTTGGGAGGGGCCTCCCGCCAGCGCCCCAGGCCCGGGCTCCAGGCCCCAAGCCCCAGGCCCCGCCGCGGCCGCCGCTGCCTGCCCCGACCAGAACGCGGCCCCGCCCCTGCCCCACCGCCCCGAGGCTTCCAGAGATGGCCGCCGCCGCGCCCGCGCCGGACCCGCGGCCCCACCCGCCCGTCCGGGCCCGGCCGCCCTCCCCAGCGCGCCGTTACCGGCCCAGCACCCGTGTCTCCGCACCTCACGCCTCCTGCGGCAGTGGCGGCGACCCTAGCTTCGCTCGCTTTGGGGCTGCGCCGCCGTGGCCTCCAACAACGCCGGCTCCCATTGGCCGAGGCTCCTAGCTCCTCTCTCCGCGAGCAAGACAGGCTGCGATTCGCCGAGCGCGGCGCAAGTCAACTGCGCTTCGCGCCGCAGTCAGCAACCAATCACAAGCCTCCGAAGAAACGCCGCGCCATATGCAAATATTCCTCCGCGCGGCGCGCGCCCTGCGTTCCTCCGCCTCTTTAAATGGGGCGGGGCAAGGTGGAGACCGCGTGTGTGGTTCCGGGGGGTCCCGGGTCCCCGCTCCCGGGACCTTCCCCGGGTGGCACCACATCCTCGCGGGACACTGGGCACCACCCCTCTCCGTGGGCCCCGGCCCCAGCCGTCTTTATCTCCTGCGCCCTCCCAGTTCCCTAGTTCAATCCCGTCCGCGGCGGGTCGGTGCCTCCAGCACTCCGTGCGCCCGCTGATGTGAGAACCCCACCTCCCATGTCGTCCCCTCGCGCTACTCCTTGAGAACATCGCGGAGGGCCCCTCCGCCTGGGAGCCGTTTTCAACCAGCCCCGTTAGTGGTTGGGACGTAAGCCTAACCCCCGCTCATCCCCCAGGTCCCAGGTTGGAGAACACTTCCTCTGCGAAGAGGTCGGGGCTGGGTCACCTCCGCGGACAGGACGGGACTAGCCACTGCCTGCATCTCTTCCCCCACGCCCTGAGCCCCGCAGTGTCCCAGCAGCCTAGTTCTGGCCTGCGGGAGACCCTGTCGGACAAGGAGGAAAAGCAGTGCGCACTGGGCCCTCAGATCAGCCCCCTGAAGCAGAGCAGGGCAGAGGGCTGGGGAGGAGCTGGCCTGTTTCGCCCGCCCTGTTCTCCCTCTCATGGTGCCCTCTGGGCTGGGGTGAAGGTACCAGCCCCAGCCTGTGCACATCACATTTTGTAGAAAGGCATCCAATTTGATTGGAAAATAACCCCTACGCTGGGACTTTTGAGGCTGGTTCATTTCCATGTTCAACCGTGCCATTGGGGGTCTTCAAGTCTAATGTGCATTTTTTTCAGAAACGTTCTCTTTTGGGATGACGTTACTTTTGAAACAATTGCTAATTATTATTATTATTAGCAAGTTATTCCTGTAATGGGGAAAATTTGAAACCATTTAAAGGCTCCTGGTTGAGGGATTAAGAACATAGCGTCGGTTATAAACCTCAGAGGTAAGCTGGGAGGCTGAGGCAGGAGGATTCCTTGAGCCCAGAAATTCAAGTCCAGCCTGGGCAACATAGTGAAACCTCATCTCTAAAAAGAAATTAATGCGGAGCGCCGTGGCTCAGGCCTGTAAACCCAGCACTCTGGGAGGCAGAGGCAACAAGTCCAGCCTGGGCAACATAGAGCACCCTTCCCCTGCTCCAAAAACAACAACAACAAAAAATTACCCAGGCGTGGTGGCTCAGGCCTGTAATACCAGCTACTTGGGAGGCTGAGGTGGGAGAATTACCTGAGCCCGTGAGGTCAAGGCTGCAGTGAGCAGAGATTGGGCCACTGCACTCCAGCCTGGGTAACCAGAGGGGGACATTGTCTCAAAAAGACAAAAAAAAGGCCGGGCGCGGTGGCTCAAGCCTGTAATCCCAGCACTTTGGGAGGCCGAGGTGGGCCGATCACGATGTCAGGAGATCGAGACCATCCTGGCTAACACGGTGAAACCCCGTCTCTACTAAAAATACAAAAAAATTAGCCGTGCATTGTGGCGGACGCCCTAGTCCCAGCTACTCGGGAGGCTGAGGCAGGAGAATGGCGTGAACCCGGGAGGCGGAGCTTACAGTGTGAGCCGAGATCGCACCACTGCACTCCAGCCTGGGCGACAGAGCGAGACTCCATCTCAAAAAATAAAAAATAAAAAAAAAACTAATTAAAACAAAAAACATAAAAACCCCTCAGAGGTGACCGGTGCATGGCTGAGGCCTGACCCACACAGCGTGCTCAGTCCTGTCTGGCCATCTGTGTTTTAGGAGAGGGTGTGTGTGCTCTCAATTCCTATTTTACTTATTTAGACTTTCAGACTTTTCTACAAAGGTCATGCTTTATGCTTTGCGGAAGCATAAACAATGATAGAAATGACACAAGAACCTGGGCATTTGAAGTTTGGAGGGTCCTTCCTCCCATCTAATAAAGTCTCAAGACCATTTGCAGTAATGGGATCCCCCTGCTCCTGGATGTTGGGGTTGGTGGGGGTGGCATCCGGGTGGGTGGATCCTCTGAGGGAGCTGGGCCTTGGGGCTGGGGGCAGCTGGACCTGCTCCCTGGGAGATCTGCTGGAACTGGAATGATTGTGGTGGTGGTGTTTTTCTCTTGGTGGTTGGTGGTTTCTCTCCTTGGAAGATTCTCATTTGGAAATAGAGTCTTCACAGATGCAATTAGGTAATGAGGTCGAGTGGGCAGATTGCTTGAGCCCAAGAGTTCGAGACCAGCCTGGGCAACATGATGAGATCCCATCTCTACCAAATATCTAAAAATTAGCTAGGCATGGTGGTGCATCTATAGTCCCAGCTGCTTGAGAGGCTGAGGTGGGAGGATCACTTGTGCCTGGGATTTAGAGGCTGCAGTGAGCTGTGATCATGCCACTGCACTCCAGCCTGGGTGACAGAGCAAGACCAAGACCCTGTGTCAAAACAAAGAAGTCCCCAGATGACACTGACATGCAGCCAGAGCTGAGGGCCACTGGGATCAGGACTCCCAGGGTAGCTGGCGCTTGGTGAGTTTCATTCCTGTTTTCCCAGCGCTGCCTCTGCCAGGCCTCAGGCATGAGCCCACCTGTCTACAACCCCTCTGCTGCCTCAGCCTCCTCCAACCTGGAGATCAAGAGTCCCCTCCAGAGGCTACCTTGCCTGTAGTTCTGCTCTTGGCTGCCTTGTCCTCACTGAGGCTCCGGGAGACAGTCCCGGACAGACACCACGTGTTTCTTCTTCACATTGCCAGCACCCGGAAAAGTGCCTGGCACTTGGCGAGCTGTGCCCTTACCTGGGCGCTACTGACAATGGCTACACCTTGGCCTGGAAGTAGAGGCAGCAATCACTGCCCCATTCAACAGAGGAGAAAACAGAGAAACCCCTCTAACGCCCCCAGCTAAGTGGCTCTGGCCCTGGAGGGGGCGGCCATGCCCTTCACCTGTGGTGGGGGCGCTACTCCTCAAAAGACCTCGCAGCCGCCAAGAGCTGGAGCCGAGGCCTCAGAAATGCCCAAAGCCCCCTCAGTAGGCTGGGGGCTCAGCCTGTGGGGCATTAACAAAGTGGGGCCCTGGAGACATCCAAGAGAGGTGGCTGGTTTCTCCTGGTATATGGAGAACAGAAAACACCCATGGCGTACTCCACACAAGAGGGGTGCGCAGACAGGGAGTGCCTTTGCAAGCTTCCCGGCCTCAGAAAGAAGGCATCTGGAAGACTGTACCCCAAATGTTGTAGGGATTTGAGAGGTAGGGCACGGGGTCTTTCAGTTTCTACTTTATATTGGAAGTTTTCCGTATTATTTATTTTTAAATAATGAATACATGACGTTTTTATAGTAAAGACACCAAAGATTGCTCTTTGGGGAAAAACAGGAAGATGTAAATCTGGCTCTTACAGCTGAACAGAGCTTTCATGTACAGAAAAGAAACACTTTCCACAGGCAAACTAATATTATACAAGAAAAGTGTCCACCCCACGTTGTTCCAGAAGGATCTGCTGCAGCCTGACAGCAAGAGATTGCAGGGTAGGGAGGTGCTGGGGTCCTCTTGGGGGCCAAGCCAATGGCCTGGGCCCAGCCAGCCTATTGTCACTGCAGGCCCTCGGACCCAGCCTGGGGAGACTGGAGGAAGTCAGGGAAGGGCAGAGAGAAGGCGCACCGGGCAGTGGGCCCTCAGAACGGGGAAACTCCAGGCAGAAAAGCGGCCCAGAATCACTCTGAATTGGGGGGCGTGAAACAGGGGCCACAGCCTGGCCCTACTGCAGTCCAGGTGGAGCCAGGCCTTCACCAGCTGTGGGGACCAGGCGTGCCCCTGGCAATCTGGATACGTTTTTGTGCAGCCACCACTGGAAATGGGGCACACGCCACTCCTTCTTGCCTCCTTGGATGGCACCGCGGCTTTGGGCCAACCTCCGCTCACCCCAGTGGTGGCAGCTAAAGACAAGGGTATTTCCTCATGGCCCAGTTGTCAGGATATTTGATACATGGTTTCCAGCACAGGCCAGTAAAGAGGATACACTGTGGAAGGGATTGCTGCTGCTGCAGTGCCGGCTGCACTTCATCAGTTTCCTTGGCTAAAGGATACTGAGTTACAGGTTTCAGGCTACTTTGTATCTCATTAAAGACACCTCTCCATGCAGCCGCCATTATCACACTAACAAAATTAGCAAAAATCTTGACTGTCATCCAATACCTGGTCATTCAAATTTCTTGAAATTTTTTTTTTTTTTTTTTTTTTGAGACGGAGTTTCGCTCTTGTTGCCCAGGCTGGAGTGCAATGGCGAGATCTCGGCTCACCGCAACCTCCACCTCCCGGGTTCGAGCGATTCTCCCGCCTCAGCCTCCGGAGTAGCTGGCATGTGCCACCATGCCCAACTAATTTTTTTGTATTTTTAGTAGAGACAGGGTTTCTCCATGTTGGTCAAGCTAGTCTTGAACTCTCCACCTCAGGTGATCCGCCTGCCTCAGCCTCCCAAAGTGCTGGGATTACAGGCATGAGCCACTGTGCCCGACCCCCTTTGAAATGTCTTTACAGCAGGTTTGTTCAAATCCTTCAAAGATTATCCCTCAAACCTGGTGGTTTTGTTTCTCGAGTCTCTCCCAGTCCTTCTCTTCTGCCCTATTCTGCTCCCTTTGACGCAGACGTATTGAAGATGCCAGCCGGGCATCTGGCAGAATGCCCCACCTTCTGCACAAATGTGGTGGCTGCTTCATGGCCTCACCTGCATTCTCCCTCTGTTCCCAGTATTTCCTGCAGACAGGAAGTGAGCTGGACAGCCTTGCTCCTGAGGGGGCTGTAGCCCGGCAGCACAGGCCACAGCTGGGAGACTGCAGGAATGCAGAATCTTGGGCTCCTCCTAGACCTGAACTGAAATTTGTGTTAACAAGCAACCCTGGGCAGTTTATACGCACATTCAAGGTTAAGGAGCCCTAGCCTAAAAGCTGCATTCAATACTGACTTATACTTTTAGAGGAAATCCTTCTTTTTGTTGGGGGGCTGACAGCCAGGGCCCAACATCAGAAAGTAACACGTATCCCCTCCTGGAAACCTACAAGTTACTCACAAGGTGACACTTTGGCATCAAATTATCCAGCACCTACCAGCTTTCATCCAGGGGTCTCAGCATCCGCGGTCAGCCCCTGCCTGAATCAATGACTTCATTCGGGGTTGCAGAATGGAGATGTCTGATCCTGGTGCTTCTTCCCTTAGCTGGCATCTTTGGGGGAAAGAACAACTTTCCCCTTTCAGCTAGGGCCATTTGGTGGCCCTGAAATATACTTCCCATGCAAGGTAAAATACTTGCTTCTGTCACTAATGAGTAACTCTACAGAAAGGAGCTGACACAGGCCACCTCCAGTAACGACAATATGTTTTAGCTTTCTCTAGTTTTGAGAATAAATACAGATGCCTGGAGTTTTTTTTTTGTTTGTTTGTTTTTGTTTTTTGTTTTGAGACAGAGTCTTGCTCTGCCATCCAGACTGGAGTGCAGTGGTATGATCGCAGCTCACTTGCAGCCTCCACCTCCCATGCTCAGGCAATCCTCCAACCTCAGCCTCCTGAGTAGCTGGGATCACAAGTGCGCCACTACACCGGCTAATTTTTTTGACTTTTAGTAGAGACAGGGTCTCGCTATGTTGCCCTGGCTGGAATCATTCTTTTCAATGCTCAAATTGTCCCAAACTTAGCCAGTAGGAGCTCCTGAAGCCTTAAAGTAATTATAGGTTTCCAGAAAACTGCACAGTTTGTTTCCTGATGGTCACACCTTGCCTGGCCAGAGTTCAAGATCAACACAGGAGACTGACATTGGTACAATGTGTGTGACTCTACGTTGTGCTATCACATATGCAGATTTGTGTGATCACCATGGAAACAAGAACACAGAAGTGCCCTCCCCACCAACCCCACCTCCTACTGTCCCTGTGCAGTCACTCCCCTCCACCTGCCCCCGCCCCCCCACCATCTTTAACCCCAGCTACCACCATCTGTTCTCTATTCCTACTTGAGAATGTTATCTACGTGGAATCACATGGCATGCAACCTTTCAGGGGTGGCTTTTCCAAACCCAGCAGAATGCCCCTGACACATACCACCCAGCTGCTATGTGTCACTACCTTGTCCAGTGTCCTCCTGACCTGACTTCTTGGTGTTCGAAAGCTCCCCTTTTGGGGCACAAGAGTGCCTGGGCTCAGCTACTCCTGCTGCTGCAGACCTGGAACTGGCCATTTCTCCAGGGGGTGGGATGGGGTTTAGAGCCCCAGATCGGGGCTGGGGCTGCTCAGTGCCACCAGGGCTGCCTTGCTTCTCCACCCTTCCCATCTACACAGTCAGGAAACAATCTACTTTTTAAAATCACAAGTTACTTCATATTGTTTTTTCTAATTCGTATTTAATAGTAAAGTGATTTTCCTTGACTTCTTTGATATTTTATCGTCTTACATTAAAAACTTGATTGCTAGGCTGGGCGCAGTGGCTCACACCTGTAATCCCAGCACTTTGGGAGGCTGAGGCGGGCGGATCACTTGAGGTCAGGAGTTCAAGACCAGCCTGGCCAATATGGTGAAACCCCATCTCTACTAAAAATACAAAAATTAGCTGGGCATGGTGGCGCGTGTCTGTGATCCCAACTACTTGGGAGGCTGAGGCAGAAGAATAGCTTGAACCCGGGAGGCGGAGGTTGCAGTGAGCTAAGATTGCTTCCCTGCACTCCAGCCTGGGTGTCAGTGATCTTATTTGTGTTGGCATACAGGGTTTGAAAATTATAATGCCAATGTTATTACTAACAACAAAACTATTGAATTGACTTTTCTGTACTTTCTTTGACCTTAGAAGATACCCCATTAAAGATGTGTAGCAAAAAATGGCCAATTCTCAGAAAGTTGAAGTTCTTTTCTTGAGGTTGCCAATTTGATTTATGTTTTTGTGCCAGATGGTACTTTCTGAAATAGCTGCAGTAGTATTTCCCATCCCTTCTGGAACCCAGTAATGCCCACCACAGGGTAGTGTCTATGCCTCCCCCTCCGCACGAACGTGGGTGGGCCTTGTGACGGCCTCCGCTAGGGAGGACGGTGGAAGTCAGGACATGACCTCCGAGGTTAGATCCTAAAAGGCCATATAGCTCCTGTCTCTCTCTCTCTCAGGACTCGCACCTTTGGAGCTATAGGCTGTTGCAACAGAAATCAGCCACCGTGAAGCCGCCAAGCTGGAGAGATCACACACAGGTCTCACAGAGGTAAAAGGTGCCCAAGCAGCCCTAGTGTGGGACCCAGGCACAAACTTAGAGATGACCCCATCTGCCTGCAACTGAAAACCAATCAACTGAGCCCAGTCAATCCAGAGCCATGAGTTATTAACATGATCATTGTTGTTTTCAGCCATGAAGTTTTGGGGTGATTTGTTAAGTGGCAACAGATAACTGGAACATGTTTGTTTTACTTTGTTTGGGGGACTTTTCTTTCTTGCTGGTTTAAATTTTTTTATATATAAAATACTGACAAGGTTCAAAGTCAGGCCTATCAATACCCAGAGACTGTCCTCATTGATTTATAACCTTAGTGCTCCCTGCATAATTGGGTGGGTGCTCTCAAGCTGTGCCAAGCACCCTGCTGATGCACAGACAGGCTGGTTCCAGCCTTTTGCTGTGTCACACACTACTGCAGTAAACAGCATGCGCATGCGGAGGGCAAGGACAAAGAATTGGCGCACCCACAACCCAACACTGCCACACTCCCCATGCTGAGGCTGCTGCCACCATCCACATGCACTGGATGGAGTGTCCCCCCCTGGATGTCCACAGCACCAATGACTGTCTTTTGTCCCGATGGATATGGCCTGGCACCAGCTTCCGCAGGCATGAAGCAGGCTGTGGTTTCTGCTTACGCCCTCCTCAGCCAAGGATGGGTAAGCACCTTCGCGTCTGGGTGGTGATTCTTAGTCCAGGTGAACCAGGTGTGGAGGCAGGGTGGCAAGGACAACACTGGGCACTGGGGACAAGAAGGCCCCTGCTGTGTTGAGACCACCCCCACAACTCACTCATTAGCCATGCAGATCCTGGACTTGCTGTCTCCAGCGGCAGTTCTGGGCAGCTCGCCAGGGGCCTGCCTGCTGAGCCACTCGCTGTGCTGCTGCCCAGTATGGAACGGCTCTAGGAAAACCTGCAGTGTGTTTATTCATCAGAACCCGAGGGCAGACTGAGCGGCCTTTGTCTAGGGCTCAGCAGGCTCTGCCAGTCTGAGCCTGTCTTTTTCCTACTCAAATACCTCCCAATGTGCCCACACACCAGAGATTAGCCGATAGCCATCAGCATGGGGGAGAAATTCCTCGGCCAGCTGAAGCAGCTCAACTGACCCAAGCACCTAAGTTGTGACCTGCTGACCAAGCGGCCCTGGCTGGCCACCAGGCCTCCTGCCAAGTGCTGAACATGCAGAACAAGACAGAGAGGGTCTCACTGTTGAGAAAAATTTATTATCAATGTCTCAGAGCCAACGACGACACGAACCTACATGAACACAACTCTTAATTTAGGACCCAAGGGTGACTGTAAACATGATAGGAGCGCTGGGACATTGTCACTGAGGCAGACAGCAGCCACTAGTCCACAATGGTTTAAAAAGTCAGTCCTGTGCCCCCTCACTGGAAGCTTCCATTCTGGGCCATCTGCAGATATTCCTTGTAGAGCTTCTCCTGAGCCTCGAAGAGCTTCTTCAGCTTCTTGGCTTGCCCTTTGCTGAGCTCTTTGCCCTCCATGTCATGTGTGGGCAGACCCTGAAAACCCAGAGCACAGCGGCTATTGGTCTCCTCTGCACCTGGGTAACCCCAACTCCCCTTTCTTTGCCCTCCCGTCTCAAAGTGTCTATCTCCCTGATGCAGCCATGTCCTCTTGCTTGGACATTCAGTCACCACACTGCTCTGGAGCCAGCACACTCATCTGGCAGTGCTGGCTCCAGCAGCTAAGAATGGGAGAGGGGCGACCAGAGTCTGGGGGTGCTTCCTGCCTAAGGTGAGGGGCACTGTGCCCCTCAGAGCCTACCCATGGCTGAGTTCTGACACAGCTGGCCCAAAGGTACATAGCAAACACATCCAAATGCCAGCAGGGAGGGGCCTAGAGGTTTGGAGGCAGTGGCTGTGAATCGCTATGACAAAGGAAGAAACTGGGGGTAGGAGGCCTATCTGCGCCACGGCACTTCAGCCAGCTTGTGAGGGCCTGGGTGGATCTTGGCCCGGGGCCACAACTCCCAGGGCTAGGGACCAGAGCTCACCACACCAGTGGAGGGGGCCCTGGCACGGGCTTGCCTAGCTGCCTGGGCTGTGGAAGGAGCTCAGTAGTTGGGCCAGGAGGCCCTGGACCTAAAGCGGGTGTCAGATTTGATTCCAAATTTTCTACAGACAGAAAATCTGCTTGTCCAAGGTTGAAAATTCCTGTCCTCCCACTTTAATGTGGTCTGATCAAGTTCTGAATAGAAGAGAAGGATGCTTACATGCTTACATTTTCATCAAACTTGGAGTATTTGTCGGTTTCTGACAAGAACATCTCACTGGGGGGAATCTTCATCTTGGCCAGCTTTGCTGCCTAGAACACGCAACACGGCACAGTCACTGCCCCCGAGCAGCACCTGGGGCTCCGCACTGTGAACGACATCTGCTCATACCTCCAGCCCTCAACTTGCTTCCAAGCCCTCAGATTCAGAGTGCTATGAAAGATGGGAAGGGGAAAGCCAAGGTGGAGGGAACATACAAGGAATTTAAAATTAAACCAGATGTTATTTCTACAGGAATAGTGGAAAGCTTACTAGAAAACCTAATAGTAGTAAGTCTATAAACGCTGTCTTGGAGCTTGTGACCACATGGCACAGCCTTCCCCTTGGCCAGGCCTTCCCTGCACCCCATGTGAGAAGGGCCTGGCAGGCCTTGGGTGGTGGAGGCAGAAAGCGGAGCTCCTTCTGTGAGGGTCTGCAGGGGCCTGGCTAAGGTCCACGGAGGCACAGAGAGCCACAGGGCATGGGGTCAGGGTGCACTCCTGCCCAGTAGAGCCCTCACCCCCAAACAAAATGCATTACTTCTTGTTCCTGTTTCCTCCGGGCCGCCTCCTCTTTCTTCTTCCTCTTCTCCTCTTCAACCTGGAGGGTCAATACAGAGCCAGATGAGACAGGGCTGCCTCAGGCTGCTGGGTCTCTCGGAGTGAGAGGTCTAGCCAAACAAGCCCCTCTCCTAGGGCCTGGCATGGAGGGCTGAACTCTGACCAGGCCCTCCCCACTGTGGGGAGACAAGCCCATGTGCCGGGCAGCACACCGACCCTCTTCCATTCCCTTTGGGGATCCTCAGCGGCACCCCTGGGTGCCTGGCCCTGCCCTAGATGCAAAGGTATGCAGCAGGCAGACAAACAGAACCAATGCTAAAAGATCCAGGCACCACTAACATGAAGAAATGGACCAGCATGGTGAGCCTGGCCCAAGGAGAGAGGATCTGTAAGGCAATGACCAGGACAGCACTGTGAGGGTTATCCTGAGTGGGTCTTGGGGTACCTGGGAAGGAGCAAGAGCGCCAGGGCAGGATGGGGATGGTGGGCGGAGGGCAGCCTTGGGGGCTAGGTGAGGAGACCAGAGCCCACTCCAACCAGCAGGCAGCACCCGGGCAGGGGCGAGGACAGTCTGATGCTGCAGGGAGAGCTTATTAGTGGAGCCAGCAGGCTGGGTGCCGGTGAGGGAAGCCCTCGGTTGCTTTGGGAGGTTCTGGCCTGAGCCATTGCACGAACAGACATGCCCTCCACTGACGGAAAAGGAGCAAGTTTGGGGAGTTGAAAATCACATTTTCACCTTTCCTTTGGACAGCCTAGGTTTCAGATGCTTCCCAGCCCAGTGGAGCTATCAGGTAGGCACGCCCTCCATGGCAGGAAGGAGGAACAAGTTTGGGGAGTTGAAAATCACATTTACTTTGGACAGCCTAGATATCAGAGGCTTCCTGGCCCAGTGGAGCTATCAGGTAGGCAGCTGGGCAAACTGTTTTTGGGCCACCGGCTACAAGATAGATGGTGGAGAAGCCGCAGGACCAGATAAGGTCTCCTGGGGAGGCGCCACACACAGAGCTAGGGAAAAGAAACCAGGAAGGCACAAAGGTCTCAGAGACTCAGGATGGGGCTGGGGCCAACAGGATCGAGCTCTTTCGAGATAGATGGAGGGAGAGCAGGGCTGGCCGAGGGAAAGGGGCTGAGGTGGGGGAGGAGCTGGGCACTGAGCTTGGAGGAACCAGAGACACAGTGCTCAGGATTTCTGCTTTTTCCCTTTAAAAGTTAGTATGTGTTTATGTGCTGGTGGGAATGGTACAGGGAGAGGCAGGACCCCTCCCCCATGGTGCCTCGGGCCTGGGGATGCCTTCTTGCAGCAGCTTGGTGAGGTAAGAGTCCCTTGGTTGGGAAACAGGAGCTACTAGAAGTCACAGGCCACAGCCAAGGTGGCCAGTGGAAAGGCCAGCACAAAGAGTGCAAGGCCTGTGAGGCTCTGGCCGGGCCACCCTGGCGCTCCTCTTGTCTGTTTCCTGCTTCTGAGCACTCTGCCAGGGAGTGCAGCAAGCCAGGGCGTCTGCACAGCCAGCACCAGGCCACCTCACAGCACAGCACGGCAGGCGAGACCCAAGGCTAGGTGAGTGACTGTGATGGAATGGGGAGGGGCCCTGATGAGGCAGTCACACCAGCCAACCTCACAGGGCAAGCCCAGCTCTTCCCAACCTGCCAACCAGGATGGACCTGCAGACCACTCACCACTGTCTAGAGCTTTCCCCAGAGTTCCAGTTCGTTATTCCTCCAAAGCACTGCAAACTCCAGCCACCCACACTTGGATCTGGCATGAGCTCTCCCCTCGTGCCTTGGGCCAGTGCAGGGCTAGGCATAGATGCCTTCCCTGACCTTGTACATCCCATCTATCAATCAACCACCCTGTCGATTCTCCTTCCTCAGTTCCTCCCAGAGCCTCCTTCCTGAGAGCTGTGGCATCCAAACTCGCCCTCCACGGTGGTCTCCTGCTTTAAGCCTCTTGGGGACCCACCTGCTGGTGGCAACAGCCCCCATGGCCCACCTCCCATGGTGTGCACTGGGGGCCCAGGTGCCTCTCATCCTGCTGCCTGCATCCCAGGGTACCCCATGCGCTGTGCCCAGAGATTCTGACATTGCGTTTTTGTTCCTGTTCTTCTGTCCTATTGGGCACCGAGGAACTTGGGCCATCCCTGATCCTGGGGGCGTTGTGGGGTGCAGGTGGGGAGTATGCTGGGAATAGGAGGTGGAGATGCATCAGTGACACGCGCCACTCAGGTGAGGGCACGGTGGGACTGGGATCTTAACATGTCAGCTTCGGGCCAGGCGTGGTGGCTCAAGCCTGTAATCCCAGCACTTTGGGAGGCCAAGGTGGGTGGATCACGAGGTCAGGAGATTGAGACCAGCCTGACCAACATGGTGAAACCCCATCTCTACTAAAAAAATACAAAAATTAGCTGGGCACAGTGGTGCGTGCCTGTAGTCCCAGCTACTTGGGAGGCTGAGGCAGGAGAATCCCTTGAACCAGGGAAGTGGAGGTTGCAGTGAGCCAAGATCGTGCCACTGCACTCCAGTCTGAGCAACAGAGTGAGACTCCGTCTCAAAAAAAAAAAAAAAAAAAAAAGTCAGCTTCACAGTTTGCCAAAAGTGACTGGTTTTCACTTAAACTGAGGGAATAATCTTTTTAAAAGAGGTCCTTCATTAGAAGATACTAGTTAATTTTTCTTTCTGACATTTATAAATACTGGGATTTTAATAAAAGTGTAAACATCAATGCTTAAAAAGTAAACTATGTAATAATCGCAATGGTTTTTACATTTTCAACAAATATCACGCTTAAGTCATTTTCACTTTACTCACCCGTCTCTTTTCTTCTCTCTCTTTTAATAAGGTGTTTCTGTCTACCAGTTTCACCACTGTGGGCAGTCCTGCAAAATAAACTGCGTGTGAGAAGAGTCTGGGCTCTGTGGGCCGTCCCCACTGCGGGGCCAGCCCTGCCCTGCCCTGCCCTGCCCAGACCATGCGGTGCTGCCCAGTCAGAGCGAGGGCCCACAGGAGAAAAACAAACAAAAACCTCCATAGCAGCAGTGAAGCACAGGAGAACATTTTGGTTTGTGTGTGTGTGATTTTTTTTTTTTTTTTTTTGAGACAGAGTCTTGCTCTGTCATCCAGGCTGGAGTGCAGTGGCACGATCTCAGTTCACTGCAACCTTTGCCTATCGGGTTCAAGCAATTCTCGTGTCTCAGCTGCCCAAGGAGCCCACACCCAGCTAATGTTTTGTATTTTAGTGGAGACGGGGTTTCACCATGTTGCCTAGGCTGGTCTCGAACTCCTGAGCTCAGGTAATCCACCCACCTCAGCCTCCCAAAGTGCTAGGATACAGGTATGAGCCACCACACCTGGCGAGAACATTTTGTAACGAGAAGGTAGGAAGGTCTTGCCAGCCAGGAGTAGGAAAATAGGACATGACATCTGAGATTTAAAATTACCAGGGGCAGAGTGGAAGAGTGGAATTGGAGGGTTCGTAACACAAAGAAATGATAAATGCTTGAGGTGATGGACATCTCAGTTACCTAGATTTGATCATAGTACCTCATACGCATGTATCCAAATATCACACATAGCCCATAAATATGTACAACTATTATGTATCCATAAAAACTGAAACTAAGGCTGGGCATGTGGCTCATGCCACTTTAGGAGGCCGAGGTGGGCAGATTACTTGAGGTCAGGAGTTCGACACTAGCCTGGTCAACACAGTGAAACCCCGTCTCTACTAAAGATACAAAAATTAGCCGAGCGTGGTGATGGGCGTCTGTAATCCCAGCTACTCGGGAGGCTGAGGCAGGAGAATCGCTTGAACCCGGGAGGCAGAGGTTGCAATGAGCCGAGATCGCGCCACTGTACTCCGGCCTGGGCGACAGAGCGAAACTCTGTCTCAATAAACAAATAAATAAAAATTGAAAATAAAAAACAAAAAAATTAACTTTCTGTGGAACAAAAAGACCTCCACGAAGTGGGAGAACAAGCATGCAATCTGTTGACAGTGTACAGGATACAGGCTGGTTCCTCAGCTGAGAGCTTCAAAGGCGGTAGCAACAGGGGCAGCGGGCAGCCAGGCCCCTAGGGGAGATGATGCGCAGGGGAGGTGACACCACCACACGCAGCAGTGGGAAGGAGCTACGGGGTGCTCCCCTGCCCCTGCCAGGCTGGCCAGCGTGGGAATGGCGCCGGGGGACCCATGGGGCTGCCACTTTGGGATTCTGCATCAGCAATCATGAAGCATGAGCCTCAGCCCAGCCCCGGGAGCTCTCCTTGTGACACCTCTCCAAGCTCCTGGTAACTTTGTAGCAAACAGCAAGGGCTCACCCACCTTCGTGGTCTTCAAACCGCACCCCAAGCTCGGGCAGGATGTTGTCCCGCAGGGCATCGCTGAGCTGCAGAATCTCAGGGACTGTAGGAGAAGCAGAGCAGTTCCCTCAGACATGGAGGAGCCAGGGCCCACACAACCAGTGCCTCCTCCAGTGCTGGGGAAGGAGGGGCCGTGGCCCACAGAACAAGTGCCTCCTCCAGTGCTCAGGAGGGAGGGGCCCCGGCCCACAGAACGAGTACCTCCTCCAGTGCTTGGGAGGGAGGGCCCAGCAGCTTGATTGGCTGCAGAAGCCCAGAGACTAGTGTCTCCCGTAAGCCCAGGGGCTGTTCTGGGGGTGCAGGGCAGAGCCAGGAGGAAGCATAGCACACTGGCCGCCGGAAGCAGTTCTTCCAGGAAAGGGACACAAGTTGGGCCGACAGCAGGGGTGGGAGGGTCAGGACAGGCCTGGGGGTCCCTTCGGGTGCTAACACTCTTCATCTGAGGCAGCCTCTCTGTTGGTGCCAGAATCAGCTTTCTTACAGAAGGACCATTTACACTCAAGCCCCAAGGACTTGGTTCCCAAATGCACACGGGACTGCGATGGGGGTCCTGACCGGCACCCAGGAGAGCTGAGTCCCAGGACCACCAAGGAGCTCGAGCTCTGTGAGAATCAGCCCTCCCAGGGCTGAAGCGCACGCAGCTGTAAAGGCGGGGCTGAGCGGTGGGGGTGGACCGCAGGTTGCTTCCCAAGACTGTGCTCACCTCTGCCTCTGACTGGGGACCTGACCCAGCTGGGAGGGTGAAAGGAGGCATGACAGGGAGGGCGACTGTGACCTCCATCACATGGGGAGGGAGCTTCGCTTGGAAACCCATGTGTCTGTGGCTGACTTCAGAGCGCAGCAGTGCAGACTTGCCCGGCATCCCACGGTTCTCCTAGTGGGCTCCTCACGCAGTCTCTAGCAGGCGCCCCCTCTGTGTCTCTGCTCTGCCCGAGTTTTCCCGTTCCCAGCCCACGCACAACGCCCAGGTAGAGAACAGGACATAAGAAGTTTTGGGTGTTACAGGGTAAATGGGATGCCAACCTATCTCAGAAAGACTCCAGAGTATCAGGTGATGTGACAGCATCTCCTAGACTACATCAACAGGACAGATGCTTGCTGCTCTCCAAGTGACAACTTTCTGCTCTGAAATCTGACCTTGGGTTTGCTGGAATCACCACACCCTTTAGTTTTCTTCTGGCCCCTCAGCTTGCTGCGCCCAACTGTGCTAGGCGGGCAGGTGCCCTGCCCCCCAGCCTGCTGGGACCCCCACCATCCCACCCCATCCTCCTGCCTGCCCTGCCTTTGGGCAGCACTGACCATGCACATGCTGCCATTCTCGTCTGTCCTTTTCCTGCTGTGTCCTCATAACTGAGACCCCTAGAGCTCCTTGCTGGGCACCCCACACCTTCATTCACTGCTAGATAAAATATTCACATATCCGGGCAGGCACGGTGGCTCATGACTGTAATCCCAGCACTTTTGGAGGCTGAGGCGGGTGGATCACAAGGTCAGGAGATCGAGACCATCCTGGCCAACATGGTGAAACCCCATCTCTACTAAAAATACAAAAACTATCTGGGTGTGGTGGCATGTGCCTGTAATCCCAGCTACTTGGGACGCTGAGGCAGAAGAATCGCTTGAACCAGGGAGTCGGAGGTTGCAGTGGGCCAAGATGACACCACTGCACTCCAGCCTAGCGACAGGGCAAGACTCCATCTCAAAAAAAAAAAAAAAAAATTGCATATCCTTGGGCTTCAAGGCCGCGCTCATAAGCACAGCCACTTTGGGCAGCTTCCGGAGTTTCAACCTCCCCAGGCAGAGACCTAGGGGAACAATGGCCTTTATATTTGTCTGCAGTATCATTCCTGGGAACAGGCCCTCCTCAGCCACCTGAGGAGCAGCTGACTGGGGCATGAGCTGAGGTAGGTGCCTGCCCTTCACTCTTTGAAAGCCACCCCTGGATAGCACCCTCATTAGAAGGAAGGCAAGCCAGCACCTGTGGTCACTGTCACGGGTGTCATGGGAGGCCACAAGGCCAGCACCCCAGCCCACCCGCCATGGGTGATCATCAGAGCAGGCACCAAGAAAGCCTCCCGGGCCACACTCCCTGGGGGAAAGGGACACACGCCGTACCCCTCAGGCCCACACCGACCTCTGGGTCTGGATTCTGAGGAGCTGAGGAAGAAGCCTCTGTGGCTTCTGTTAGCAGAGCTGGGGCAGAGGAGCAGACAATGACATCATCATCAGGGATTTACTGAAGAGAAATGTGGGCTACAAAGATAACGCAAAGGTGATGAGAATTCTTCCATGGAAGAATAGACAGATCAGGGCCCATCCATCCATGGAATATGATTTGGCCATTAAAAAGGCAGGAGGTCCTGACACAGGCTGCAACATGGATAGACCTGAGGACACCGTGATCAGCGAAATAAGCCAGACACAGGACAAACACTGTGTGACTCCACTCATGTAGGGTCCCTGGAGTAGTAAAATCCAAAGAGACAGAAGTAGAGGGTGAGCACCAGGGGCTGAGGGAGGGGATGTGGAGTTGCTGTTCCATGGGGACAGAGTTCCAGTTTGGGAAAAGGGAAGAGTTCTGGAGATGGACGGTGGCGGCTGCACAACACTGTAAATGTCCCTAATGGCACTGAGCTGTGTATTTTAACATAATGAAAACAAAACCGTGGCGATGGGGAAATGGCATCATCTCCCCAGTGCAGAGGGCCCTGGCCCAGCCCCTGGCTTTCTCACTTCAGTGCCTCTCTCCTGGTCAAACCCTGAACCCATTGCCCTCCTTGCCAGGCCTGTGCTCTCTAGCTGACTGGACCATGGGGGTATTTCCAGGGGAAACAGTTTCTTTTTCGTCTGTCTGTGGAGCATCTGGCCTGGGCCAAGCAGATCCCAGCTGATCTGAGGGCCACCCCTGAGCTTGTTATACACTCACTTTCTCTTTGGCCAGCCATGAGATGTTAACAGTGAATAACAAAACAGTCACTATTTGCTGCTGCTGGGGAGACAGGGTGATTGCACCAGAGCCACCTCTAACACGCTGCCCCGTCGGAAGGTCTGAGGCCCCTGGATCCCCAGGGTCTCTGGCTCACAAGGCACATATGGGATGATGTACAGGGTAGGGATCACCACCATCTTAACCTGGGGCCACATCACCCATCTACCTGCTCCAAGCCACAAAACAAAAGTGAAAAGCAAACAGAAAGCAAAACCGAACTACTTCCAATGCTGGCTGGCTGGTGCCACTCTCCAGGCCTGAGCAAGTCCTGTCCTGGTCAGTGCCACCGAGCGGGAGCTTGTGCCTGGCCAGTCCCCCTTTAGCGCCCTCCCGGGGCTGTGGCATGCCAGGGAAGCCAAGGCCACGTGCACAGTCTTGTATGACCCCAGGGAGCTGGGGCCCGGGCTCGGCCTTCGATGTCCCCCAGAAGGCAGGTGGAAATGCCCAGGCGACCTCCAGGAATGGTCTTCCCAAGCCCACGACCCCAGCGATGCCGCTAAGTTAGTGCTGCCAAGATTGCTGGAGAGCCCTGCGCTGGTCCTGAATAGGCTGGTCCAGGCTTGGTTCAGTTTGATTCCAGTGCTTTGAAATGCTGAGGGCATCAGGTGTTGGAAAGGGGCGATGGTGCTTATGTGGTCAGGGCAAGTGCGCCCACCGCTGCCTGTTAGGGGCTCAGTCAGGCCCAGGCCCCTCTCCAGAGCACTTGTGGCAGCCCAGCAGCCCAGCAGCCCGGCCAGCCTCTCCTCTCACCCAGTGTCCTGCACTCTCCTGCAGCCTGTGGAGCCCCGAGCTCCCGAAACTCTTTCCTGCCCTCCTGCCTCCTGCTCCACTGTCCCCTGCCCGAAACAGGCCCAGATTCGGCTCCTCCGCCTCTCGGCCCCTCCACCCACCCAGGCTTCCTGATCCTTCCTCAAGGTGCAGCTTCTCCTAGAGGCTTGCTGGGTCTCTGTCTGCTCTGTCTTCAGCATGCCCTGCCTGGATGCTGCCCCACTGTGACCCTCCATAATGGGCTCTGCACAGATGGGGACCAGGTGGATCCTAGGTCAGACTTCCCACCACACAGAGGCCCCCTGGGGAGGGAGAATTAGCACAGCAGGTGATGGAGTAGCACTCGAGGTCAGTGTGACCCGGCCAGGGCTCTCCTTTCCTCTTTTGGAGGATCATGGTGGTAAATGAGGCAATGTGCAGAAAGCAGTGGGCAGGGCCCAGCACATCCTAAGTCCTCAGTGTGTGTTCCCAGCTGTGCTGTTACTCACCAATTCAGAACCACTCACAGGAAGAAGCAAAGGCCTGCCTGATGCTGCTTTTTGCTGTGTTTAACACTTTCTTAAAACTGGCAGTCAAAACGAATGCTCAGATTCAGCACTTTCTAAGTCTTAAACCACACACATCTCAGAAATTTCAAAAGATGAAGGAATGGCCAGGCGCGGTGGCTCACGCCTGTACTCCCAGCACTTTGGGAGGCCGAGGCGGGTGGATCACGAGGTCAGGAGATCGAGACCATCCTGGCCAACACGGTGAAACCCCATCTCTGCTAAAAAAAAAAAAAATACAAAAAATTAGCCGGGCGCGGTGGCAGGCGCCTGTAGTCCCAGCTACTCAGGAGGCTGAGGCAGAAGAATGGCGTGAACCCGGGAGGCGGAGCTTGCAGTGAGCCGAGATCGCGCCACTGCACTCCAGCCTGGGAGACAGAGTGAGACTCCATCTCAAACAAACAAACAAACAAAAAGATGAAGGAATGGCTGCTTATGGACAGTGAGGGGCCACTGTGTGAACCCCAAGTTCAAGCATTCATCTGGCATGCCTGAGCAGAAAAGGGAACCCTGGAAGCTGCAGCTCGGCTCCACTCGGCAGCAGGAACGAGCCACACCTCAGCGCACCCAGCCTACCAGGTCACCAGGAACAAAAATAAGCCCCAGTGTGAGCCAAATGGCAGGTGGTGACTGGGCTGGTCAGAGGACCCACCATTCTGCCTCGGCTCAGAGAAGGAGAGGCAAATCAACCCTGGCCCATCATATCACATCCTCGGTCCCCACTGCCCACTCAGCTGCACTCACTCGAGGATTCTGCCCTGCAGGGACATGTGGGGCTGTGGTGACTGGAGCGTGTGGTACTAATGCACCTGGTGGGTCCAGGCCCGGGATGCCGTTCAACACCCTGTGGTGCACGGGGCAGCCTTCCCAGAGGATGATCCGGCCTGAACGCCATAGTGCCTCGGGGGAGACGCCCGGTCCGGGGAGCCCAGTGAGGGGAGTGGCTCCCACACTCTTTCCAGCAACTGGTCCTCACCTTTTTGCTCTCGGGCAATCTTCCGCACTCCTTCTCGGAATTCTGATAACACCTGAAGGTAGGGCATGACTGTGGCCTCGAGCTGCGGAAAGAACAGTTTTGGTTCACTGAGAGCTGCTCACACTCCCATATTCATAACAGAATAATAGCTCAGTGGCCGCGACACAGGGCAGGGACTGGCATGGGCAGTGCTGCTGTGCACACTACAGCTGTGACCGGCATCCCAGAGCCTGGACGCTCTCGTCCCTGACACACAGTCCCTGCTAGGTGTGCGAGTCACACAGACTCTCAGGCCAGAGAGCATGAAGTGAGCTTCCTTTCTACTGCAGCAGGTGGGTCTGCCGCCGCTCTGCCCAGCTGCTGACAGGCCCTGCTTTCCTCAGGTCAGACACGCTGCTGTGAAACAGCTTGTCTTTATGGTTTCAGAGGGGCCAGCTCTGGGAGGGACTATTTCCTAAGGAGCCCAAGGACATCACTCCCCAGGCTGGGGCCTTACCTATGCTGAGGCTGGCGGCTCCCGGGCCGTGCTTTCGTCTGATCTGTGGTCACACATACACTTGTTTAAGATGAATGATCTCCATTAAGCACCTACTATCTACATGCACATTAGCAGCTACACGTAGATTCACCACCCACAGTAACACTGGGGAGGTGGCCACAGGATAGAAAAACCTTTCTACTATATTTCCCTTTTTTTTTTTTTTTTTTTTTTTTAAGACGGAATCTTGCTCTGTTGCCAGGCTGGAGTGCAATGGTGTGATCTCGGCTCACTGCAACCTCAGCCTCCCAGGTTCAAGCGATTCACCTGCCTCAGCCTCCCGAGTAGCTGGGATTACAGGCAAGCGCCACCACGCCTGGCTAATTTTTGTATTTTCAGTAGAGATGAGGTTTCACCTTGTTGGCCAGGATGGTCTCAATCTCCTAACCTTGTGATCTGCCCGCCTTGGCCTCCCAAAGCATTTCCCCTTTTTTTTTTTGAGATGGAGTTTTGCTCTCATTGCCCAGACTGGCATGCAATGGCGATCTCGGCTCACCGCAACCTCCACCTTCCAGGTTCAAGCGATTCTCCTGCCTCAGCCTCCCGCGTAGCTGGGATTACAGGCATGCGCCACTACGCCCAGCTAATTTTGTATTTTTAGTAGAGACAGGGTTTCTCCATGTTGGTCAGGCTGGTCTCGAACTCCCGACCTCAGGTGATTCACCCACCTCAGCCTCCCAAAGTGCTGGGATTACAGGCGTGAGCCACCATGCTGTGCTAGCATTTCTCTTTTTCTAATAGGACAGAAAAGGTTTTAGGCTTTTGAGCAAGGTTGCTCCCTGCCCCTTAGCTGATTCAGCAGCTCAGTAACCAAAATAAAAACATTAGCAAGTGCTGGCTGGGCGCGGTGACTCACAACTGTAATCCCAGCACTTTGGGAGGGCGAAGTGGGTGGATCATGAGGTCAGGAGTTCAAGACTAGCCTGGCCAACATAGTGAAACCCCCGTCTCTACTAAAATACAAAAAAAAATTAGCCGGGCATGGTGGTGCATGCCTGTAGTCCCAGCTACTCAGGAGGCTGAGGCAGGAGAATCACTTGAACTCGGGAGGCAGAGGGTGCAGTGACCGGAGATTGCGCTACTGCACTCCAGCTGTGGAAAGAAGAGTTTTTGTTCGCTGAGAGCTGCTCACACTCCTATATCCATAACTGAATAATAGCTCAGCGGCCACGACACAGGGCAGGGACTGGCATGGGCGACAGAGTGAGACTCTGTCTCAAAAACAGAAACACACAAATTTAGCAAGTGCAAAAGTCAGGCAGGCTAGCAAGCCCTTAAGTCTAAGCCAAGCTCCCTGAGACCCAATTCTGCATCTGAACTTTGGACTTCTTGGGGGTTTTCGATCTGTATCTCCACCCACCACACAGCCAGCCCAGACAAGCCTTGGGGAAGGACAGAAAGGGAGGCATTCACCCCACTGCTAGGCTCAGTTCCAGCCCTAGGGGCACTGGAGGGGAACTCTCAGAATGGCTGCAGGGGTGTGTCTCAAGAACGCCTGGGGCTGCAACCCCCACCTGAGCATGCTAGCAGGTGGCTGTGTGGCGACACTGAGGTGGTACAAGATGGAGGAACTGCCTCCCTTGCTCCTAAAACCATTTGGATTTGGAAGTTAATCCATGAACGTCAAATGGCCATGATGTGTGGGCACAGGACGTTTTGTCAGCAGGCTCACCATTCGCCGCAGCTGCTTCTTCGCAATCAGCTGACTGCAAAGGCCAAATGAGGCTGCCTGGGGGATGCGGATGCGTGTCCACAGCACGCTGAAGGCACCCCCACAACCACAGCAGCCGTTAAGATGAAAAACACTGCAGTTCAAAGGCAGGCTGACTTTAACCCAGGAGGTGTGTTTTGGTTTTTTGTTTTTAAAGAAAATAAATATCTTAGTATCATTTGCGCAAGAGAACAAAGAAGCTATGTGGGTTTTCTTAAAAGCACCAAAGAAGGTTCATATCAGGAAGTCTCAAAAATACCACACCAACTACCACAACCAAGCTAGCTAGCGCTAAGGCTGGCAAAAGGCACCAGGCACATGGGCTAGGTGCTCTGGCAGGACTTCTTACAACACGGACTGTTTTCTCTTTGCAAGTTGGTTCCTGGGGGAGCATCTGTAAGCTCCATCCGCATGGGGGCTCTTCACACCACTTGTCATTAGGAAACAGGATTTTAAAAAGGTTTTGCATTTTGACTTTGTATTAAGCTCCTGTTTTAATTAAAATTACAGTTGTTCTATTTAAATATTTAGATCTGCATTCTAATCGAATAGTCAAAGAGCATTCTTGACCTGGGAGCAGGTGGAAGTCCATCTTTAAGAAGCCTGACTGTGGGTGTGTCAGACGGGACAGGGGTTCTACAGCAGAAGGACAGGACTGACAGTGTGTGTCTGCTCACATGCCAACTGCAAACAGAAGCCAGCAACAGACTGCCAGGGTGTTCTGGATGGATTTTCTCACCGCACAGACCCACTAGACAGGGGGCTCTACAGGATGACCTCCCCCTGACCTGTGGGCCACAGCTCTGGGGCAGGGGGTCCTGGCTCAGGCCATGTGGACCGACCTGGGCTCAGGGTCAGGACTGGGCCTGTTAGGGCATCTGCCCAGCCCCATGGGGACCGAGGCAGACAGTGGCGTATCTCCCCATCAGTGTAAATTCTGTGCTGTTTGTGAGCTCTGCAGCCTTTCGATGAAGCATTTACTGAATACAGGTCAGTATATGTGACGAAGTCATGTGTGTTCATGATGCCAAGTGGCCGCAGCAAAATGCAAATAAGCAGCGGCCTATGTAGTTGGGGTCCAAGACCAAGCTCATGGGACAGCACAATGGCAAAGTGCCCCAAACCAACAGTCACAACCAAAGCAGACCCTCCACACCGGCAGGGCAGCTGACCACACTTAGCACTCTCAGAGCCAGAATTGCCATTTAGCTCGAGGCGCTGTCCGGAAGGGTCTGGTGTGGGTGGGCAGACAGAGGAGGGGCAGTTCAGAGGGACACAGAGGGGTAGGGAGTGGGGAGGGAGCAGGTGCAGAAGGCAGGACCCTGCATGCTACTCACACTGAGGCTGGTTCCAGGCCCTCCGACCGGGAATCCCAGGGAGCTGTCCTCTTCTACGGCCCCAAAGATCTAGGAAAAGAAACAGATGGGACCTGAAGCTGCGGCAAGATGAAGGCGGCATGTGGCGAGCAGCTGTGAGCTGTGTTCCTCGTTCACGGGAGGGGGTGCCCCAAGACCAGGAAAGAGATGGAAGCAGCAGCTCCAGGAGCCCCAGAAACCCGAGCCTGAGGGTGCCCTCATTGCTCCAGGATGGCCCTGACTCACAGCTACCCTCTCCAGCTCTGTTTCAGCCAGAAGCCACTGGAGCCCAACAACAAGGAAAGAGGAGGAGAGGGGAGGGGAGTTGAGTCCAGGCCCTGCTGGCCTTTCAAGGTGCACTGCGGGGAAGGGCTCTGCACAGGATGTGTTCAGAGAGGAGGCCTTGTCCCTGGTTTTGCTTCTCTTTTTTTTTTTTTTTTGAGATGGAATCTCACTCTGTCGCCCAGGCTGGAGTGCAATGGCGCAATCTTGGCTCACTGCAAGCTCTGCCTCCTGGGTTCATGCCATTCTCCTGCCTCAGCCTCCCGAGTAGCTGGAACTACAGGAACCCGCCACCATGCCTGGCTAGTTTTTTGTATTTTTTTTAGTAGAGACGGGGTTTCACCGTGTTAGTCAGGATGGTCTCCATCTCCTGACCTTGTGATCCGCCCGCCTTGGCCTCCCAAAGTGCTGGGATTACAGGCGTGAGCCACAGCGCCTGGCGTGGTTTTGCTTTTCAAACTCCAAGATGGGAGTAGAGGGAAACGGAGTCAAAGGAAAGAAATAGCTCTGAGTAAGGACAACTATATGGATGTTACTTATTTTTGTCTGGTTTTGAGACAGGGTCTCCCCTCTATTGCCCAGAGTGGAGTGCAGTAGTGCAATCACACCTCACTATTCAACCTCCTGGGCTCAAGCGAGCCCCTCACCTCAGCCTCCCAAGCAGCTGGAAAACAGGTGTGTGCCACCACACCTGGCTAATTTTTAATATATTTTATAGACCCGGGATCTCACTATGTTGTCCAGGCTGGTTTTGAACTCCTGGGCTCAGGTGATACACTCACCTGGCCTCCCACAGTGTTGGATTATAGATGTGAGCCACTGTGCTCCGCTTATGGGTGTTATTTCTAACGCGTGAAAAGCACACCAGGAACCAAAGAGGACAGAAGCATATCTCCACGTCTCAGAGGTGCTGGGCACCAGGCACAGCACTGGGGGGCACCAGAGGCCTCTGTTCTCCCAGTCCTGGGGCCTGGCTCCTGTGTCCACACAGGCTGAGGGATACGCCTGCCTGGGGCCTGGCTTACCTTCAGCATATGGGTGAGGTACAGGGCGATGTTCTCCAGCAGAGCCTGGTTGGGCCTCTTCCTCACGGCTTTCCGGGCTGCCATATAGAGGTTGCACTGACTGACCAAGGCCCGCATCTCTTCCATGACGGTGCGGGTGTCAACATTGTCACAGAGGGCTTTGTGAATTGCTGTCTTCTTGTCATAAAAGCTGAGCAACAAAGAGGAAGGAATGTGAAGTCAGACCTGAAAACACACCATAGAAATTCCCCATGTGGCCAGGCGCAGTGGCTCACGCCTATAATCCCAGCACTTTGGGAGGCTGAGGTGGGCGGATCACCTGAGGTCGGGAGTTCGAGACCAGCCTGACAAACATGGAGAGACCCCCACCTCTACTAAAAATCTGAAATTAGCCAGGTATGGTGGCGCATGCCTGTAACCCCAGCTACTCGGGAGGCTGAGGCAGGAGAATCGCTCGAACCCGGGAGGTGGAGGTTGTGGTGAGCCGAGATCACGCCACTGCACTCCAGCCTGGGCAACAAGGGCGAAACTCCGTCTCAAAAAGAAAAAACAAAAAAGAAATTCTCCATGCACTTCAACACCCAGAGCAGCTCCCATTAGCAGAGCCGCCTATCCTGAATTAATTCTGCACAACGTACGACAGTGTCCCCAGCCCTTCCTCGACAGTCCAGGACACATGGTGGCCAAGATGCGAGGCTAGGCATAGAACATGGGCATGCTCAAAAACCCCAAAGAAATGGCACCACCTTACTTCTTATTCAGTTCTGCTTCTTCTTCTCCCCACTTCTCAAACTGACCAGTGATGTCAACAGGAGCGCGAAGGATATCTTTCACATTTAAGAAAAACTCCTGAAGTTAGAAAAATCAGTTTAACAGCATTTAGGCAACTTTTCCATCCTGAAATATCTGTTACAACTTTCTACTGCTGTGATTTTATTTTTGGTAAAAATCTGAAAGACCAGAATTACACAAGTGGTCAGAAAGAAAGGAAAAGATATTTCTTTGACAGAAACATGCTCTTGCTTTAGGTTTACAGATGCTCATTTGGTGGAAAGTACAAGTCAGAAGGACGTGCACTGCAGTGACTAGGAGGACGAGGCCTCTGTCCACTCTGCTGAGCCGTCAGCCATTTCAGGAGTGGCCCCGAGCCTGTTATACCCACTAGCATGGAGGTGCTTCCACCCATGTGCTGGTCTCCATTAGAGACATCGGGAGGCTGGTGCACCTATCACCACTGCACAAGGTGCCCACTGTGCAGGGGAGGCTGCTCCACCAACCTCCAGGAAGGGGCTGGGGACTCACATTCAAGAACTTCTCATATTGAAGCGCTGACTCCATGGTGTTGCTGGAGTAGTCCAGGGTGTCCTTCCACGAGTGCATGAGGAAGGCCAGCCGCAACTGCCGTGCTGTGGGGGGACACAAGACAGCCAACGCCCTTATTCTCCCGAGTGCTACAGCCATTACACATGTATGAGAAGGTGGTTGGGGGGTCTGTGGGAGAAGCCAGTGTATACCTGAGTGCTTTTTCAAGGCATCTTTAATGGTGATGAAGTTTTTTAGTGACTTTGACATTTTGCAGCCTGCAATGGTCAGGTGGCCTGTGTGCAGGAAGTACCTGACCCAGCAGTCGTTTTCAAAGTAGGCCTGCGTGGAAAGAGACAAAGGATGTCAACAGTCATGTGTTACTGGGGCCGCCTCCTGCCACCTGCACTGTCTGCTGCCTTGTTGGTGCTGTCCACAGGCAGGAGCTGCGTTTTCCAGGTGGTGCAGGCAGGGCTTGGAAGGACAGCCCAGGTTAATAAGCCAGCAGGTAACACAACTGGTTCAAATCCAGGCTAGTCTGTTGCCAAAGGCCAGGCTGTCAATGCGGAAACCACACTAAATGATCAGGGTTCAGATTCCACCCACAAGCCCCGATGAAGGTGTCAAGTTCTAGTGAGAGAGGCCCTTCTGAGGCCTGGGCTGACTTTTCCTCCACTGCAGTATGAACACTGTGCTCTTGCACCTGACAAGGGGACTCTGTTTTCACCTACCTCCGACTGTGCCAGCTCATTGTCATGGTGGGGGAACCGGAGGTCGAACCCACCTCCGTGAATGTCCATCGAAGCCCCTAGGAGGGTGCCTGCCATGGCCGAGCACTCGATATGCCAGCCCGGACGACCCTGGAGAAAGCCGAACACACAGTGACTGACCAGCCTACCCGCTTGTCCAGGCCTTTATCACTTATCACTCCAAGTTGATGGCCCTTACATCCTCTGAACTTTATTGGAACAAGCGTTAAATCCCGCACATGAAAAGACTAAGGGAAGGCTGGGCGAGATGGCTCACACCTGTAATCCCAGCACTTTGCGATGCCGAGGCAGACGGATCACCAGGTCAGGAGTTCAAGACCAGCCTGGCCAACATGGTGAAACCCCGTCTCTACTAAAAATACAAAAAAATACAAAAATTAGCTGAGCATGGTGACGTATGCCTGTAATCCCAGCTACTCAGGAGGCTGAGGCAGGAGAATTGCTTGAACCGGGACTAGGAGGCAGAGGTTGCAGTGAGCTGAGATCGCGCCACTGCACTCCAGCCTGGTGACAGAGTGACACTCTGTCTCAAAAAAAAAAAAAAGACTAAGGATAGCCTTCTTTGGTGAAGTTCATAAACCGGTCCTATGTGGGCCGAGGTTTAGGTGAAGTTACTGAATTACATCCAGACCTCTGAGCCCTTGACAGCTGCAGATGGTCACGCCCCTTCCTAGGGTACCCTGCAGTCAACAACTCCTGTCACCGGGAAGATCAGAACGCATCCTACACCCTGGGGCCTGGAATACTCAGAGTCACAGAACACAAGAACCAAGAAGCCTCCATGGACGTCTACTCTGATCACATCTCCACTTACAGACCAGAAAACAGAAATCCCAGGAGGGAAGTGATTTGTCCAGAGACTCAGGGAGTCTCCATGATGTCCAGGTCCCCGGGGCCAGGCAGCCTGTGCTGCACCAGCACCAGGCTCTGGCCCAGTGACAACATCCTTCACACACAGAGCGGCCCTCTGCTGGGGGCCTGAGAGTGTGGCTGGCGCCAGTGCCCCTGTCCAAGCCCCACACCTTCTAGGCCACTCGCTCACCTTTCCCCAAGGGCACGGCCAGGACGGTTCTCCGGGCTTAGAGGCCTTCCATAAGGCAAAGTCGTTGGGAGAGCGCTTCTCACTCAGGCGGTCTGCAGAGATGCTCAGGTCACCTGCAAACACGAGGGACGCCAGGCAAGGTCACTCAGCAGCACCCACAGACCCACATGTCTCACTTCAAGGCCATCCACGGTGCCTAATGGGCAGTCCTTCTGACTAACTTCTGTTTATTAACTTGGCTCAAGCATTTCTTCAAGTTAACTATGTATTACCAGATTCTGGTGTTGACCCAGTGTCTAGATTTACAAAACGGTACATAATCCCCAAAGTCACCAGCTTATATACCTGGCTGACTTGAGGCCACATCTGGGGTCTCCGTAAGACATTCACCTTCCTGCTGCCTTCTCACAGCATTAGCCCACCAGTGTCTAGGACAAGTGATAAGAACCCTGGGCTAAAGCTAGGAGGTGACATAGTGGTGCAGCCACTGGGGCATGGCTCAGGGATCCTGCCTGGTTCATGCGGGTGGGGTCAATATGTCAAGGGCCCGCACAACTATCTGCTTATGGGTCCCGGGGGATACAAGGATGCAGCTAAGCTGCTGTGTACTACTGCAGGGAACCTGGTGGCAGTGCAGTGGTGAAGGGGACATTTGCTGTTCCTGTGTATTTATAAGGGGAAAATAGGTGAAGGAAACTAAAGAATAGTCCAGGAAGGCCATAAGAAAAGGGGAGTACTGCTCTTGGCACAAGTTCTATTTCCTGGACAAAGCCAATGATCACCTGGCCAACAAAAACAAGACTGTCTATGCCTTGCCAGAGGGATGAGAAATAACCCCTTGGTGAATTCCATGCATTGACTCGGTGACACTCAGCCACCTGACACTCAGGGTACAAGGCGGTCTGAGTCCCCAGAAAAGGAATGCACCATCACTGCAGATTTCTCTCAACAATACATGCAGGACCAATGGAAAAGATTAGCTGCTGTGAATAAAGAAACCTGTGAGCCAGTCCAAAGGTCACGCAGAGAATCACCCTTTGTTCGATGAATGGGCAGAGCAGAGGTCTTCACTCTAGGCATAAGGTTACCAGGACCCACGCCAGGTCTTGCCCGGCTGCTGCAGCCTTTCCTGGTCCCTGGTCTAAGGGCTGCCTTAGGTGCTGTCACCCCCTTGTGGAGGAAGAACAGACTCCATCTAGGGTTCTAACTCAGGTGACCCTGAAGAAGCTGCAGTGAGATCTTTCCAGGTGACAAATCCACTTTTCAGGAGCCTAATCAGGCAACAGACCTAAGCTGCCCTGAGAAACAGAGTCCAGAGGAAAAGCACCGCTAAATATATTTTTCTAAACACCAAGTTCATGATTATAAAATATGTACTAAATGTAGAATATTTGAAAGATAAAAAAAGAAAACTAGGAAAAAAATTGCCATTATCTTTTAACCTAGGAATTACTACTGTTACCATTTTGGTATACTGATTCCCAGATTAAAAAACAAACACACAAAAACACAAAAAACCTCTGCAAGCAAAATCCAGATCTATCCACCAACACGGAAGGCCGCTGTCCTGGCTTCCTTCTACCTCCGCACTGTTCTGCCACTGACAATTCCGCAAAAGCACAATGTGATATGGCCCATGACATTCGCTTTTAGATGCTCTTTGATAGAAAATATACATTCACGTTTTCAACTTTTCATTATTATGAACTTACTCATGAAAGTTTATATCTGATTTTTTAAAAATACGCTTTGAAAAAATTGATAACAGAGAACACAGGACCCTCCCCACAAACACCCTATCCTTCAGCAAACATCACACTGCAACTGCCCTCATAGGGTTAATGAGAATTCCAAGGCAGGCTATAGGCAGAATGATGAGGCCGGTCACTGGCCAGGTGCAGTGCACGTCCATCCGCTTCCCTGCAGCTCTAACTGAGAGTCACATAGCACGCTGACCACCTGCTCCACCACTGTTCCTAGCGATAGAATCTCTAACCCTGGACCTTTTTACCAAGAACTGCTTAAGGTATTTTTTGGATCCTGAATTCCAGCAGGACAGCTGTTGCCAACTGGTCTGAAGACCTGCACCAAGGAACTGACTCGTCGCAGAAATGTGGTTTACCTCCCTGTCCCATGACTTCGCCCCTCACTTCCCCAGCAACCGGCAATCCCCATCACCTGTCCAGAGCAATTAAAAACCCCTCCCCAAATCTCAGGGAGGCGGATCTGAGGTTTCCTCCCATCTCCATTTGTCCACCATACAATTACTACGCTTCTTCTACGGCAACCCCTGGTATCCCGGTATACTGACTCGCTGTGCATTGGGCAACAGACCTATTATGGTTACAACACAATGTCTTTCAAGTTTTCCTTCTTGGTTTCATTTCCTGTCTCTCTCCCCAGAGGCAGAGTGAGTGTTTCTAGCTTTGACCCTACAAGCATGTTCATACCAGCACAACAGGGTCCTGTTCTCTCCCACTGGGGGAGCTTCCTCCCTGCACTAGGCCTTCCTGCCACGTGCCTTCCCGAGTGGTCTGCATGGCCCATCTGCCTCTGGTGGGTCATCTTACTTGGCGGAGTGAGGAGCTGTCATCATCTAGGACCACTTGGGCCCCAGCATCACCCCTCCCCTTTTCCTCTACCATTAGAGTCCCCATGGCGAGGAGCACATGACTGCACAGAGCTAAGGCTACACTCCTTATGACTCCCCATGGTGGGGGGAGGTTGCGGGGGTGGTCATGTGCCCACGTCTGATCACTGACTGTGGAGGGGTGGAAATCCATGTCCCTCTTTGGTCCTGCATATTGGCTGTTAGATTCTACTCCTGTTTCCTGGAACTTAAACCAATGCTGAAGTCATTCTGGAAGAAAATGGGCCCAAGAATAAATGGTATTTAAGAAAAAGACCCTAGATGGGGCCAGATAGCAAAATTCATCATAAAGTGGTGAGTCAGTGTGCTCTAGCTGCCTCCAGAACATTCCTTCACCACGTGACCTGAGGGCACTGCTCCACTTACCACTCCCACCTTTCCCATGTGCTGCCAGTTCCCTCCCGGCATCTAAGTGTCAAATGCAGTGCGAGTTGTTCACGGCTTCCTCTAAGGACTTTAAGAAATGCTCTACTATATCCATAGTTACATTCCATTTTTGTCTTGTTATTCAAACATACATACATACATACATACATTCAAACACACACACAGGATCTTGCTGTCAGCCAGGCTGGAGTGCAACGGTGTAATCACAGCTCACTACAGCCTCGACCTCCCTGGCTCAAGCAACCCTCTTACCTCAGCCTTCTGAGTAACTGGGACTACAGGTGCATGCTACCACACTCAGCTAATTTTTAAAATTTTTGTAGAGATGCGGTCTCACTACATTGCCCACGATGGTCTTGAATTCCTGGCCTCAAGCGATCCTCCTGCCTCGGCCTCCCAAAGTGCTGAATTATAGGCATGAGCTATAATTCAGCCCTAATATGTTTTTCAATCTTCTACTTTTATTAATCAAACTTGCTAAGGGTTCTTCTATATTATTTTTTGAGAAGAATCAGCTTTTGGCTTTTACAATTGTTTCTGTTTCTTTAATCTCTGATTTTACTTTATTTCCTCCTATTTCTTTCTACTTCTTCTTGTTCCTTTCCCAGCTTTTTGACTGACTGCTTAGCTCACTTATTTCCTTTTTTTTTGTTTGAGATGGACTCTTGCTCTGTCACCCAGGTTGGAGTGCAGTGGCACGCTCTCAGCTCACTGCAACCTCCGCCTCCAGGGTTCAAGCGATTCTTCTGCCTCAGCCTCCCGAGTAGCTGGGACTACAGGCATGCGCCACCACACCCGGCTAATTTTTGTATTTTTAGTAGAGATGGGGTTTCACCACATTGGCCAGGCTGGTCTCGAACTCCTGACCTCGTGATCCGCCTGCCTTGGCCTCCCAAAGTGCTGGGATTACAGGCGTGAGCCACTGCACCCGGCACCTCACTTATTTTCCATCTTTGTTTTTTAATAACTACATTTAAAAACATCAGTTTCCTCTAATTGGTGCTTTAGGGGCATTCTCCAGATTTGGTGTGTGGCACCTTTGCTGCTGTTCTGCTTAAACACCCCTGATTTCCCACTGTGGTTTTCTTTCCTAGGAGTTATCCAGGAGCATGATTTCAACCCCCCAGACAAGTTTGTACATTTTAGACGTCCGTCCTGTCAGTGTTGGTATCTTTTTTATTTTAAAAAAAAAATTTTTTTAATGTCTTTGAGACAGAGTCTTGCTCTGTTGCCCAGGCTGGAGTGCAATGGCACAATCAGGGCTCACTGCAGCCTTGACTTCTTGGGCTGAAGTGATCCTCCTGCATCAGCCTCTTAAGTAGCTGGGACTATAGGCACGTGCCACCACACCCAGCTCATTTTTAAATTTTTTGTAGAAAGGGGGTCTCCCTATGTTGCCCAGGTTGGTCTGGAACTCCTGGGCTCAAGCGATCCTCCTGCCTCGGCCTCCCAAAGTGCTGGGATTACAGGTGTGGGTCGCCATGTCTGGCCAAGTGTTGTTATCTAATACAATCGCTCCATGGTGACAGAATGAGGGCTCCTTGACAGAATGAGGGTTCCTTGAAAACGGTTCTTTGAGATTTGTGGAAATCTTTCTGTGGCCTGGCATATGTTTCTGTGTTCTTGGAAGGAAAGGATGTTCTTTAATTCCTGAGTGCAAAGTTCCCAGCTCTCAAACCAAGCCTGTTAACTGTATTTCAAACCTTTCATATCCGTATTAATTCTTGGCCTACTTGATCTGTCAACTCCTGGGAAGTGCATGAAACGTGGGCATGTCCACTCTGGTTCTAGGGTAGTGAAGCCTTCTGGTCCAGAGGCCCAGGCTGCATCCTCTCAGAGCTGAGGCGCTTCATCATCACAAACCCGCCCCTCTACTCCCACAAACCCGGAGCCTGAAATGCCATGGGTCTGATATTTATGTGTCAACCTGGCTATCTCTATCTTTCTTCAGTCTGTGTTGTCTGGTTTTATTTTATTATATATTTTTTTGAGACAGAGTCTCATTCTGTCACCCAGGCTGGAGTGCAGTGGCACAATCTTGGCTCACTATAACCTCTGCCTCCTGGGTTCAAGTGATTCTCATGCCTCAGCCTCCTGAGTAGCTGGGATTACAGGCAAGCACCACCACACCTGGCTAATTTGTGTATTTTTAGTAGAGATGGGGTTTCGCCATGTTGGCCAGGCTGGTCTCGAACTCCCAACCTCAGGTGATCCACCCACCTCGGCCTCCAAAAGTGCTGGGATTATAGGCGTGAGCCACCGCACCTTTATTTTAGGTTCTGATATTTCTTTAGAATAGAGCCTAAAATTAGATAAAAGTATGAACATTTTTATGGCCAAATTGTCTTCCAGAAACACTAGGACAGGCGGGGTGGGGGTGCAGAACGTGCCCTGGCACATTGCGGGAATCCCCACTCTGCAGGGAGGCTTCCAACCTTGCCTCTTGTGGATGTGTCCCCAGATTCACTTAAGGGATAAACATGAAGAAAACACCAACGAAAGGGTTCCCAATATAATTCTGCCTGGTCTAGAAAAAGTCTGATATCTGTGTTTGAAGCATTTGGATCCAGATGGGCGCACAGGCTGTTGTCAAATATGCATCACTCGGCACACATCCCAGCACCCCACAATCCCCCTAAACCTCACATGCTCAGCCAGCAAACACCAGCCCTGTGAATCCAGGCCCCAGGGGCCACTATGTTTCTCAAGACAGCACTGCGTTTACTGTCTTTTGTTTCTTAAAAAATAACACACCATAAAAAAATGACATCTTGTCTTTTACAGCAACATGGATGGAACTGGAAGACATTCTGTTAAGTGAAATAAACCAGGCAGAGAAAGACAAATATCACATGTCCTCTCTCTTATGTGGGAGCTAAAAAACGGTGGACCTCAAGGAGGTGCAGCATAGAACAGTGGTCACCAGAAGCTGAGAAGAGTCAGGTCAGGGGCAGTGAGTGGAGAGAGGTTGGTTTCTAGGCACAAACACACAGACAGAAAGAATAGGTTCTTGTGGTCACTAGCACAGTAGGGTGACTATAGTTACCAAAACATTTGTTGTATATTTCAACATAGCCAGAAGATCTGGAACATTCCCAATGCAAAGAAAAGGTAAACGTCTAAGGTGACGAGCATCCTAACTACCCCGATCATCACACACGGTGTGCATGTATTAAGACATCACATGTTCCCCATAAATTGCATAATTATTATATATCCATTAAAAAAACACATGTCATGGTCTTAGAGCTGCACAATGTTGAGTGCAGAAAACTCCTAAAATTCCTTCAGGTGAAAAAGCACTGTTCCCAAGAGTCTGAGGGGTGGGCTCAGCGCAGCCCCCGTGGCCTGCAAAGTCAACACAACCCAGGCTGGGCCAGGAGGGAGAGCCCACATGCTCTCAGGCATGCCCTCCTCACCTTCCCCTTCTTGAAGGGCTTTCTGATCTCCAACGGCCTCAGGCACCAGCTTCCCATAGGAGTGCTTCTCGCTAGAAGCAAACTTCGCTGTATCAAAGTAGACAGACCCATTGGAGACATAGCTGGAAAACAGAAAAGGAATTGGGTGGGTGCATCTAACAGACCCGAAAGTGTGTCAGCAGGATGACAGTAACAAAATAAAGCAGGGCTATAAAAGTGCGAAATCTGTGGCCTATCTACTCTCTGTGGTGGCCACTGAAAACCGTATCAGCTGTTTGGACTGAGTGGGACACCAGGGCCCATCCCGCTGCGGAGGCAGCCTGCCTGCCCTGGGCAGCTCGTCCCTCTGCCTGGCGTCCTGTGACCCATGCAGCTCCCACCCTGCCTTGCTCAGGGCTGCTGCCGTCCTCATTCTTGTGTGGCCTCACCTTTCCCTGAATGTCCACACTCTACCCATTAGCTTAGCTGAGGCTCTTGGCCTCCAAGAAGCACTCTAGATTACTCCAGTCTGGAATGACCTGTCCTCTCTGAGCTTCGGCTTGCCCATGCCTCTCGGCTTGGCACAGGCTCTTATGCTGCCCCACAGTAGTTTGTGTGAAGTGGGGAGAGAAGCAGCGCTACTGCTTAAGAGTCTGCCCCGTTCCTGGCACTGTCACAACCTCTTGTTTCTCTTTCATCCAGCCTGTGTGGTTCCTGTGGGAGGGAAGCAATCTGAGGCTGGACACAGTGGGTCTCTGGGAGCAGGCGCACGGTACAGTGCTGAGCACTACTGTGGGCGGCAAGCCACCCAGGTGCCGAGGCAAGAGACCGAGGGCACGAGCTGTTCCAGTATAATAAAATATAAAATAAGAATAGTTATACCAGATATAGATCTTAGATATGATTATATATGAATATCATTAATCATTAGTTTGTAGCAATTACTCTTTATTCCAATATTATAATAATCCTCGCTCTATAATCATAATCTAGGAAAAACCAGGCCATACAGAGATAGCAGCTGAGGGGACATAGTGAGGAGTGACCAGAAGACAAGAGTGTGAACCTCCTGTTATGCCCGGACACGGCCACCAGAAGGGTTCCTTGGTCTAGTGGTAACGCCAGCGTCTGGGAGGATGCCCGTTGCCAAGCGGACTGTGGTCTAGCGGTAGCGTAAGTGTCAAGGAAAAACACCCGCTACTTAGCAGACCGGGAAAGGGAGTCTCCCTTGCCCCGCGGGAGTCTGGAGAAGACTCTGCTCCTCCACCTCTTGTGGAGGGCCTGACATGAGTCAGGCTCGCCCGCAGTTATCCGGAGGCCTAACCGTCTCCCTGTGATGCTGTGCTTCAGCGGTCACGCTCCTAGTCCTCCTTCATGTTCCATCCTGTACACCTGGCTCTACCTTCTAGATAGCAGTAGCAAATTAGTGAAAGTACTAAAAGTCTCTGATATGCAGAAATAATGGCGTAAGCTGCCTCTCTCTGTCTCCTCTCTCTCTCTGCCTTGGCTGCCAGGCAGGGAAGGGCCCCCTGTCCAGTGGACACGTGACCCACGTGGCCTTACCTATCATTGAAGATGGCTCACTCTCCTTAACCTACCCCTTTGTCTTGTATCCAATAAATATCAGTGCAGCCTGGCATTCGGGGCCACTACCGGTCTCCGCGTCTTGGTGGTAGTGGTCCCCCGGGCCCAGCTGTCTTCTCTTTTATCTCTTTGTCTTGTGTCTTTATTTCTACAATCTCTCATCTCCACACATGGGGAGAAAAACCCACCGACCCTGTGGGGCTGGTCCCTACACACTACAGACAGATAACCGGGTTCCTGTCTGCATTTCCATTTGTTGGCCATTTCTGAAAATGCTTACTTTGGAGATTGAGACAATACGGGCCAGGGAAGTGTATGATGGATTTGCCAACAAAAAGTCACTAAAATCATAGCCAAGCGATAGATGCTGATGAAATGCATCCTCCTTCGGGATATGACACCAGGACTAGCACTCTCAAAATGTCTACGCAATGGCACTGATGTCTGTGAAGGCCCAGCAGTATTCGCACTCACCATTATGCAGCTCTGGGGCCCCATGACTGATGGTCTTGGCTGCCGAGCTTCCCAGCAGATTCTGGGTTAGGTTCTCACCATGGCCCCCAGGACAGTGCAGACCCATGCTCCTCAGCCCCTGGGTGGGCCCAGAGTTGTAGGAGGAAGTCTGCTGGGACTTCTAGCTACGCAGCCCCAGAACACCTGCTCCTCTGCTTCCCAAACTCAGGCTCAGAGCTGGGGAGCTCCTCCCTGTGCGATGTTCTGCAGCCCTTCCCTCCCTAGGGAAGGCCCTTGTGCTTACCCGTAACCGTTGTCCACAATCTTCTGGACAAAGTTCACAATTTCTGGCACATACTCACTAACCCGGGTTAAGACATCTGGAGGGAGAACCTGTGCAAGACATGAGAATGTCCTGGGATTTTCCCTTCTGAAAACCACGCGCTCCATAAAAACGTTCCCAATTCATAAAACGAAAAGCCCATTATGCCCCTCAACTCAAGTTCAATGTTGACTTGGCCGCTTAATTGAGCTGGCCTTGCCAAAACAGGAATTTAGAAATCAGGGCCCTTAGCGCAAGAGAGCCAGCACAAGACAATCGTGACACTTACATTCAGAGCTTCCATGTCTCTGTGGAAGTCCCCCTCCCAGAACTTGGGCAGCTTGGAGAAGATGGAATTGTCAGTGACATCACAGCCAAGTGTAGAATCCAGCCAGTCAGAGAGCAAATCCTTGGCTTCTTCCAGCAACACCTGAAGAGAAAGAAACAAAAATCCAGCAGCGGGCCACACACTTCACATGAGAACATCTCGTGCAGCTGGTGTGAGCCCATCAGTGCCCTGAATTCAAAGGTGCTGACCTTGACCTGTGAAGAGCCACCGTCTCCTAGGGAGACTGTGATGCTTACACAACTGGCTCGGCAGGGACAAATACAAGACTCTACAAATGGGCAGGTCTCACATGAACTCAGAGGAGCAAAGCCAAGGGGACTGTGGGTGCAGAGGCAAAAAGAGGTGGGAGGGCCGAGGTGGGCCTGGTGAGCATGTGCAGCCTACCTGGGCCGTGCAGGGCAGGGTTATGGGCAGAGGCTGGGCAGGAGCACACAGTGTGTCACCTACAGCACAACCCCTTGGTGCATTCAGGAAAAGATTCATGACGGACACAGCCAGAGGTTAGGAGAGATAGGCAGGGCACTGGTCCCAGAGGTCTCAAAAGCCCCATCTCCCTGACGCCATTGACTGAAGATGCCATCCCCACTTGACACACCATGGAATGGGAGTAAAAACCACCAATCCCAGCAAAACATGGCACCTATGTGAACCAGGTCCTGACCACACACACTCTAGGCATGAGACACGCCCCAACTGCACTCATGTCAGAAAAGAGAAATGTCTACCCTCCGCCATCTTGGAGGGACCTAGAGTCTCAATGCACTGACGTGGACCCAGGACAGGGCGTGACACCAAGCAGATGGTCTGTGGCCTACTATGGGAAGGGGAGGCAAAGAACCAAGGCTGGAGAGAAAAAGTGTAGGAAAATGGCCTGGCAGACAGCAAGGACACAGGGTGGACAAAGCCACAACACAGACAGAGAAGGGGCACAGGGCCCACGTGGGCCAGGTTCCTGATGCAATCCCTGCCTACAGCTCCTGAATCAAACAGATGTGTTAAATGTATTGCAGGCCTGCAAGTGGCAAGGCACGTCTGCAGGAATGAGCACACCCTCCCCACCGCGGCAGGGCATCCAGTGGGCAGACAAGCACCAAAAGCAGGGTGTGCGCTCTGGGGAGCAAAGGCTGCCAAGTCTGCTGCCCGAAAAGCAAACACTGGGCCTGCCCCAAGTACAGGGAAACGCGCATCCTGGCCCTCAGGATCACCAAGGTCACGACCCAGCAAGAACCGACATCCTAATCGAGGTCACCAAACACCCAAGAACATGAGCAACTGTGAATGGGAGTCAGCAGAAACGACAAACAGATGGACGCTTCAGATGGAGGAGTTATCAGATACATAATAAAATCCAGTAAATATTACAGGCTTAAAGACATAAGGACGGACTCCCAGATGACAGGCAATAGCAAGCAGGGACAGGCCAGCAAAGCGGCCCAGCTGGATCTGAAAATAGAAGCAAACGGAACCTGCAGAGATGAAATCTATTAACAGGCGAAACAGTCTTATCCATCCTACTGAGTGACTGTTTCACTTCCTGTCTGAAGGAGAATTTGTGAACAGGAAGACAGAACTGAAGAAGTCATCCAAAATGAAACAGAGACAAGAAGGAAAATTTTATGAAAGACAGGTTAGGAGACACGGAGAAGGATGAGATGAAATGATGAGACTCACATCTAATTGGCAACCCAGAGGAGAGGAGAGAGGGAATCGAGTAAAGGTGATACTTGAAGACACATCTGAGAATTTCTCAAAACCCATGCAACAATCCAGCCCCGGGAAGCACACAAAATATCCAATAGGATAAGTAAAAACAAATCTCTTACAATGTCTTTGTGAAATAGCAGAAAACTGAAAAGAGAGAATACTTTTATAATGCGCCTGATAGAAAAGACATATTTACCAATCAAAGAAAAGTAATTTGAAGGGCAGCCGATGTTTTCAACAACAGCCAACAATGGAAGCCAGAAGACGGCAACCACCTTGAACAAACAGGGAAATATACACACTTCAAGATAGACAAAAGCTGCTTCCCACCAATACTTCTAAGATAATGTTTCTAAAACTTGCCTGATGATAGGGCTGGAATACTCAATGTTGCTGGTCAAGCATACAGATCAACAATCAAAATGCATAAATACAAAATGATAAGAGACTTCTGCTTTCCAGTTTCACATAAGTCAGGAGCTTGGAAGTTGCCACTCTACCTAACAACAGGTAAAAAGCTGAATAAACTGAAAAACCAACTCTTCTTAGATCCATAAGAGAAGTTAGGTCATAGGGCAAACCACTGCCCCCTAAACTGGAGAGACCAACAGGAGAAGACAGACAATCACAACTTACCAGAGCAGAGACTCATAAGCTGAAAATTCTGTGGGAACCAGTGTTGGGGGAGGAAAACCAGGACTGTAACAGAGATTGCTGCAGGCTTGGTGTAGGCAAGTCAGACAGTTGAAAACCCCAGGGACCCAGTCATAGGGGACCCCATACTTTTGTGAGTTTTACCTCTAGGAACCTGACCAGGCCTCACAGTGAATATTGGAGAAAAATCCCCTTGTGTTTCCAATAGCAAGAAGGGAAAGGAAGCATTCCAAAATATACCAGTGCACTCTGTTCTTTTCTTTCTCCTTCCTTCCTTCCCTCCCTCCCTCCCTCCCTCCCTCCCTCCCTCCCTCCCTCCCTCCCTCCCTCCCTCCCTCCCTCCTTCCTTCCTTCCTTCCTTCCTTCCTTCCTTGATGGAGTCTAGCTCTGTCACCAGGCTGGAGTGCAGTAGTGCAATCTCAGCTCACTGCAACCTCCGCCTCCCGGGTTCAAGCAATTCTCCTGCCTCAGCCTCCCGAGTAGAAGGGATTACAGTCACGTGACGCCACGCCCAGCTAATGTTTGCATTGTCAGTAGAGACGGGGTTTCACCATGTTGGCCGGGATGGTCTCAATCTCTTGACCTCATGATCTGCCCATCTCGGCCTCCCAAAGTGCTGGGAGTTCAGGCGTGAGCCACCGCGCCCGGCCAATAACTGGTAGGTCAGAAGTATAGGTAACAAACTACTACTTTCAACTGGCATCTGAATTGGGGACAGTCTTATGGGACTGAGCCCTTCAACCTGTCAGATCTGACGCTTCCTCCTGGCAAACTGTGTTGGAAATGAATTAAATTTTAGGACTCCCAGCTGATGCCTGCTAGAGAACTGACTGGTTGTCGGGGCAGAGGTGGGCTGGGTGAGGAAGAAATCCCTATGCATTTTGGTGATCAGAGGTGAAGTATTCTGTTTAAAAATTTTTTCCGATCTGAAATGGCTGCAACACTGTAGGATTCCAAGTATGTGACATTCTGGGAAAGGCAAAACTACGGAGACAGTAGAAAGACTAGCTGCTGTCAGGAGTTGGGGTGGGGAGGAAGGGATAATAGCTGGAGCACAGAGGATGTTCAGGGCAGTGAAACTATTCTGTGTGATACCGTAATGGTGGATACGAGATAGTATTTGTCCAAACCCATAGGATGTAACAATCCTGAGAGTGAACCCTAAAGTAAACCACGGACTCAGGGTAATGACGCTCAGAGCAGGTTCGCTGACTGTAAGAAACGTACCCCCTGGTGGGTGCGGATGCTGGGGGAGGTGACGGTGAGGTGGGTAGGGGATATATATAGCCTCTCAATTCTGATGTGAACCAGAATCTCCTCTAAAAAAAAACTTTTTTTTTTTCTAAAAAGTGAAAAAATAAGGAGAAACAGACAAATTCATCATCAGAGGGGGAGTTTTGTTTTGGTTCTTGTTTTTGTTTTTTTAAGAAACTGTATGAATAGGCTAAGCCAACAGGAAGAATTAGCAAAGACACACAAAATATTAACCACACGGCCAACAGGTATAGCTAAGTGGATGGCATGTGGAACTGTGCACTAGGGGATTAGACGGAATCTTCTCAAGCACAAGAGAACATTCAGAAACCAGCACACACAGGGGCCACAACACAAGTCTCTGTTCACAGATCCAGATTGGGACAGACCATACTCTCCAACCACTGGGTAATTAAGTTATAAGCGAATAACAATAAGTTAATATGAAAAAGTACCATCCAATTTAAATTTGGAAATTTAAAACTTCTAAGTAATTCTAGATAATTAACTTTTAGGTAATTACTTCTAGATAATTCCTGGGCTAAAAAATCCAAAATGGAAATTAGAAATTGTTTACAAGTAAATGATGTCAAATTTTGCAGCAAAAACAGTCAGAGGAAAATGTATAGCCTTAAATTCTTAAATCAGAAAATAAGCTAAACTGCTAAATGAGACAAAGAAAAACAGAATAAATCCAAAGGAAAAAGAAGAAAAGAAGGAATAAAGAATGGACAAAAACTGATAAAACAAAAAGACTACAGAGGATCAACACAGCCAAACTGGATCTGAGATGGTTCTTAGATACAACATGTAAAATCCCAACAGTGTCTTACATGGAACTTGACAAGCTGAGGCTTCAAAACACACCTAACGACAAAACCAAGATGGGGCCTCTTACCCATCAGATACCTGTGAGAGACAGCATGATACTCCTGCAGGACTGGGCAATTTTTATAAATTTTTTAAATTTTAAATTCTTAAACTTTTTGTAGAGATAGAGTCTCACTATGTTGTCCCGGCTGATCTCAAACTCCTGGGCTCAAGGGATCCTCTTGCCTTGGCCTCCCAAGGTGCTATGATTACAGGAACGAGCCACTGCACCTGGTCTGGGCTGGACAATTTGACCAACAGAACAGAATTAAGAGACACAAACACATGCCAACATGTAACAGAGATGAATTCGTGTCTTAGTCTGTTTTCTGTTTTTTTGTTTGTTTGTTCTTTTTTTTGTTTTCTGTTTTTTGTTTTGTTTTGTTTTGTTTTTTTGAGACAGTCTCACTCTGTTTCCCAGGCTGGAATGCAGTGGCGTGATCTCGGCTCACTGCAACCTCCGCCTCCTGGTTTCAAGCTATTCTCCTGCCTCAGCCTCCAGAGTAGCTGGGATTACAGACGCGCGCCACCACATTTGGCTAATTTTTGTATTTTTAGTAGCAACGGGGTTTTGCCATGTTGGCCAGGCTGGTCTCAAACCCCTGACCTCAGGTGATCCGCCCGCCTCAGCCTCCCAAAGTGCTAGGATTACAGGCGTGACCCACTGCGCCTGGCCGGGAATGGGTAAAATTTTTTTTCTTTTTGAGACGGAGTCTTGCTTCGTCGCCAGGCTGCAGTGCAACAGCACGATCTCGGCTCACTGCAACCTCTGACTCCCTGGTTCAAGGGATTCTCCCACCTCAGCCTCCCAAGTAGCTGGGATTACAGGCACACGCCACAACACCCAGCTAATTTTTTTTTTTTTATTTTTAGTAGAGACGGGGTTTCACCATGTTGGCCAGGATGGTCTCGATCTCCTGACCTCGTGATCTGCCCACCTCAGCCTCCCAAAGTGCTGGGATTACAGGCATGAGCCACGATGCCCTGCCTGGGAATGGGTAATTTTTAAATAAAATTTATTTCTTACAATTCTGTAGGCTGGAAAGTTCAAGGTCAAGGGGCCACATCTGTTCTGGGCCTTCTTGCTGGTGGGGACTTTTCCCAGAGTCCCAAGGTGGCGCAGAGCATCACATGGCCAGGGGGCTCATGAGGGCCAAACTGGCTTCTGTAACAGCCCCACTCTCATGATAACTACCCCACTTCTGTGATAACCCATTAATCCATTAACCCATTCATGAGGGCAGAGCTCTCATGACTCGATCACCTCTAAAAGGCCTTACCTCTTAATACTGTTACACTAGGGATTAAGTTTCAGCATGAGTTTTGGAGGGGACAAACATTCAAATCATAGTAATTAGTATCAGAAGACATAAGAATGATACAAAACAGTAAGAAAAGGACCAATAACCTCATGGGAAAGGGGGAGAGATGGGGGCACAGAATCACAGCTGGAAGCAAGCACTTGACAAGATGCTCAGTCTCAGGAGAGGTTGGAAAAAGGGACATTCAAACCACAGCAATCAGCACTTCACATTCATTGACTGATGAAAGGGAAGAATCCAACAATACAAATGCAGGTGTATGTGCAAATACACAGCACACCCAAAATGTGGTAGAAGAAGAAGAAATTTGCATAGACATTTCTTTCTTTTTTTTTAAGAGTCTGGGTCTCACTCTGCTGCCCAGGCTGGAGTGCAGTGGTGTGTTCATGGCTCACTGCAGCCTCAAACTCCTGGGCTCAGGTGATTGTCTCACCTCAGCCTCCCCAGTAGCTGGAACCACAGGCTTGCATCACCATGCTTGGCTAATTTTTAAAAGTTTTGTAGAAATAGAGTCTCACTATTTTGCCTAGGCTGGTCTGGAGCTCCTGGGCTCAAGTGATCCTCTTGCCCTGGCTTCCCAAAGTGCTGGGATTACAAGTGTGAGCCACTGTGCCTGGCCATATAGACATTTCTGATATGGCTACTATGAAGATAAAAGTGAGCCTAGAAGGTCTGTGTCTGCCACCTGAGAAAGGCCTGCCTACAGAGCTGGCCATTAGCTGGCATCCAGGAGCTGAAATGTCCCCTGTGCTAAGAGGCCGGGAAACCCAGCTCTGTGGCAGCAGCCCCCAGTGGGCTGTTGAACAAACACTGTGGCTTATGCAGGTGGAACACCAGCTTTCCTCCTGGGGAGTCAGGAATTGCGGCACGTGCCAGGCAGAGGGTGCCTATGTGATGGGCTTCCCTAGGGAGGGACATTTCACACATGTGGCTGCATTTTTTTCCTGGTGGGGGAGAGTGTGCTGTGTCCCCTCATGGGAGGCAGGGAGGAAGCTTCAGCAGCCTGCCCATGGATGATTGAAGACTCCGCCTGAGCTTCTGCTCCTCGCTGTGTCACTGCTACAAACCTTAGACAAGATGATAACTCGATGCCGAGTCTCATGAGTCCTTCTAGGGCCCCAGAATGTGTGGGCAGTGTTGGGAACCCCCGACAGTCACTCACATATATCCTACACAACCCAGCGATTCCACTTGCAGGTATATGGCCTAAAGAAACTTGCAAATGTCCACCTAGAGACAACACAAAACAACTCACAGTTCAGCAAAAGACACTCCACATCACTAGCCATTAAGGAAATGCAAACCAAAACCACAGTATACCACCTCACACCTACTGGGATGAAAAAAATGAAGAATAACAAGCTTTGGCAAGGATGTGGAGAAAACAGAACCCCATGCACTATGGGTGGGAATGTGTAATAGTGCAGCCACTGCAGAAACAATACGGTGGTTACGCAGAATATCAAAAATAGAATCATCACATGACCCAGCAATTCCACTTCCGTGTATATCCCCAAAAGAAGTGAAAGCAGGAACCCAAACAGATATTTGTACACCCAGGTTTATAGCAGCATTACTTGCATCTCCAAAAGGTGGAAACAACCCACGTGTCCACGGGCAGGTGAAAGGATGAGCAAAATGTGGCCCATCTATACACAACAGAGTATCATTCAGCCATAGGAAGGAAGCAGAGTCTGACATGCACTACAGCATGGGTCAACCATGGGCACACTATGCTGGGCAAAATAAACCAGACACAAAAAGACCCTGTCTCTACAAAAAAAAAGTTTTTAAAAATGGCTAAGATGGTAAATTTCTTATGATGTGTGTTTTACCACAATTAAAAAAAAAAAAAGAATATTAGTGGAACAACTGGGAAAAAAATTACAGCAGCATTGTTGGTAAGAAGGAAACCTAACTGCCCGTCCCAGGAGAACAGACAAACAGCTCGGCTCCCAGGCAGGCACTGAGGCAGTGACAGTGACCACATGTGGGTCGTCCCAGAAGCACAGCTTGGGTGAAAGCACACTGACGACTACATACACGTGGCGTGTTTCCGTGAAGTTTGGAAACAGGCGCAACGAAGCGATCTGCTGAGTCAGGACACAGAAGAGACCAAACTAGAAAGAAACATGCTGGCGAAGGGCAGACACAGACTCCCTGCCCCATCACTGAGGTGGGGCCAGGGCAGTGGTGAGGGAAGGCAGGGCTGCGGCCTCAGTGGGGCCTCTTTTTCTACACACAGCTGCAGCCGTCTCTTCTCTTTTCCATCGAGTTCTTAAAGGGTGACCAGCAGGCGGCGCTGGCACAAAGGAGAAGGCCTTCCTGACTGTGTCCAGGGCGCCAGCCACAGGGAAAGGCCTGAGGAAGAGGGCAGGGTCCCCTCTGCACCCAGGTCTCTGCCCTGTGTCTGAAGGAGATATTGGCAGGGGCAGGAGAGCTGGTCAACGTGAAGGCCCCAAGCTCAGTAGGTACCCACAGGCCTCAATGCTCAATTCAATGTTAATCCCTGCTCCTCCTTCTCCAGCTGGTGTGGGGAGAGTCCGCTGGAGAATCTTGGAACACTTCGACAGAAGGCTGCCTCCCCACGTTCCAAGTGCACCTCCTGCCTATCTGATGGAAGTGGTGGGAGGGTGTGGATCCCGAGTCTCCTTCCAGTGGCACAGGCTCTGCACCCAGGAAATGGGGCAAAGGGGTGTGGGAGGGGAGGGGCACTGACTCAGCCACCGCAGAACAGGGCCGCCTGCCACAGTGGAGCTACTGGAGACACAGAGTGTCTTCCACTAAGACAATCTGTGGAATCAATCCGTGCACACAGATCAGTCTATGCACGGCCCGACATTTGACCCGAACGGGCTGTCTGGGAGATGTGTGAAGCCTCACCTCCACACAGCTGTTGACTTCCTCTCCCGTGAGTCTGGACTGCACAGCTTTCTCAAGTGGCTCTGTGGCAAGCTGCACTGCGTGCTGAATCCGTTCGAGCATCTGCTTTTTATCGGGATCCGTGGTCTCATTTAATTTTACTGAAAATGGCTGCAACCATAAAGAGACGTCAAATCTATTAGATACTGCTCAGCAAAACCTAAATTCATAAAGGTGATTCCAGGTAGAAAACAGAACGGTTTTTCCCATGGCCCCATAGAGATAGAGAAGTGTGCAACCCAAGTGGCCAGGCAGTAAGGAACTAAGAGAGACTGAAGCTCCCGGCTCAGGAGCTCCTGGTTCTGCCCTCTCACGTGTGACCCTGGACAGGGCACCTAACCTCTCTGTGCCTCAGTTTCTCCAATGCAAATTGGGTGTGAGAGCAGTATTTCTAGGGCTGTTCTGGGGATGAGGAAAAGTAGGCCACCCAGTGTGTTCTGAGGTGTGCTGCAGACACATCCATCAGGAAGGTACTCAGGCCTCACTGACCTAAAAGATTGCTCAGCTCTAATTTTATTCCTGTTTTTAATTCCAGAGATAAAATGCCATAAGCATATCCATAATGATTACTGTAATTACTAAGGATAATTAGTAGAGAGTAAAATGACCTATTCTTACTATTGTAATAAAAATAAGTATATAACGATGGTTATTCAGAATGAAAATACTAGAGAGAACTAATTTCTTCAAAAGATTCTGAAAATTTACAGTATTACCAAATTAAAAAGCTTAGTATAGCTTTTGTATCTTGGGCAGAAGTTTCTGATTTAGTTGTAACCTTGGCATTGAAAATTAGACAGCAATATTGGTAAGCATTTTTATAAGTGTAATTAGTGGCACTGTGATGAATTCAGTTGTTTTCCTGTAAGTGGCAGGAATGTCACCTACTCTCCACTCCACTCCAGTACATCTTTGCTGGTGACTTTGTCACAGGCCAGGGGACCTTACCTATGGAGACTTCAGCGCCCCTGACGGAACTGGCTTGAGTAACATACACTTTGTGAAAGCCTGTGAGACTGACACTACCCTAGGGACAGTAGCCTACAAAGGACCGAGAACAGAAAGCAAAGGGCTCGGTTTCTAGAGCAGACAGCAAGAGGCCCACCTTCAGGGCGGCCTGAACATCCTCCAAGAGCTGTGCCGCTTCAGGCCTCTTCTCCCGATACTGCTCGAACAGGTGGTTCTGCCGGGCCCTCTTGATGATCTGGGGAGGGAAGGCAGACATTGGGGAGTGATGCTTGGATCCCACATGCATCCCTCTGCAGCAGGCCACTCTCTCCCTTGGCCAACTCTAAGTGAGGGTGAGGGTGGTGGGAGACAACTGTGGGCCCCGGACGTGCACACCATCATCAAATAGAAACACCACCCTCCATCTCCCACCTGCCAAGTAGTGCCCAAGGCCTAACATGATCTTTCTGACGCTTAATGAAATGAGCCCTGGGGGCCCCAGCTTCCCCTGCAAGCCACATGTCGAAGTGCGTGCTGTGGGAGGCCTTCCTTCTGCAAAACACCCAGGGCTACCGACCCCTGAGCAACATGCAGGTTTCTAACCGTGTCTGAACATCATAGAAATGATCATATCAGTAGCAGAAGTGGTAATATTAACTCACTGAGGGGATTAAAATGATGTTTATCAGGTGAAAACACAAGCTAGCTCAAGCCTACATTATTTACTTATGCGAAAGTTCTATCTTCTTTTACACCATCCAATTGCATTTAAAATTTAATCTTACAAATTCCCTTTACCTTGTCATCAATATCCGTAATGTTCATGCAATAAAAGACATCAAATTTGAAGTAATCCTTCAACACTCTTCTCAAGATATCAAAAGAGATGTAGGACCTAAAGCAATGAAAAAACAAACATTTCCACACCAGACGATATGTATAGCTTAACCTCCAACAACACGTGTTTGAACTGCATGAGTGCATTTATATATGATTTTCTCTGCCATCCCTGAAACAGCAAGACCCCCCCTTCTCCTCCTCAGTCTACTCAACGTGAAGATGGCAAGGATGATGACCTTTATAATGATCCACTTCCACCTAATGAATAGTAAATATATTGCCTCTCCCTTATGATTTTCTTCATAATATTTTCTTTTCTCTGGCTTCCTTTATCATTAGGAATACAGTATGTAATGTATATACAAAATATGTGTTCATTGACTGGCATGCTATTGGTCAACAGGAGGCTATTTTAGTGGTGAAGTTTTTGGGGAATCAAAAGTTATGTGTGGATTTTCAACTGTGCAGAGGGTCACACCCTCTACCCTCCAGGTTGTTCAAGGGTTGACTATACATGACCTTGGCACTGCAACTAAAACATGAACACATAAAAGGACTCTGTGGCATTTACCCCAACAGCCAGCTACTCGTCAGGAGCTACAGCCATGACCATCCAGTGGTCGGGGGGCGGTCACAGCCAACCCAGCGTCAGGCCTGTCAGGTCTGAGTGTCACGGGAACTCAGCATCTGGGGACCCCACGAGAGCTTGAGGGATGAGAGAAAACTTTAAGGTATGTGAGAAAAAGTGCCCAGGTCGAGTCCAGCATGTTAGCAGTGGGGCTATGGACATTTTCTTTTTGGTGATCTGTAGTCTTTCTGCAGTGAATATAGATTACTTATGGCATTAAAATTTTCATCTTAAAAATAAGAGAAGAAATTCAGTCTTGATTCCTCAAATCTCAGGTCTCTGTAGCAGATCTAAGATCTTTGTGGACCTAAGATCGCTGCTGTGGATCCCAATGGCTCTGACTTCTGCGTGCAACTGCAGAAGCTGCAGGGACACCCCGCGGTGGACCTACCTGGCGTGCCCCATGTGAGATGCGTCATAGACGGTTGGCCCACAGCAATACCACGTCACCTTTTTCCCATCTTGAGGTATGAACACTTCCTTTGTTAGGAATGAAGGAATGACGATCACAAGAAATGCAAGAAACACTGCACAGGATTACCAAAAACAGCAACAAACATCACAGTGTGGTTTGTGTTTAGTGTAAACAATTCAACAGAGACCATTTTGTTTTACTGTGAAAAGTCACAGTCTCAGTGGGAGCCCAGTGAGATGTACGGCACCTCCCACCAACTGAGCCCTGGGTGGGTGGGGCCTCTTCCTCCCTGGGGTTCTACTCATCTATGGAGGGAGGCGATAAAGGGAATCAATGATTTTATTGATTGTTGAAATGCTGCTTATTTAACAATAACACAGCTAATATTTACTGAGTACCTACCATGTGCCAGGCCCTGAGCTAAATATTCAATATGCAGTACACTCTAGGACGTAGGTTATGTCATTTTCTTTTTACGGATGAAGAAACTGAGGCAGACAACACTTGGCCAGGGTCAGTCCCTGTTGGGGGAGCGCGGCTTGGAGGCCAGGACCCCTGAATCGTGGTGCTGCTCTGGCACCACTCCCCAACATCCCAGCACCCTCAGACCTCTCTGGGGGCATCATCCTCAACCAGTTTCCCAAGGAAGGCCATGAACTCCCTCACACCTGACTCTCTGTCTGCCAAACATGCTCCCTGATGGAAATCCAAGCAGCCCCGCCCAGAGCCTGGTCTGAAATCACTGGAGTCACTGGCCATGCCCTGAGCCAAGCAAACCATGCAAACCCCATTCTGTTAGGAACCAATCCTGCCTTCTTCTCAAAACCTGCTGTGCTCCCAACAACATCCAGCCAGTTTGCCGTTTTGTCCATCCTGCTTGGCTCATACAGTGCCACCTGCTGCAACCACGCGTCCTCCTGAAAGGCGTGGCTGTGGATGACCTCAAGTACTCATGGTTGGGCAGAGTCCGAGAGACAAGCCAGGGTGATCCATGCCCAGAAGTCATGGGCAGGCTTCCACATGAGGCATGATACTTCACGTGTCTGGGTTTCAGAGGACAGCTCTGCCTCTGGGCCACAGAGACTATAACATGGAAGTGACTGAAGGATCTTAAACCTGGATTTATGGAACTCCAGATCCCAACACAAGGAACAGAGAAGTCTGTTGTGCGACAAGGCACATGGGCTGTCCTGCCTCCTGCCTCCCCATTGTGTGCGTGTGCCACGGCATCTGTGTTCTCCTTACCTTGTTCCTGGTGAGGCTGTTGTAAAGGTGGAGTCTGCATGGCTGGGTCCCAGCAGGAGGGGACCACTGGGGCTGCACACGCCGGCCTTTGCCTGGGAGGCAGAGAGAGCAGGATCAGGGTCCAGGGGCAGCACCAGGAAGTGCAAGTCGCCTCTTCACCTGGAGACTTGGTTTTTACAACGGGACCATAGTTTTCCATGAAATTTAAACAATGTGAAACCACACGAATCTCGGTCAACATTACGCAGGTCAAAGACAACTGCGTCTTTTTTTTTTTTTAGACGGAGTCTCGCTCTGTCGCCCAGGCCAGAGTGCAGTGGTGTGATCTCGGCTCACTGCAAGCTCTGCCTCCCGACAACCGCGTCTTTCTTTTGCTTTCTAATATTCTGTATGGCAGCATACCCCAATAACACCCTTAGAGCCCCAGGAGGGCGGAGGAATGCCTGCACAGCGTGCCCAGCACATTCCACTGCTCTTCAAATACTGGCCCCTTTCTGGCAGTGAGCACACCACCACCTGGCACTCCTGGGTCAGTCAGGGCTTGACACTGACAAGGTATGGTCTGTTCTGCCGCAGCCCTGGGAACCTCCCCCACCCAGGATCCCTCACCTGGACAAACTGAGGATTTTGAGGACTCTTGTTGGGACAGAGGCCACCTCCAAGCCTCCAAGCCCTGGCAGCAGAAGCCAGGAGTCAGAGCAGAAAGGACCCCCTGTGGCCACGGCCAGCAGGCAAGACTGGCTCCAGCCCAGCCCCTCCTCATCACTTCGGACACTGCAGGAGTGGCTGGCTCCCAGCTCTGGGCCCACAGCCCAGCAGACTCTGATCCAGACACTGGGCTTCAAGCTCCACATAGGTCTATACTGCCTTCATAAATAACCTGAGCTCCTCTCAGCCTCCAGGCAGAGACCCCTGCCAGCCAGCCCCTCAGTGCAGTCACCTCCTCCTGGCCAGACTTCCCTAGTTGTTCCCCTCCACTCGCCTGTGGGCCGCCTGGGCTGCTCTGAGCACACTGCTTCCAGGCCTGGCTTCCAACCTGGCACAAGGCTGTCCTTACACAACCTGCATCTGAGATCCCTGAAGGGGCAGAGCTCTGTCCCTGGGGCCAGGGGCAGCCACAGGGTGATTATTCACCCTCTGAAACGTCAATCTGGCAAAGCTAGGTGTGGAGGACGGTACCTGGTGACTTTCCCGTTGCCCTCAGCCGGCTCCTGCCTGCCCTGCCCCCTCAGCAGATCCCCACTTTTCTCCACAGTCGTCGCCCACAGGTCCAGGTTCTGCGTTATGCTCTGCTGGGCACCTCTGACCCCAGCTGGTGCCTGGCCCTGGGAAGGGCTTCACATGTCTCTGCTGAGTGGCACCAGGAAGGCCTACGAGATGGATACTCCTAGCACTGACCTGTGCCCACCCCAGCAGGCCGCCTGGCAGCTCACCAGGGTGCTCGCATCCTGCCTCCTCCTGTCCCTGGTTTCTGTGCCAGAGGGTCTGGCAGCATGGCCAGCAAATTGCCACACACTGATCACGGGGAAGTTGGTCCTGGGCACCAGCCATCTCTTGGCCTCCCGGCTCTAGCTCAGGCCACACGAGCCAGGACGGCAGACGCTGATGACTAACAGGCCAAGGGGAGGAAGGAGGGCGGCTGCACTGTGTCTGGGCAGTGGGGGTACTGTGGGCAGGTGGGAGATGGGGCAGGAGACGGAGAGAGGGCCAGTGCTCAGCAGGAGCCCCCACTCTAGGTGAGTTCCAGTGGTCACAGGTGGTCAGATTCTAAAGCGTAGGCAATCTCCAATCTTAATCAAACATCATGTGCTTATTGAGGCCAAGTGCAGCTCGGCCTCAGTGTACTTTAAATGCCTCACAAGCCCTTGAAGGAGAATCTCACTCAATGCCTGGAGGCATTCAACCGGCCACTCTAGGATCCCATCACTCTCCTCCCTCACAAAGACCCTGGAGCTCCTTCAATAGGACACTGCTGCCATCTCAGACAGCTGGAGACGCTGCCCAGAAACACAGCCATGAGGCCACGGGATCATCACACTCACCCTGCTATGAGGAAACGGCCCAGGGTTCACAGGACTGAAAGCTTGTCCAAGAAGCCTGGCCACAGCCAGCATTCCTGCTCCCCTAAGGCTGCTATCTCCACACAGCTGGCGATGGGCTCCCCAGGAAAACGGGTTACCAGGCCCAGATATACAAATTCAGATTTGCAAAAGGGAAGAACTGAGAGATATCACATAAGGACCCTTGCCCCCCTTTTTTTTTTTTAGATAAAATCTGGCTGAAGTGCACTGGCGCAATCTCAACTCACTGCAACCTCCGCCTCCTGAGTTCAAGCGATTATCCTGCCTCAGCCTCCCAAGTAGCTAGGACTACAGGCACCTGCCACCACGCCCCACCAATTTTTGTATCTTTAGTAGGGATGGGGTTTCACCATATTGGCCAGGCTGGTCTCAAACTCCTGACCTTGTGATCTGCCTGCCTTGGCCTCCTAAAGTGCTGGGATTACAGGTGTGAGCCACCGCGCCTGGCCTGTGCTTTTGTTTCTTTGGAAAAAATGAACACACATTCGTTGATTCCAGAGTCCCACCCTGACCTGAGTGATCCAACAACAGACCAACTATGAACCGCTCATGAGAGACATGGCTTTGAAACAGGGATGTGGGAGGCTGAAGATAAAATGATGGAGAGGGAAGCCAGGAAGTGGCAAGCAGTCTGCCTACAACACACCAGATGCAGATAGGACCCAAGCAAGGGGTTCATGGAGAGAAATCCTTCATCAGGAAGTTAAGGGTCCTCCATCGGAGGGGTGAGAGCAACACCAAACCTTCATGTTCCTGAAACTATGGCCTCGGCGTCTGACAGACCCACACCCTCCTCAGTGAAGGGTATAGCTGACACTCCTTCCCGGGGGGTAGGGAGAGGCCGGCGGGCTGGAAGGGCTGAGCCTCCACTGCGGGTGAGAAGTGCTCAACAAGTTCAACGTCCTGATATCCAGTGGACCTCCGTGCTGGAGGCTGGTGATCCAGGGAAGGGATCCACCAGGAAGGGGTCTGGCTTCACAGGAGTAGGGACCTGGGGGTTAAGCAGAGCCTTTCCATTATCTCCAACCCCCCACCCCGAGACGGAGTCTCGCTCTGTCACCTAGGCTGGAGTACAGTGGCACGATCTCGGCTCACTGCAAGCTCCGCCTCCCAGGTTCAGGCCATTCTCCTGCCTCAGCCTCCCGAGTAGCTGGGACTATAGGCACCCGCCATCACGCCCGGCTAATTTTTTGTATTTTTAGTAGAGACAGGTTGTCACCGACTTAGCGAGCATGGTCTCAATCTCCTGACCTCGTGATCCGCCCGCCTTGGCCTCCCAAAGTGCTGGGATTACAGGAGTGAGCCACCGCGCCGGGCCAAGCAGAGTCTTTCCATGTCTGAGAGGATCTTGGAGACAGGACACAGAAGGCACATGGGAGGAGCTGGTAACAGGCGGGCACACTGAGGGCCAGACACAGGCACATCTGATGCTGCTGGGATGTCCAACAGAGGTGGAAGGGCGAGCAGGAGGAGGGGCACATGGCCCACTGTGCCAGCAAGGAAGGTGCATGCTTGGGGAGTATGAGCCATGGAAAGAGAGGGCGTTCCCACTCAGTGGGGGAAGCAGCTCTGATTGTCACAGCTACATGGAGGGAGATCCACAGCTACTGTCATCCCAGGGACATGGGCGAGGACACTACACTGGACTCCATGGCGCCTTGGACCCACTCGAGGTCACTGGATGCTCTAGCAGTCCCAGACTCCAGCTCCCACCTCCCCCTTCAGCCCCTGCTCAGTGTACAGCAAGCTTGAGTGAGGGTCGCCTGACATAATGCCCATCATTCCTGGCACAAGCAGACCCTGGCAGCCTCTTGCGCAGCCTGGGTGATGAGGGGATTTGGAACCTGGGGAGGGCACAGCAACTCCATTAGTGCTATCCATGGTCCATTCTGTTACACAGCAACGTGGCTCTGCTTCCTCTCTGTAGGTTAAAAAGTGTTTGCAAGAGCAAAACCCTTCCTTCCTCTCACAGTGTGGATGGAGGCTTGCGTCTGTGCCGCTCTTTCAACAAGTCCCTATGAGGGAAGCCTGGACAGGCCACTGCTGAGCTGGACGTACCAGGCCCGCTTCACCCTCCCTAATCCTGCCCCCCTCTGGCTGTGTCTTGGAATGGCACATGGCAGGGGGAACAACCTGACACCCGAGCCCTTGGAGAGAAGGCACCTCACAGCACAGGTGTCACTTGGGTGACCGCGCTGGAGGCTCAGGCAGGAACGGCTACATGGGGAAGGACGTGACCTGCACAGCAACGGCCTCTGCCCTACGCTGGGGAAGGAGTGTCTGCTGCAGAGTTATCCAGAAAACACGACCCACAGGAGATGTGACATCCCCACCTCCAGCCTGGTTAAAACAGTGATCTAGCAGAGGCCTGACCCACGGCAGAGGCGGGGGGGCATGTTCCCAATCCCAGGCCCCAACGGAGTCTGGAGAAGCCCCCAGAAGGCTGCCAGCTACAGCCAGGACCACCAGAAAACAGCACTAAACCTGCCCCCACATGAAGGTGGAGGAGTGCCCACAGCCACAGGAGGAGCTGGGCCACCCAAAGGCATACTTCAGTGATGATGGCATGGAGCCCCCTCAGATTTGCCACAGAGTGACAAAGCCATGCAGGCATCCCAGGAGTATCTCCCGCAAATAACCACAGGCACGTTCCACAGACACAACCAGCACCAACAGGCTGGAGCTACGGGACAGACATCATCTCAAAGAGAAAAAATGACTTATTTCTGATTTTTAAAAAGTTCAATGCCGGCCGGGCGCGGTGGTTCACACTTGTAATCCCAGCACTTTGGGAGGCCGAGGCGGGTGGATCACGAGGTCGGGAGATCGAGACCATCCTGGCTAACACGGTGAAACCCCGTCTCTACTAAAAATACAAAAAATTAGCCAGGCATGGTGGTGGGCGCCTACAGTCCCAGCTACTCGGGAGGCTGAGGCAGGAGAATGGCATGAACCCGGGAGGTGGAGCTTGCAGTGAGTGGAGATCGCACCACTGCACTCCAGCCTGGGCGATAGAGCGAGACTCCATCTCAAAAAAAAAAAAAAAAAAAAGTTCAATGCCAATTAATACTTTAGGATTCAACAATTCTAAAGCTGGAGGATAGACACGCTACAATCTTATGGAAGAAATAAAGAGAAAGAACTGAGTCAACCAGAGCCAGGCACAGCCTTAGCTAAAAATCACAAGGCTAGGGCCCGTGGCCTGGGCATGCTACGTGGAACCCCAGAGCCGCAGCGGCTCTGCACCCCACCACCTCAGGCAATCCTGCCACACCAGTGATGTGAACATACTGCTCCTGAATAACCAACTCCATAGGGCGTGATTTTATCCCAACCTCCATCCAGCAAGCGCTGCATCTGCCCATCCAGGCCACTTGCTCGAGACACACTTGGGCGAGGCTCCCTCTGGGGTATCCGCAGACGCCAGGTAAGCACCAGGGTGATGGAGAAAGCCCTTGACCTTGGGAGAGAGGTTCTAATGGCCAGGGAACCCACTCTGTTACTCACTTGCTTGGAGCCTGCAGGGCTGGCCTTTGCCACAGGGGCTACCCAGGAGCGCTTCTATGTGCCTGAACCACCGAGCCACGTGGAAGAGCTGGGGGTCAGCGGGCGGGGCCGAGAGCTGCCTGAACGCGTCCACGTCTGCCTGGGACAGTGAGTACCCCTGGACATAGCTACGCGTGCTGAGGTGCTCGTTCAGGGCTTGTGCCCTGGCTGCCTCGTCACTAATGCTCAGAATGGACCTGTAGTCAGGAGCTGCAAAGACAGAGGGCACATGGTGTCAGGCAGGCAGGCGGGCAGCCCAGAGGCCGCCAGAAAGACAGGGACTAGGGGATGGCACAGAACCAAGGAAAAAGGTGTTCAAGCCCTTCCCTGGACGCCAAACATCCAGAACAGGCAAAGGCACAGGGGCAGCGCTTCGACTGGGGGCGAGGGAGTGACTGCCTGACAGGTATGGATGGGTTCCCTCTTGGGTGATGAAAATGCTTTGGAACTAGACAGAAATGAAGGCTGCATGACAACATCATGCGCCAAATACCACAGAATTGTGTACTTTTCACTTTATGTCATATAAATTACTTAGTTTTTACATTTTTAATTTATGTTTTCTATCAGGGAAAGCAGGAACACAGTTCCACACCATCACAAATTACACAGTTCAGTTTCTGACATTTGGGGAAATCATAGGGGTCAGCACATCTGGAGTATAACGGATAAGCCTCGCCTTGGGAAAGCTACCTACATGATCATGGTATCCCTCCTGTCAGCTAAGTATGTTACGAGAATTTAACCTCAATTTTTAAAAACTCACAACAGAAATCCCCCAAACCAAACCAACTTCAAGCCTCTTTGCCGCAGCGGCACCCTCTCCCTCTGGGTGCTGGGGGATGAGGGGTAGGAGAACCCCACATTGACAATGTGTGCCATTTACACCCCTGCACCAAGAGACAGCTGGACTCTAGCATGGCTTCTGCAGGTCAAGGCCACAGCCTCAGGAGGACTGGGCCCCCTCAAAGGACCAGCCCAAGAAAGCACAGGGCTGCCAGGAAAATGTGGCTGCTCCAGCCAGCCTCACCTGGCCCCTGGCCCCTGGCCCCAGGCCCCAGCCTCCCTCCTTAGAGCCTTCAAAGCAGTAAGCGTGCACCTCCACCACTCAGGTGTGTCACTCAAGGACCCAAGAGCCACTGTTCCGCATGTCACCATTGGGAGGAGGAGCAGAACCCTAACTTTCACCACTGCCAGCTGTAGACAAGGCCGCCTTGACACATGCACGCTGACCAGCTCCATGGCTTTTTTCATTTGAGCCCCTGCTCACCCTCCTTCTCCTCCTCCATTCTCCCTTTTTTATTTTTATTTATTTATTTATTTATTTATTTTTATTTTTTAGAGACAGCGTCTGACTCTACTGCCCAGGCTGGAGTGCAGTGGTGCAATCAAGGCTCATCACAGCCTCAAAATGCTGGGCTCAAGTGACCCTCCAGCCTAAGCCTCCTGAGTAGCTGGGACTACAGGCACATGCCACCAGGCCCAGCTAATCATACTCCCTTTAAATCCAAAAGTCACCTCTGCTGAACTGGCAGGGAACGCAGCTCCTTCCCCTACTGTCAGGAATTAGGGAATAAAATCTGTCTCACCATTCTAAGGAATATCTCCCTGCAATTACCTCTGACACGGGAGTTGTGGACCAGGTGCTGTGTCCACAGCCCACGTCCCTAAAGTGGGGGCAGACCAGGCAGATGGTGCCAGGCTTCTGGCCAGAGGAGGGAGTCTGGTCCCTGAGCCCATGAGCACAGGTGCATCCAAACCTTGAACCAGTGATTGTGTTTGCTGAGAGGACTGTGGGAAAAGGACCGATGCTTGCTCCTTCCAGACAGATACCCTCTCACCCCAGAGTTCACTCAGGGTAGGAATGCACATGTCTGGCCACCCCTTGCTGTGCCAGCTGCCCTTCCTGGGCACAGGCTGCCCGACATCACAGCCATGGGGCGTGGATGCCCTGCACATCACAGTCCCCCTCTCTGCCTTCTCCCATTCCCTTTTGTCCCCCATCTCCGTGTTTACTCCTGGCACAGAGCCAGAGTCACCCCAACCAAGCCCACACAGCTTCTGAAAACAGAGAGCAGAGTGTGTTGCGGGGGTAACTGCACACGAATGCCTTTCTCTGCTTTGCTTAGTGTGGGGAAAGCCCTTCGTGTCAGGCCAATAACTGGCACTTCCCGGAACGCTGTGGTGTCAGCAAAGATGAGTCAGAATGGAGTGCACAGCTGCAGCAGCAAGAATGCCCCACTGGGCCGAGCTCTTCACCCGCCAGGGAGCCTACGGAGCCACGTGATGCCCCAAGGCCCAGCCTCCGTGGCTGCCGGAGAAGATGTCCTGAAGCCACCTCTTCTCTGCAGTAAAGGGGTGGGCACTCTGTGGGAGAGCCTTCCTGAAGTCTCAACATGGATGCAGGGCTTAAAATGGCTTCCTGGGATGACTCTCGCTGGTGGGATGACGAGTGCAGCGTCCCTCTAACTTGCCCTGCTTCCTTCCCACTGCACGGAGCCACTGTCCCATCTGACCCCAATAAGATGGCCACCCACTCCAAGCAGCCACAGGCACCCAGAAGCAAAGCTCTGGGCACACTCCCTAGCCAAAACTGGAATCACACCCCTTTACAAGTTATCCTTAGGAGCACCCATAGCCAACCCACGGGAGGATCCGGGGCCTCTAACTCAAAAGAAGCTTTGGACTTGAGAGCCAGCCCTTGTCACCTGGATTCCTGCAAGCCAGACACCGCCACCTGTAGCCAGCATGGCTCTCCCCTCACAGCCACAGGCCTCCAGCGGCCCTGCTGAAAAGCGCACGTTCACATTACTGCCCCCAACACCCACCTCGCCAGCAGCACAAGCCTGTCCTCATGCTGGCCATGGGCCCCCACCTGACTCACAATACCCTAGTCACATGGCCCCTCCACCTGCTGCTCTTTTTTTAGGGGGCATGCTCCCCAGATACCAGCAGGCCCCTTAATCCTTCACAGCTCTGCTAGGTGCCGGCTTCCCCACCAGGTCTTCAAGGACTCCCTGTCCATATGGCGCCCGCCTCTAGACCCTGAGCCTGGCTGCTCTTTCTCTCCGCAGCACCCCTGTCTAACACGTGCCCGCATTTCTTTCCTTCACCATCTGCCCCACCGCTCCATCTACCTTATTCACTGCTCGATCTTCAGCATCTACAACTGAGCGTGTGACATTCCAGATATCAGCTAAAGTTGCCTAGGGCACAGATGAGTGGACAGCAGAATGGCACCACAGAGTGCATGCCACCAGTGGTGGGCTGGCGTTCCCCTGTGGCACTGGGCCTCATGCACCCTTCTCAGAAAGACACCTGCACAAGGACCAGTGCTGGGAACCGGCCACAGCCTCTGCTGCTTTGAGCCCCCAGGGGCTTGCTTAGCAGGAGCCCTGCTGCCCAAAGATACCAGAGACATAAGAACAAGTCACTTTTCACTTCAGCTCTTCCAACAGTCCAAGGAAAGAGAAAGACAGGGGTGGACTCTGGCCCCACTGAAGGCGCCTGGGGGGTGCCGGGAGCTCTTGAGGGCCTCTCACCTGCCCCATCCCCACAGTTACAGGCCCAGTGTCAGCACTGACACTGCCGGGGCTTCCCTCTGAGAAGAAGGAGGCTGCTTACATGGAGATGCGCTCTCCTCCCAGCTGGAGATGAGATCAGGGAGGACGGAGGCGGAGGCAGACCCACAGAGGCAGCTCCAAGCACCCCAAAGTGAGGTCCTGGAAAACTAACTCTAAATAAATATCAGACTCCTACAAACTCTTTTGCAGAGCAACTTCCAGCCAGGAGACTTCTAGTTTAGCTGGATATTTCCCTCCAACAGCTCTGCAGCTGCCAGCAGGGGTCCCATTTCATGATAAAGAAAATGAAGTTCACTAAAGATTAGAGAACTTGCCAGAGGGATGGACAGAGCTGGAAGGTGAGCCTTGTCCCCTCACAGATCAGGCCACAGTTCGAAAGCTGTTCCCCAATGCTGACCCTCCACATTCCTCTCCCCTGTCCCCTCCCTGAGCCTTGGTCTTCTGCAACTGCTCATGCCTGGGTTGGACTCCACGACAGCAAGAGGGAAGAAGAGACAACAGCAGCACCCTGAGAAACAGTGACACAGCATCGGCTTCCAGCTGAGACAGCGAGCTGACAGTCACGTGCCTCTCACACTCAGAATGGATTCTGATGGAGAGACCACCAGCAACAGCCCGAACACTGACAGTGACGATGGTTGATGAGAGGGGGTGACAGGTGATTTTAATTCCCTCTTTTTCTTCATTGCTCACATTTTCTGCAGTAAGCATCTGCTATTTTTAAAATGAGAAAAACATCAAATGTCCTAACGGCGGCTGCAGTGGCTTTTGAGCGCTGAGGAAGCAGTCTGGGAACTGAAGCCGCTGTGTATCCGCTCTCTGGAGACCTGAGGGGCGGCCCCGACGCCCTCCAGGGCTGAGTACCTACACTCACACACACGGCGGCATTTCCTCACGGTAAAACACGCTCATAACATCAGCCCTGTAAAGCTGCAGGCCATTAAGTCAAATGACACTTGTAAAATGTTTAAAAGCTGCCTGGCACAGAGCCAGGGGCCCCATTTGCCATCATTATTATCATAATCGCTCTGGTATTATTAATGTTATTGTAATAGCCGCATGCTACACACAGAGAATTTCCTGGAGTTTTCCTAGGGCTCACACACCCATTTTTATTTAATTAATTTTATTATTTTAAAAGTTTATTACCAAATCTGCCTTGATCTTGGATCACATAATTCTTAAATGTACCGTCTAGAGCAGGCTAGACGGCTCATCAAAAGGGAACCAAGACCATGCTTGGGAAGGATCTTCTCAGAGCAGAAAGGTGCTGGTGCCCAGGGAAGCACAGGAGAATGACAGGCTTCCATGAGATGGACGCAGACAGTCATTTGGGTAATCGTGGTAGCTGCATTTAAGTGTGTCTCGAGGAAACAAATAAAAATAGGTCAGCTTTCAAGTGGTCATGGGTTTGAGCCAGGCTGTGGATCAGTCTGATGCTGAGATCAGATGAGAACACTTCTGAGCAGACTGAAAACCTCCCAGGGACCTGTTCCTCGACACTGGCCCTCATCGTAGAGCCTGCACGCTCCGTGCCGAAACTCCTGCTCTGCCCCCATGAGAAGGAATGTCCACCACCGGATGACCTTGCAGTTCAGTTCATCAACACATTGAGGGACATGGGAATGTCCCAAAGGTGGATGGTGGTTGTCACCGGCTACAAAGGTGGAGTCTCTACAGAACATTTATTGAAATCACATGCAAGTACCAAGCAATTGCTCAGCACAGATACCAAAACAAAGCCACACCAAATGAACAACAACCCTGACACGTCAAACAACTGTGGCAGTGCGACCTCTCCCTCTCTCTGGCTCTTTCCTATCAGCATTTATTTTTTATTTATTTTTATTTTATTTTATTTTATTTTATTTTTTGAGACGGAGTCTCGCTCGTCACCCAGGCTGGAGTGCAGTGGCATGATCTCGGCTCACTGCAAACTCTGCCTCCCGGGTTCAAGCGATTCTCCTGCCTCAGCCTCCCGAGTAGCTGGGATTACAGGTGCCCGCCACCATGCCCAGCTAATTTTTGTATTTTTAGTAGAGACGGGGTTTCTACATATTGGCCAGGCTGGTCTAGAACTCCTGACCTCAGGTGATCCACCCACCTCGGCCTCCCAAAGTGCTGGGATTACAGACGTGAGCCACCATGCCTGGCCTCCTGTAAGCATTTAAACCTCTCCCGGCTGCCCTGTTTCTCTTCCTGCGTTCCCTTGAGGCTCTCCCAGGTCCACTCCAGGCATGGCCCTGGTGTGCCTTCAGCAGCAGAACCTGGGGGATCCAGAGAAGTCACATTCTTGGGCTCACCAGAGACCTGCCAAATCAGAATCTCTGGGGTGGGCCCAGCAAGTGAGGTTTAAACCAGCTTCCCCATGGGTGGAAAGCTTGCTAAAATGCAGACCCCTTTACAGCAGGTCTGAGCTCCTAATAAGTGCCCCGGTTTGGTGGGGGTCTGCACCCCTCACTCACCCTGACCCTTTGCCCTCTGACCCTGCTACTTCAAAGGTCCCACCAGGGTCCTCATCTTGTGGGTGTCCAGGCAACATCTCACCCTGCAGGTTACTCCCTTTCTGCAAATGTTCCCCTGGTCCCACCCTCTACAGCTGCTCCTCTTGGGTCCTTCCCAGTGATCCACTCCCTGCCCAAGAAGTGTTCAGAAAGGGGACCGGAAAAAGCCCCCAGACATGAATCGTGGGGAGGAGAGAGGGGCATGCACCCCTGCTCTCACCAACTAGGAGCCAACACTGCCCACTCCCAGAGACCAGCGCCTCCTCCCACAGGTGAGGGCTTCCCCTCCCACTCCCCGTCCTGATCACCAGCCCCGGAGGTCCAGCTGCAACTCGTTCACAAAGGTGGCCCCCAGGCATCCTCTCTCACCCCCAAGAACAGCATCTCCATCTTCCTCCTTACTGGGAGGGAGGTTATTCATTATTAGGGGCATCCAACATCCCTCACAATGAGCCTGTGGGGTGATCAGACAGCAATATTGCCACCCAGAGCACCCACACTGGAAATGGCTTAATCTCCACCCCAAGGGTACTGCCTAAGGCTCTTCAAATACCCGGAAACATGGTACCTGAGTTCATAGAGGAGCAAACATTTCATGTGGCTCTGGGGAAAACATCGAAGGGCATCAGCTTTATTCTCGTCTGCCTTAACTCACTGGGTTGAGCTATTGTGAGTCTGAAGAGAATCATCAAAGGCAGCACAGCACAGCAGTTAAGGTCCCTATTGAGTCAGGCTGCCCAGGTTGGGAGCCTGGCTGTGCCTCTGGCTAGTCGTGATGGTGGACAGATTGCTTGACTTCTCTGAACCTCAGGATTCTCATCTGTACAAGATGCCGGCAGGATCTTCCTCAAAGGGGTTCCCCCAAGGGTGGCAGGAGATAACAGATGCAAAGCATTTAGAGCAGTGCCTGGCACAGACTCATGCTGAAAAAATGCTGGCTGTGTTATTATGAAGACCCTTGAATTAAACTGTATAAAAATTAAACTATAAGTCTGACCTGATGAGCAGCCGACCAAGTGGTATCCCAAGTCTGTGCGGAAAGGCCCTGAGGTAGGCTCCATCTACCCCAGAAACCTCAGAAATGAAACTCATCCTTCTGAAATAATCAGGCTCTTGGACAGGCACCAAGCCTATGCACCTTCAAGACCGCAAAGGAAAAGCTGTACACCCAGTGAGATCAGGAAAGAGAAATAGACCTTCTGAGTCAACTTAGGGAAGATGGTACAAAAATGATGGCCTCCTTGAAAAATCTGGGAAGATGGTCACTGAAAGCATTTACGATTGGATTTTTTTTTTTTTGAGACGGAGTCTCGCTCTGTCGCCCAGGCTGGAGTGCAGTGGCGCAATCTCGACTCACTGCAAGCTCCGCCTCCTGGGTTCACATCATTCTCCGGCCTCAGCCTCCGAGTAGTCAGGCGCCCGCCACCGCGCCCGGCTAATTTTTTTTTTATTTTTAGTAGAGACAGGGTTTCACCATGGTCTCGATCTCCTGACCTCGTGATCTGCCTGCCTCGGCCTCCCAAAGTGCTGGGATTACAGGTGTGAGCCACTGCGCCTGGCCTACGATTGGATTTTATTTCCTGTTCTCATCTTTGAGAGTGTGTGTGTGATGGGAGGAGGCGATAGTAAAGGCAGGTGGGCCATGCCCTGGGGCAGAAGAACACTGGCTGGAGATGCTGTGCGCAGGCTGAGGACTGGGCAATCTGCCTGCTGCCCTGACAGCCCGGAGAGGGCAATCCCAACCTATATGGCAAGCTCCAAAAAGAAGGCAATTCTTACAAGGCTCTGAAAACCTAAAATTCTAAAGCTATTTTTAAAAACAAGATACAAAACACTACTAATACGTCATTTACGTTCACAAATGAACAAAAACACATTTTTAGTTTGAAAACAAACAGGCCCTAACTTTCAGCACAGACACAGCACTTAATTGAGTGCCAGGCACTGTTCTACGTCCTTCCCATCTATTAATTCATTTACACTCCATGCTCCAAGGTAGGAGCCATTACGCATGGTTTGCTGTGGGGCGGGAGGCAGAGTTGGAACCCTGGCCCTTCCAGGGTGGTTCCAGAGTTGGGGCTGTTAACTATGATGCTGTTTTACAGGAATCTGGGTGACTTCTGAGGGCCGCTTGGCTCTGGGACGGGTGGAGATGGTGCTGGAATCCAGGCACACAGGTAGGGTGGTAGGCGGCGTGCCTGGAAGGTGACCACCTCCTGCCACTTGGCACAAGAGTGTAGCCCTGTCATCTGGGTGTCCCCATGCCGCCAGATTACTCGGGTTGTCATAACTACCTATCTATAACCCAATAAACCCTCAGGGGCAAAGGGCACCACCAGATGCTAAGGAAATCTTGGTACGATCTAAACTGAGGGTGGGGGCTGGAGGTGTCTTACAAGAACTTGCATCTAATTTTTGCCAGCCAAAAGAATTAAAAACTAGATACTGAGAATGTTTCCTTTGGAAAGGCTGCTCCAGACTGTTAGGAATCTGGGCTTTCTGATTCAGTCTCTTGCCTTTCCAGCACCTAAAATCTTGCTGGAGGGACAGTGAGAGAAGAACCCACTGGTCTCTCAAGGTCTACCCGCTGGTGACATGAGTGACTGGGGGAGCTGACACAGCTGTGTCCCTGGGGAACCTCCCGGGTTGGCAATAAAATGGGGCAGTAATGCTCTGACAATCAGCTTGCAGTGGACTGCCTGCGGAACTGGAGATGAAAGCCTTCGTAAAGCCCCAAGCCCTTTTACTGTGTGTACGCGTACCCCTGGCGTCCTCTGCCCCATTTCCCTAAATACCAACCTCAGGTGCCCTCCGCCCACCTCCCGGAAGCTGCCAGGTCTGGGCAGAAAACCAAAACAACCCTTGGGCCTTTGTCTCCCCCCTAAAGGCCAGCTGGGGCAAGAGGGAGCGAGGGCCCGCCCAGGCACCGGCTGGGGAAAGGCTGTTTGATGTAGGGCCACCTCCCGGGGTGAGGATGCAAGGGGACCTCGGCAGGAACCAAGTGAGGAAACTGAGGCTGGGTGGTCTGGGCAGCGCCCCGCTCGGGCTCGGGTCCCCGCGGGGTCTGTGCTCCAGCCACGGGTCTGGCAGACCCTCACGCAGGAGTCCCAGGGGTCCCAGTGGCCGTCCCTCGGAGCCGGGCACCCGTTGTCCTTCGGATCCTAGGACGTGCCACCCCTCGAACCTCAGGACCCGCCGTCCCTCAGACCCCGGGCACTGACACCCCTCAGACCCCGAGCACCCCCGCCCCTCGGACCCAAGGACGTGCCGTCCCTCAGACCCCGCGCACTGACACCCCTCAGACCTCGGGCACTGCCGCCCCTCAGACCACGGACACAGCTGCCCCTCAGAACCCATGCACCCGGGCCCCTCAGACATAAGGACTCGCTGCCCTTCGAGCCGAGCACCCAGCGCCCAGTCAGGCCCCCAGCCGCCCTCAGCCTGGCCCGGCCGCGCCGCTCACCCTGCTGCCCGGAGGAATCTGCCATGGCTGGGAATCCCGGACCCGCAGCTGCGGCTACAGACACTTCCTAGAATCTGATGCAACCGCCGCCCCGGAAGTCGCGCCCCACGCCGGGCCCGTCTTCCGGGACACGCCCGGTCGCTAGGCAACTACCAGGGGCTCCGGATGTCGCCGGCCCGGAGCATGCTGGGAGCTGTAGTTCAACCCAATGGCGACCCGCGCTCCGGAGCATCGCGCGGCCAAGCGTTCAGTGGCCGTGCTGGGAGTAGTCAGCCCAGCCGCGGGGAGACAAGCACTAAAGACTGAGCGTCCTGTAATAGGTGTTTAAGTCATGATTGCGCTAAGCGCCGTGGGGACCAGGCCCAGCCTGGAGGTCAGAGGCGGCCTCGGGACAGGGTGTGCTGGCGAGACGGGATGGTTCCCAGGAGGCCGACCTGGAGCAGGGCCTGGGGATGGGCGGGAAGAGCGCTCCAGGCCTAGGGACCGCCCTGCCAATGACCCTGCGGAAAGCAAGCCACTATGAAGTGTTGCGTGAACAGGCTTCTCCATCTCCTTCTCAGACCCCATTCTGGAGCCATCCCCAACCCCCTTAGGGCTCCTGCCTTCTGTGTGCATGATGTCACCTCCCAAGGATATCCCACCCAAGGTTCGTGCACCCATCCAAAATGAGAGGAAATGCTATTTAAGAAACAGAATTTTAATATGTCAAGAAAAATTATTAGCCAGGATTAGTGGCTCATGCCTGTAATCCCAGCACCTTGAAAGGACAAGGCAGGAGGATCATTTGAGTCCAGGAGTTTGAAGCTGCAGTGAGCTACGACTGTGCCACTGCATTCCAGCCTAGGCGACAGAGTGAGACCCTTTCTCAAAAAATAAAAAGTAAAAAATCTTCTAGTTACTTTTTGGAACCTCATGTCTAATTTCATAATAAATTCTAAGGCCGGGCACGGTGGCTCACACCTGTAATCCCAGCACTTTGGGAGGCCGAGGTGGGCGGATTATGAGGGCAAGAGATCGAGACCATCCTGGCCAACATGGTGAAACCCTGTCTCTGCTAAAAATGCAAAAATTAGCTGGACATGGTGGCGCTTGCCTGTAGTCCCAGCTACTCAGGAGGCTGAGGCAGGAGAATCGCTTGAACCAGGGAGGTGGAGGTTGCAATGAGCCGAGATTGCGCCATTGCACTCCAGCCTGGCAACAGAGTGAGACTCCGTCTCAAATAAATAAATAAATAAATAAATAAATAAAATAATAAATAAATAAATTCTAAATTCTACTGGTGGCTGGAAAAAAAAAAGAAGAAAGAGTTTGTTTACATTTCTGCAAAGATCCTGTAGCATGTGCTGTAACTTGCCCAGGATGTGGGAGGCTCTGTGAGACCCCAACTAATCCCAAAGGAGGGACCAAGTCCAGGACTTAGGGGACGAAGTTCTGGCCAGGTCCTACCATGACTCTCACAGTGCCTGTTTCTCACTCATCACTCTAGGACCATGAGTCACCCAAGCCCAGCTCGGCCACATGCCTTCCTGGGAGAAGGAACCGGAGGCGCCCAGGAGAGTCAGAAGCCTCTTAGAGATAAACATTCGGCTAAGGCTTGCCCTGCCCTTCCTTTCTTGCACTAAGAAAGCCTCCTGACATCAGGTCAGGCAAGCCAGAGTTTGGCTGTAAGACCTGGGGTGAGTTTAACTTCTCTGAGCTTCCAGATGTCTTGTTTTTAAATCTGCAAAGTGGGGCCGGGCACTGTGGCTCACGCCTGTAATCCCAGCACTTTGGGAGACCAAGGCGGCCAGGTCATTTGAGGTCAGGAGTGCAAAACCAGCCTGGCCAACATAGTGAAACTTCATCTCTACTGGGAAAAAAAAAAAGGGTCTGCAGAGCGGAACTGGGAAATGATCACCTGCTCAGGTGGCCGAGCTGTGTCTAAGAGTGCTGCAGTGTCTAGCAGCAGTGGGTCCCGCCTCCCCAGTCCTGCTGCGTCCCAGCCCTACCACCAGGGCAAGGACACTCTCTGAACCTCAGCATCCCCCTGGTGTTGTAGTTCTTTGGGACAGCACATTGGGTTACAGGTTGTTATGGGTTGCATTGTGTCTCTCCCAAAAGATGTGGAAATCCTATAACCACCAGGACCTGTGAATGTGACCTTATTTGGAAATAGGGTCTTTGCAGATGATAAAGTCATAAGATGAGGTCATTAGGGGGGACGTTAATCCAGTATAACTGATATCCTTGTAAAAAGGGAAAATTTCAGCTGGGCATGGTGGCTCACACCTGTAATCCCAGCTCTCTGGGAGGCTGAAGAGGGAGGATGGCTTGAGCCCCAGAGTTTCAGGTTGCAGTGAGCTATGATTGTGCCACTGCATGCCAGCCTGGGTGCAGAGTGAGACCCTGTCTCTAAAATAAATAAATGAATAAATAAATACACATATATAAATTAATTTAAAAAAATTTTTTGAGACGGAGTTTCACTCTTGTTGCCCAGGCTAGAATGCAATGGTGCCATCTTGGCTCACCGCAACCTCAGTGTCCCAGGTTCAAGAGATTCTCCTGCCTCAGCCTCCCGAATAGGTGGGATTACAGGCATGTGCCACCATGCCCGGCTAATTTTGTATTTTTAGTAGAGACGGGTTTCTCCATGTTGGCCAGGCTGGTCTCGAATTCCCGACCTCAGATGATCCGCCCGCCTCGGCCTCCCAAAGTGCTGGGATTACAGGCGTGAGCCACCATGCCCAGCCAATTAATTAAAATGTTTAAGTGGAGGAAATTTGGACACTGACAAGCAGGGAGGGTGCCATGTTAAGATAAAGGCAGAAACTGGGGCGATGCTTCACAAGCCAAAGGGCACCAAACATTGTCAGCAAATCACCAGAAGTCAGGGGACAGCCTGGGACAGATTCTCCCTCACAGCCCCAGAAGGAGCCCACCCTGCTGATGCCCTGACCTGAGACTTCCAGCCTCCAGAACTGTGAGACAATAAATCCTTGTTGAAGCCCCCAAGCCTGGCAGCCCCAGCAAACTGATAATGAGGATTTCACAAGAGCACGTAGGGTAAGGACATCACACAGAACCCTGCCTACTAAATATTCCGCAAGTGCAGACCCATCCTGGAAGCTTCACTGGCCTGTTCTGGATGGCTGAGGGGCTGATGCCTTGGTCTGGCCCTGGGCCATGGGCAGCAGGTGAGTGAACAGCACCTTCCCCGGGCAGCTGGACTTTCCTCGGCCACCAGTGGCCACCGTGCAGGGCTCTCCCTTGAGTCTCCTAAGGGCCAAGGCCAAGTTCTCCAAGAACGCTGCTCTTTCCATGCCAGAGGATGGACAGTCCCCCTCAGTGTCCATGGGCAGCAGGGTGTCGCTGGGCCCACTGCTTTGAGGTGACTAAAGCAGAGTGATTTCTTTGCTGGCACAGCCAGCAGCTCAGGCCCTACCCAAACCACTTTTAGGGAAAGAAATGTCACATGGCCTGCAAGCCAGGGTAGCGCAGCGTTAGAGACGAATACACTCAGGTGAGCTCCCAGCTCTGCTGCCAACTCCCGGGGGGGTCCCAAGACAAGCCTGTTGTGGGTTGAGCTGTGGTCCCCCCAAAATGATTATGCCCATGTTCTAACCCCTGGTACCTGCGACTGTGACTTGATTTTTATTCATTTATTATTTTATTTTTTTTTAAAGCAGGGTCTCGCTCTGTCACCCTGGCTGGAGTGCAGTGGTGCAATCACAGCTCACTGCTGCCTCAACCTCGTGGGCTCAAGTGATCCTCCCACCTCAGCCTCCTGAGTAGCTGGGACCACAGATGTGCACCACCATACGTGGCTAATTTTTTATATTTTTTGTAGAGATGGGGTTTCATTATGTTGCCCAGGCTGGTCTTGAACTCCAGGGCTCAAGTGATCCTCCCGCCCTGGCCTCCCAAAGTGAGAGGATTACAGGCGTGAGCCACTGGACCTGGCTGGCTTTATTTGAAAAAGGCGTCCTTGCAGATATAATCAAGTTAAAATGAGGTCATCCTGGATTAGAATGGGTCCTAATCCAATGCCTAGTGTCTTTATGAGAGAGAGATTCAGAGATACAGAGATAGGTGTGAAGGGGGAAGCAATTGGAGTGATGTAGCACAAGCCAAGGATGGCCGGTGGCCACCAGAAGCCAGGAGAGAGGCAAGGAAGGACCTCCTGGAGAGCCTCTGAAGGAACCCACCCTGCGGACGCCTTGGTTTGGAACTTCTGGCCTCTGGAGCTGTGAAAGAATCAATCCCTATTGTTTCTGTTTTTGTTTTTAATGTTTAACTGTTGTGGGTATATGGTAGGCATGTAAATTCCTATTTGTTTTTAAAAATTATTATTATTATTTTTGAGACAGAGTCTCGCTCCCTCACCCAGGCTGGAGTGCAGTGGTGCAATCTCAGCTCACTGCGACCTCTGCCTCCTGGGTATAAGTGATCCTCCTGCCTCAGCCTCCCGAGTAGCTGGGACTACAGACGTGCACCACCACACCCAGCCACGTAATAATTTTTATATTTGTAGTAGAGACGGGGTTTCACCATGTTGGCCAGGCTGGTCTCGAACTCCTCACATCAGGTGATCTGCCTGCCTCAGCCTCCCAAAGTGCTGGGATTGGAGGCGTGAGCCAACGCGCCCAGCCTGCTTTTATTTTTAATGTTTAATTGTTGTGGGCGCTTGGTGGGTGTGTAAATCCCGATTGTTTCTGTTTTTAGTTTTAGTGTTTAATTGTGTGGGAATCTACATGGTAGATGTGTGAATTTGTATTGTTTCTGTTTTTAATGTTTAATTGTGTGGGTGCATGGTGGGTATGTAAATCCCGATTGTTTCTGTTTTTAGTTTTAGTGTTTAATTGTGTGGGAATCTACATGGTAGATGTGTGAATTTGTATTGTTTCTGTTTTTAATGTTTAATTGTGTGGGTGCATGGTGGGTGTGTAAATCCCGATTGTTTGAACACCCCAGTTTGTTGTCATTTGTTACTGCAGCTTGGGGACGCTTGTGTGAAGTCCTTTTCCTCTCTGTGCCTCAGTTTCCACTCAGCCGTTTAAACAACCAGAATTTCAGTCTTCCAGCACAGACACCTGGGGCTGCAATAAGGTGAATGCAGACACCATGACGCAGGCTAAAACTGGGAGTGCAGGCAGGAAGGCCTGGGGCTGCCCCACACCCACTCCTGGAAGTTTTGGGGACTTTGCTGCTGCTCATGCAAAGGTCTAAATGCCCAGCTCTGTGCCAGGGCCCTGAGACACCGTCAGGCATTTCCAGGAGGATGTGCCCAAACGCCAGCATGGTCCTGACAGGGCTGCCAGGCTCATTTGCCTCTTCTGAAAGCAAAAAGAAGAGACATGAAATGAATTTCTATTAACTGGGACCATGACTTCTGCGAAGGAATGAAAATGCTTTTAATTCATAACCAAGAAATCCTACTTACATTTGAAAAACTTGTCAACCCATTGCTGAACATCTGGGAGAACACGGGGCGGGGGTGGGCTTCGTTAGTGCCCAGCCTGGAACCCCCCAATTGCCCCGAGGACCTCCCTGGCTCAAGTAGCTCCAGTCTCTCCCGGCTTGATACCAGGAACATCATGGCGCACAGCTCGCGTCCCAGGTCAGCCTTCGTCTTCTGTCTATAATTACACCACCCTCTTGAACGTCCCTGGACCAGACGTGTATAACAGCACATGTCCATGAGCCGACATCAAGAGGACCATGCTCTGCATACCATCCTGTGGCATGCCCTCCCCTCTGTGGGACCCCTCATGTTGTGCAGGGACCCCCAGTCCTCTCTCACAGCTGTGCAGTGTGCCGCTGTGGGAACTCACAGCTGTTTACAGCCCTTTCTCTGTCGTGGACATCTGCTTGGGAGGCTGAGGCAGGAGGATCGCTTAAGCCCAGCGGTCAAGGCTGCAGTGAGTGGAGACACTCAACGCCAGCTGCTGTGAAAGCAGCCAGGAGGGAGGTTGTACCCTGAAAAGCCACAGGGTCAGAGCTGCCCAAGACCATGGGAACCCACCTCTTGCATCTGCGTGGCCTGGATGTGAGACCTGGAGTCAAAAGAGATCGTTTTGGAACTTTAAAATTTGACTCCCCCTCTGGATTTTGGACTTGCATGGGCCCTGTAACCCCTTTGTTTTGGCCAATCTCTCCCATTTGAAACAGCTGTATTTACCCAATACCTGTACCCCCATTGTATCTAGGAAGTAACGAGCTTGCTTTTGATTTTACAGGCTCATAGGCGGAAGGGACTTGCCTTGTCTCAGATGAGACTTTGGACTGTGGACTTTTGGGTTAATGCTGAAATGAGCTAAGACTTTGGGAGACTCCAGGGAAGGTATGATTGGTTTTGAAATGTGAGGACTTGAGATTTGGAGGTGTCAGGAGTGGAATGATATGGTTTGGGTATGTCCCCACCCAGATCTCATCTTGAATTGTCCTCCTATAACTCCCACGTGTTGTGGGGGAGACCCGGTGGGAGATAATTTGAATCATGGGGGTGTTTTCCCCCATACTGTTCTCGTGGTAGTGAATAAGTCTCATGAGATCTGATGGTTTTATCAGGGGTTTCCACTTTTGCATCTTCCTTATTTTCTCTTGCTGCCACCATGTAAGAAGTGCCCCTTTCAGCCGCGACTGGAGCAGCTGGGACGAAGGGCACCAAGTCCCTAGGCTGCAAACAGCACGGGGACCCTGGGACCAGCCCACAAAACCATTTTCTCCTAGGCCTCCAGGCCTGCGAAGACCTTTGACATGCCCTGGAGACATACCCCATTGTCTTGGGGATTAACATTCCGCTCTCGTTACTCATGCAAATTTCTGCAGCTGGCTTGAATTTCTCCTCAGAAAATGGGTTTTTCTTTTCTATCATATTGTCAGACTGCAAATTTTCCAAACTTTTACGCTCTGCTTCCCTTATAAAACTGAATGCCTTTAACAGTACCCAAGTCACCTCTCGAATGTTTTGCTGCTTAGAAATTTCTTCTGCCAGATACCCTAAGTCATCTCTGTCAAATTCAAAGTTCCACAAATCTCTAGGACAGGGGCAAAATGCTGCCGGTCTCTGCTAAAATATAACAAGAATCACCTTTGCTCCAGTTCCCAGCAAGTTCCTTATCTTCATCTGAGACCACCTCAGCCTGGACCTTATTGTCCATATTGCTCTTGGGCTTTTGGTCAAAGCCATTCAACAAGTCTCTAGGAGGTTCCAAACTTTCCCACATTTTCCTGTCTCCTTCTAAGCCCTCCAAACTGTTTCCGTCTCTGCCTGTTACCCAGTTCCAAAGTCACTTCCACATTTTTGGGTATCTTTTCAGCAATGCCCCACTCTACTGGTACCGATTTCTGTATTAGTCCATTTTCATGCTGCTGATAAAGACATACCCAAGACTGGGAAGAAAACGAGGTTTAATTGAACTCACAGTTCCACATGGCTGGGGAGGTCTCAGAATCATGGCGGGAAGCAAAAGGCACTTTTTTTTTTTTTTTTTTTTTTGAGATGGAGTTTCACTCTTGTTGCCCAGGCTGGAGTGCAGTGGCTCGATCTCCACTCACTGCAACCTCCCAAAAGGCACTTCTTACATGGCGGCGGCAAGAGAAAATGATGAGGTGTTAAAGCAGAAACCCCTGATAAAACTGTCAGATCTTGTGAGACTTATTCCTACCACAAGAACAGTACGGGGGAAACTGCCTCCATGATTCAAATTATCTCCCACTGGGTCCCTCTTACAACATGTGGGAATTATGAGAGTACAATTCAAGATGAGATTTGGGTAGGGACACAGCCAAATCATATCAGATGTTGAGCATTTTTTCATGTTTGTTGGCTGCTTGTATGTCTTCTTTTGAGAAATGTTTGTTCATGTATTTTGCCCACTTTTTTTTTTTGAGCTGGAGTCTTGCTCTGTCGCCAGGCTGGAGTGCAGTGGCGTGATCTCGGCTCACTGCAACCTCCGCCTCTGGGGTTCAAGCAATTCTCCCGCCTCAGCCTCCTGAGTAGCTGGGACTGCAGGCACACACCACCATGCTTGGTTAATTTTACATTTTTAGTAGAGCTGGGGTTTCACCATGTTGGTCAGGATGGTCTCAACCTCTTGACCTCGTGATCCACCCACCTCAGCCTCTCAAAGTGCTAGGATTACAGGTGTGAACCACCACACCTGGCCTTTTGCCCACTTTTTAATGGGATTATTTGTGTGTTGCTTGTTGAATTGTTTAAGTTCCCTATGGAGTCTGGATATTAGACCTTGGTCGGACAGATAGTTTGCAAATACTTTTTCCCATTCTGTAGGTTTTCTGTTTACTCTGCTGCTAGTTTCTTTTTCTGTGCAGAAGCTCTTTAGTCTAATTAGGTCCCACTTGTCAATTTTTGTTTTTGTTGCAATCGCCTTTGAGGACTTAGTCATAAATTCCTTCCCAAGACTAATGTCCAAAATGATGTTTCCTAGGTTTTCTTCTATCATTCTTATAGTTTGAGGTCTTACATTTAACTCTTTAATCCATCTTGAGTTAATTTTTGTATATAGTGAAAGACAAGGGTCCAGTTTCATTCTTCTGCATATGGCTAGCCAGCTATCCCAGTACCGTTTATTGACTAGGGAATACTTTTCTCATTGCTTATTTTTGTTGACTTTGTCAAAGATCAGATGGCTGTAGGTGTGTGGCTTTATTTCTGTTTGTTGGTCTATGTGTCTATTTTTGTACCAGTACCGTGCTGTTTTGGTTACTGTAGCCATATAGTATAGTTTGAAGTGAGGTAATGTGATGCCTCTGGCTTTGTTCTTTTTGCTTAGGATTACTTTGGCAATTTGGGCTCCTTTTTGGTTACATATGAATTTTAGAAGTTTTTCTAGTTCTGTGAAAAATGATGTTGGTAATTTGTTTATTTTTAATTTTTTAATTTTTTTTATTTTTTTGAGACAGGGTCTCACTGTCACCTAGGCTTGAGTACAGTGGCATGATCACAGCTCACTGCAGCCCTGATCTCCCAGGCTCCAGTGATCCTCCCACCTCAGCCTCTTGAGTAGCTGGGATTACAGGTGCATGCCACCACACTGGGCTAATTTTTGTCTTTTTGGGAGAGATGGGGGTTTTTGCCATATTACCCAGGCTGGTCTCAAACTCCTAGGCTCAAGCAATCCATAGGCCTTGGCCTCCCAAAGTGCTGGGATTACAGTGTGAGTCATCACGCCCAACCAATGTTAGTAATTTGAGAGGAATAGTGTTGAATCTATAAACTGCTTTGGGCAGTATGGTCATTTTAACGATATTGAGGCTAGGGGCAGTGGCTCATGCCCATAATCCCAGCACTTTGGGAGGCTGAGGCGGGTGGATCACCTGAGGTTGGGAGTTCAAGACCAGGCTGACAAACATGGAGAAACCCTGTCTCTACTAAAAATACAAAAATTAGCCGGGCGTGGTGGTGCATGCCTGTAATCCCAGCTACTCAGGAAGCTGAGGCAGGAGAATCACTTGAGCCCGGGAAGCAGAGGTTGCGGTAAGCAGAGATTGCACCATTGCACTCCAGCCTGGGCAACAAGAGTGAAACTCTGTCTCAAAACAAAACAAAACAAAACAAAATATATTGATTCTTCCTATCCATGAGCATGGAATGTTTTTCCATTTGTTTGTGTCATCCATGATTTCTTTCAGCGGTGTTTTATAATTCTTCTTATAGAGATCTTTGACCTCATTGGTTAGATGTATTAGTAGGTTTTCTTTTTCTTTTCTTTTCTTTTTTTTTTTTTTTTCTGTGTGGCTATTTTAAATGGGACTGTTGGGACTGTGTTATTTCTTTCCTCCTTTCTTTCTTTTTCAAGATGGAATCTTGCTCTGTCACCCAGGCTGGAGTGCAGTGGCTCAATCTCGGCTCACTGCAATCTCCACCTCTCAGGTTCAAGTGATTCTCCTGCCTTAGCCTCCTGAGCAGCTGGAGGCACCCACCATCACGCCCAGCTGATTTTTGTTCAAGCGATTCTCCTGCCTCAGCCTCCTAAGTAGCTGGGATTACAGGCACCCGCCACCACGCCTGGGTAATTTTTGTATTTTTAGTACAGACGGGGTTTCACCATGTTGGCCAGGCTGGTCTCAAACTCCTGAGCTCAGGTGATCTGCCCACCTCGGCCTCCCAAAGTGCTGGGATTACAGGTGTGAGCCACCATGCCCAGCCATGAGTCTTTAAGCCCGTAGGCATACACCATCATGATCAAAACAAAAACCCTGTCCAAACCAAACACAAGGATGGCTGGCAGTACAGTCCCCAGGTCAGGCCTGTGCAGGAGCAGGCTGGTCCCCATCTCTGTCCCACCTCCCATAAAGGCCACCTGTCAGCTAACACTGAGCCTGGACCCTTGCCTTGGGGTGAGAGCGGCATGACCGAAGTCCTGGCCCACCCTGTGGCAGGCTCTTCTGTCCCTGTATACCCAGTGCCAGGAGGGTCAGTGTGTGACTTGGACCTGCACCCCACACTTCTTTCCTCCAACCCCAGCAGAACACAGCCCACCCATCTCAGAACAGGCATCGACCCCCTCTCTGCTCACCAGGGCACTTCCCCTGAAGGAAGGGCAGAAGAAAACCCCTTCTGGGGAGGGGTAGGATGGTCAAAGGTGGGGAACGGACATGGAAAGGTCTACTCACCCCAGTCGGACACGTCCTCCCCACCCAGGGCGGTCTCCAGTTCTGTCCTAACCAAGGACCTGTGGCCTCCCTCCTCCCAGGTTGGAAGGTCAGTCCCGGAAGGCTCTGGAAGGTGTCCTGGGACTCACCCACCAGGCAGCATTTTCATCAGAGGTTCTCAAAAGGACACTTATCTGGGTCACACGGGTGGCCATGGTCACCCTCAATAAGAAAGGGGAGATGGGTGTGAGGGAGAGATACCCCTGCTGCCAGTAGAGCCATGCCATCCCCTGGGAGGGTCTGAGCAACTCTCCCACCAAGTTTGTGGATTTGTAGATTTCACCATGTAGCTAAGTCAGTGTTTGCTTTTTCAGTTTTGAAGGAGTGTTACTGGATATACACAATTTCATGATTGTTTTACCAGCAGAGTCGATTCTTATTATTCTCGGATTCTGTATCTGCAAATCCATCTACTTGTTAAAATGTATTTGTATCCCCCAAATCAATGGCACTTTTGGGGTCACTTGTAAATATGCATGGGGTGGGGAAAATTCCAACACACTCCTTCCCACTGAGGTCAATTCAGCTGTCACTGTAAATATACGTTCTGTTCAAGTTCTATTCAATAGCACATTTTCCCCATTTTTGGTGTGTGTGTGTGTGTGTGTTTGTGATTTCACTGTTTAAAATGGCCCTCAAGCCAGGCTTGGTGGTGCACATCTGTACTCCCAGCTACTCAGGAAAAGCTACTCAGGAGAATCGCTTGAGCCCAGGAGGTCAAGACTGCAGCTACGATCACGCCACTGCACTCCAGCCTGAGCAACAGAAGGAAAGAAATAATCTCTACAAAAAAATAATAATTTTTTAAAAGGCCCCCAGCGGAGGCTGGGCACAGTGAGTCACCCCTGTAATCCCAGCACTTTGGGAGGCTGAGGCAGGCAGATCACCTGAGGTTGGGAGTTCGAGACCAGCCTGACCAACATAGAGAAACCCCGTCTCTACTAAAAATACAAAATTACCCGGACGTGGTGGCGGGTGCCTGTAATCCCAGCTACTGGGGAGGCTGAGGCAGGAGAATCGCTTGAACCCGGGAGGTGGAGCTTGCAGTGAGCCGAGATCACGCCACTGCACTCCAGCCTGGGCAACAAGAGCAAAACTCTATAAAGAAATTACCTATGCCGGGAGGGGTGGCTTTGCTTGTAATCCCAGCACTTTGGGAGGCTAAGGTGGACAGATCACTTGAGGCCAAGAGTTCAAGATCAGCTTGGCCAACATGGTGAAACTCCATCTCTATTAAAATACAAAAATCAGCTGGTGCTCACCTGTAACCCCAGCTACTCGGGAGGCTGAGGCACAAAAATCGCTTGAACTGGGGAGGCGGAGGTTGCAGTGAGCCGAGACTGCACCACTGCACTCCAGCCTGGGTGAGAGAGTGAGACAAAGAAAGAAAGAAAAGAAAGAGAGAGAGAGAGGGAGAGAGGGAGAGAGGGAGAGAGGGAGAGACGGAGAGAGGGAGAGAGGAAGGGAGGAAGGGAGGAAGGGAGGAAGACCTGAGACTGGGTAGTTTATAAAGGAAAGAGGTTTAATTGACTCACAGTTCCGCGTGGCTGGAGAGGCCTCAGGAAACTTACAATCATGGTGGAAGTGGAAGCAGACACCTTCCTCACAAAGCACAGGAGAGAAAGCAGAGAGTGAAGGCGGAAGAGCCCCTTATAAAACCATCGGATCTCGTGAGAACTCACTCACTATCACGAGAACAGCCTGAGGAAACTGCCCCCATGATCCAATCACCTCGCTCCCTCCACACTTGGAGATTACAGATCCCTCCCTCAACATGTAGGGATTGCAATTTGAGATGAGATTTGGATGGGGACACAGAGTCAAACCATATCAAACGTAAACCATTAAATAAAAATAGAATTTGTTCAGTTCTTTTTTTTTTTTTTTTTTTTGAGATGGTGTCTCACTCTATCTTCTAGGGTGGAGAGCAGGGTTGCGATCATGGCTTATCGCAACCTCAACCTCCCTGAGCTCAAGCCATCCTCCCATGTCAGCCTCCCAAGTACCTGAAACTACAGACACATGCCACCATGCCCAGCTAATTTTTTCTGTATTTTGTAGAGACGGCATTTTGCCATGTTGTCCAGGCTGGTCATGAACTCCTGGAGTCCAGTGATCAGCCTGCAATGGCCTCCCAAAGTGCTGGGATTACAGGCCTGAGCCACCGCACCCAGCCAGAATCTATTCAGTTCTTCAGTGAAGGAGAATAAAAGTTGGAGAGGGAAATGAGAATACAGGAGGAAGAAAGAAAGCAAAAGTCAGGGAAGAAGCAAAAAATAAAAACATACAAACAAAAACCCCAAAGAGAAAATACATTATCAAAAGCACAAAATAAGATGTTAAAAATAAGTCTAAATATAATAGTAATCCAACACATATTAATAGGTTAAACTCATTTATTAATTATCAGGTCGAATTAGAAAGAAAAATGTAGTAATGTGGCATTTTTAAGAGCTACACCTAAAAAGGAAATAATACAGGAGGGTGGAAAATGAAAGGTTAGAAAACTAGACCCCAGATATATTCTCCTAATGATAGCAGGAGTGGGTTATCAAAACAAGGTAAGAGAATCCGACCTGGCGTGGTGGCTCACGCCTGTAATCCCAGCACTTTGGGAGGCCGAGGCGGGTGGATCACCTGAGGTCAGGAGTTCCAGACCAGCCTGGCCAACATGGCGAAACCCTGTCTCTACTAAACATACACACACAAAAAAATTAGCCGGGTGTGGTAGTGGGTGCCCGTAATCCCAGCTACTCAGGAGGCTGGGGCAGGAGAATCGCTTGAACCCAGGAGGCAGAGTTTGCAGTGAGCTGAGATTGCGCCACTGCACTCCAGCCTGGGCAACAGAGTGAGACTCAGTCTCAAAACAAAACAAAAAACAAGATAAGAGAATTCAAGCTAGAAAGTGTTGGTGGGGAAAGACGTATACACCATAAAGCGACACACAGAGGAACAAGGCCCAGAGATGACAGCTGATTCTCCTATTTGAGGTGCTGCTTTGCTGTGAATACTGAATTAGCTAGCACTGAGCCACTGCTGCTCAGGGAGATTCAGGGTCTGGTTCCTGTGACCCTCTGGTCACAACATTTTAATCAGCCGATCAGTCTATTTCCTTATTGTATGTGTGTTTCTCTTTAAAGATACCTCATTTTCTGAAACAATGTGGAGAATTAAAATAAAATACAATCAAATAAAGACACCTCATGTCATAGATAATGTTGATCCATTCACATTAAACTCACGGCCAACAGCACTGTCACTCACGCCTGAATGAAGCCTCTCTAACACACGTTTTCTACGTTAAGACTCATCCCGGGCCCTTGTGCTTGAGAATGCTAGTCAGCACTTCAGCAAAATGGTTCGGGGCCTTTTTTTTTTTTTTTTAGATGGATTCTTGCTCTTGTTGCCCAGGCTGGAGTGCAATGGTACGATGTTGGCTCACTGCAACCTCCACCTCCCGGGTTCAAGGGATTCTCCTGCCTCAGCCTCCCGAACAGACTAATACCGTGTTAACCTGGGGAAAATGAAGTTAAAAAAAAAAAAACTGGAAAAAAGTATTTTGATATGCTTGAAGAAGAAAATCCAGTTTGCAAACACCACAGTGATAACTATTTCAGTCAAGAATGGTCATTGGACTCTAGCATTAGTATGTGAAAGTGTAGGGGAAAAAAGAATATTTACATAGTTTCAAAGAAATGCCCCACAGAGACTTAGTAATAACAGAGGGAAGAAATGGTAACTTTACCGTGGAGAACACTGGCTTACCTAAGTTTTGGAAGTGTCTTGTGATATCATGCAGCTAAAATGACACATCACTTCTGTAGTATTCTTGCTAATAATAATAATAAAACTGAAATTTAATCACAAGGAACCATCGAACAAACCCAAATTGGAGACATCCTATGAAGTGACTGACCAGCACTTGGAAGTGTCAAGTCATGGAAGAGAAGAAAGACTGAGGCCGTTCAACTTATTTTTTGTTTGTTTGTTTGTTTGTTTGTTTTTTGAGACGGAGTCTCGCTCTGTGGCCCAGGCTGGAGTGCAGTGGCATGATTTCAGCTCACTGCAACCTCCACCTCCCAGGTTCAAGTGATTCTCGTGCCTCAGCCTCTTGAGTAGCTGGGACTACAGGTGCACACCACCATGCCCAGCTAATTTTTTGTATTTTTCGTAGAGATGCGGGTCTCACTATGTTGGCCAGGCTGGTCTCGAACTCCTGACCTCAGGTGATCCACCTGCCTCGGCCTCCCAAAGTGCTGGGATTATAGGTGTGAGCCACCATGCCCGGCCTTTTTTTTTTTTTTTTTTTCACTCTGTCATCCAGGCTGGAGTGCAGTGGCTCACTGTAGCCTCAGTCTCCAAGGCTCAGGCAGTCCTCCCACCTCAGCCTCCCGGGTAGCTGGGACCACAGTTGAATGGCACTACGCTCAGCTAATTTTTTTTTTTTTTTGCATTATTTGTAAAGACAGGGTCTCACCATGTTGCTCAGGCTGGTCTCAAACTCCTGGACTCAAGGAATCTGCCCGCCTTGGCTTCCCAACACGCCCAGGCACTCTTCAGCTCTTAAAAGTAGGTACCATGAGGCAGGGCACAGTGGCTCACGCCTGTAATCCCAGCACTTTGGGAGGCCGAGGCGGGTGAATCACGAGGCCAGGAGATCGAGACCATCCTGGCCAACATGGTGAAACCCCGTCTCTACTAAAAATATAAAAATTAGCTGGCGTGGTGGCACACCCTGTAGTCCCAGCTACTCAGGAGGCTGAGGCAGGAGAATCTCTTAAACCCAGGAGGCGGAGGTTGCAGTGAGCCGAGATCGCACCCCTGCACTCCAGCCTGGCGACAGAGTGAAACTCTGTCTCAAAAAAAAAAAAAAAAAAAAGTAGGTACCCTGGCCTCTGCCTCTTGGCATCACTGGCAGGACTTTGCTATAGGGCACAATTGATCCCAAGAAGGAAGCTACAAACTACCAGCCAGGAGGGCAGGATGGAGGCAGTGAGGGCGCAGCATCAGCCACACACTCCCTCATCTGAATTTGCGGTGGAAAAGAAGCCCACAGATATGGCCTATGTAAATCCAGCAAGTACACATTCAGAAGCAGGCAGCCCAGAGAGCTGAGCACACTTCTTAGGAGGTGTTCTGCATGAGTGCACTTCAAGCAAAAAAACATGAAGGCCAGGAATTTCACATGCACAAAAACAGATGTTGATGCAATACCCATTGTTTAAAAGGACTAAATCAGGAAAGGCACTATTATCAAGGGAGGAAAATATCCATGCTGTGGAAAGTTTGACTCAGGAAAATTCAGTGATGCAGGAGGGGTGGAAAGTCTGAGCCTCTCTGGGAGCACTTACAAGTTGAAAGGAGAGAAGTCTGTGCAACAGGTCCCTGGGCGTGAACAATCCTTCTTTTTTTATTTTTCTTTGAGACGGAATTTTGATCTTGTCGCCCAGGCTGGGGTGCAATGGCGCGATCTTGTCTCACTGCAACCTCCGCCTCCCGGGTTCGAGCGATTTTCCTGCCTCAGCTTCCTGAGTAACTGGGATTACAGGTGCCCATCACCACATCCAGCTAATTTTTTGTATTTTTAGTAGAGGGGGGGTTTCACCATGTCGGTCAGGCTAGTCTCAAACTCCCGACCTCAGGTGATCCACACCCACATCGGCCTCCAAAAGTGCTGGGATTACAGGTGTGAGCCACCACGCCTGGCCAACGATCCTTCTTCTTTTACACTTGCTTGATTTGAGTTTACCGAGGAGTCAGTCATGTAGTAGTCATATTCTCTGCTTGCTGCTTTTGGAAACATCCGTCATTTATTATGACAAACTAATTTTGAAGAATAATGACCCTTGAAAAAAGACAGGGTGCAGTGGCTCACTCCTGTAATCCCAGCACTTTGGGAGGCCAAGGTAGGAGGATCGCTTGAGCCCTGGAGTTTGAGACCAGCCTGGGCAATAGAGTGAGAGCCTATCTCTACAAAAATTACAAAAATGGCCAGGCATGGTGGCTCATGCCTGTAATTCCAGTACTTTGGGAGGCCGAGGTGGGTGGATCACCTCATGTCAGGAGTTCAAGACCAGCCTGGCCAACATGGTGAAATCCCGTCTCTACTAAACATACAAAAATTAGCTGGGCATGGTAGCAGGTGCCTGTAATCCCAACTACTTGGGAGGCTGAGGCAGGAGAATCGCTCGAACCTGAGAGGTGGAGGTTGCAGTGAGCCGAGATTGTGCCACTGCACTCTAGCCTGGGCAACAAGAATGAAACTCCATCTCAAAAAAAAAAAAATTACAAAAATTAGGCAGCCATGGTGATGCACGCCTGTAGTCCCAACTACTCAGGAAACTGAGGTGGGAGGATCCCTTGAGCCTGGGAGGTAGGGAGGTTGCAGTGATCTGAGATTGCACCACAGCACTCCAGCCTGGGCCACAGAGCCAGACCCTGTCTCAAGAAAACAAAGGTAGTGGGGAGATCTTGAGATGACAGCATTCTGGATTTAGGGTAGGCCCTAAATGCAGTGACAAGATGTCCTTATAAGAAGAGTGACACAGGAAGATGGGACACACAGAAGGGAGAAGGTCATGTGAGGATGGAGGTGGAGACTGAGTGATATGGCCCAAGCCACAGAAGGGCCACTGAAGTCAGAGTTGGGAAGGATTCTCCCCTTGAGCCTTCAGAGTTAGGAGAGAATAGATTCCTGAGGTTTTAAGCCACTTTTTCTTTATGGTCTTTTGTTCCAGCGGCCTCAGGGAGTGAAGGTACCAGCCATCCTGGGTTGCCCAGGACACTGCACTTTCAGTGCTAAAACCGAGAAAGTAATGGGAGAAGCCAGACAAGTGGGTCCCTGGTGGATGCCCGGCCTTAGACTTGCAATTGGCATCCGGTGCGTGAAGAAGCGGACACTGAGGGTCTCTCTGCAGCTGGCTGCCTGTGCCACCAGTGGTGATGTTGGCATTGGTGGCAGAGCCCACATCTGGCTGTGGGGGACGCAGCCTTTAGGGCCTGGTGTGCGGGTAGCAGGGGCTCTGTGGGCATGCCACCCACACCTAACCTGGGCTGTGAACTTGAGCTTTGCCATCCCTGGGAATCGCCACACCTGCACCCCCATCAGCCTGGCCCACTGCCCAGCAGCTCTCTCATGAGCGCCTTCCTGCCTAAGCTGTTTGTGGAAGCTGCTTCTCTAGCAGCCAGACTGAATCAGAGGCCTCTCCCATGGCAGCAGGAGACTGTGACCTCAGGGCACAGCCTTAATGGGGTGGCAGGTGCGGGTCTTGGGCAGCAGGAATGATGCCAGGCCCATCATTGTGTATCTCAAATCACATCAGCTACACCTGCTGGGTGGGACTTTTACAGAAGAAACTGGGCTCTGGAGGTGATCATCCCGTCTGAAAGCAGAGAGCTGGCGGGGGCAGGGCGAAGGGGCACTGGAGTGGGTGAGCAGGGTCTCCTTGACCAAAGCTCTCTCCTCAAGCCTAGAATATACTGTGGTCATCCAGGATTTCTGAGAAGGAGGAGCTGGAGATTTCTGAATCCTCCTTGTCTGTTCTCCTTGTAGAGAAAGGAGAAGGAAAGAAAGCAATCCACCTACTTTTGTAGGGCGACTGTAAACTGTTACAAACAGAATGAGGCCAGTAGCATTTTATTACTGGCCTCATTCTGTTTGAATCACTTGCATGGCAGCACAAAACCAGAAAAGAAATAAAAACACAGAGCTTCCAAAGAGAGGAGGCAAACTCACTCTTTATAGACCACCTCACTGTCTACCAGGCGTCTATGCACGTGAACTGTTAGGACTGAGGCTAAAGTGATTTTTAATATTTTGCCCAAATTCCTATCTAAGGAGTCTGGGGAGTCATGCCCTACAAAGCATAACTTCTCATCAGGCCGGGCGCGGTAGCTCATGCCTGTAATCCCAGCCCTTTGGAAGGCTGAGGCGGGTGGATCACCTGAGGTCGGGAATTCAAGACCATCCTGGTCATCATGGCAAAACCCTGTCTTTACTAAAAATACAAAATTCGTTGGGCATGGTGGCACACGCCTGTAACCCCAGCTCCTTGGGAGGCTGAGGCAGGAGAATCGCTTGAACCCAGGAGGTGGAGGTTGCGGTGAGCCGAGATCAATCACGCCACTGCACTCCAGCCTGGGCAACAAGAGCCAAACTCGGCCTCAAAACAAAGAAAAAGAAAAGTTGCTTTGAAATTTGGATCAGAATGTAAGTATAATTCTTGTTACTTTGTCCCATTCTGAAAATATATTGGAAACAATACATACATATATATATATATATATATATTTGAGACAGAGTTTCGCTCTTGTTGCCCAGGCTGGAGCTCAATGGCATGATCTCGGCTTGCCACAACATCCACCTCCTGGGTTCAAGCGGTTCTCCTGCCTCAGCCTCCTGAGTAGCTGGGGTTACAGGCATGTGCCACCATGCCCGGCTAATTTTTTTCGTATTTTTAGTGGAGATGGGGTTTCTCCATGTTGGTCAGGCTGGTCTTGAACTCCTGACCTCAGGTAATCCACCCGCCTCAGCCTCCCAAAGTGCTGGGATTACAGGCATGAGCCACCGTGCCCGACCGGGTACAATTTTTTATGCCAATAAAAATCCTCCAGCCACATCTTCCCAGCAACTGCTGAGTGCCAAGACTGTCCTGGATGGTTCGTCCATCCAAAAGCTGGATCAATGGGCATTTGCTGGATAGTTCCGTTCCTCTGTCCAAATGTTTGATCAATGGGTATTTGGCTTTCTCCTAAGTTATTTATATTTTCTTTCTTTTTTTTTTTTTTTTTGAGATGAAGTCTTCCTCTGTCCCCCAGTCTGCGGTGCAATGCTGACATCTCGGCTCACTGCAACCTCCACCTCCCGGGTTCAAGTGATTCTCATGCCTCAGCCTCCCAAGTAGCTGGGATTACAGGCGTGCGCCACCACGCCTGGCTAATTTTTATAATTTTAGTAGAGATGGGGTTTCTCCATGTTGGCCAGGCTGGTCTTGAACTCCTGACCTCAGGTGATCCGCCCGCCTCGGCCTCCCAAAGTGCTGGGATTACAGGCGTGAGCCACCGTGCCTGGCCTCTCCTAAATTTTCAAAGCTAAACAGCAAACATCCTCATGACTAAATATTAGGTTCAGTTTTATTGACTTCTTTAGGGCACATTCCCAGCCTGGCCACTGCTGGGCCAAGAGGCTGCAGGTTTTGAAGTCACAGAGGATGCCCTCCGTGCACCCACCCTCACAGCAGACGGAACACGGCAGCAGGAGTCCAGGCCATTGGGGAAGGCTGTAAGTGTCACCTGGTCACACTTCATACACTTTCCTTGGGTGTAGGAGTTCACACAGGGTTCACCAACACACTCACCTGGGCAAGAGGCTGGGCAGAGGTCAGATCCTGCACCGGGGCACTCTGGCGTCCTGGGCTGCACTGTCTACCCATCCAGGCTCAGGAGGCTCACACCTGGAATGAGAAAATAGAAATACTTATGTACTGGAGTTTAGGATCAAAATAATCTCTGGGTTGTTACAATTTCCTATAAATGATTGACAGACTGCTTCGGTGGCCTCCAAGGGCTCCGGCTATCTGTGTTGGGTTTGCTTCTCCAAACAGCTGTACTGTGAGCCATGATAGGAATCCCAGGCTCCCTCTGACCTCAGAAACTGAGGCTACTGAGGGTGAGCTTGTGGTCAGTAGGAGGACAACTCTTCCGCCTCCCCAGACAGGGCTCACCGCCCAACTGCCCGTGTTGCAAATGAGAGCAGGTGAGTGCTCCATGGGATCAGAGGCCCTGCTGTCTCCATGTGAATCATTATACTGGTTTCCAGCGAAGGACCTGAGACCTGGCAGAAAAGGATGGATGCTCCATTTGACATCCTGTTAAATCAAGTTTGGCCTAAAGCTGCCTCCTTCCGTATTTTAAGTTCAGCCTAATGGTTTCTCTGTCCATCACGAACTAAAACCTAAATGGAGTTGTAAACAGAGTGTAGTCGACTCTTGTCCAGTCACTGAGTTTTGGCCAATCAGAGGTGGCCAGCTGCTCAAACTGTGTTCACATAAGGCAAACGCCAAGTTGTAGCCAATCCAGCTGTCTCTGTACCTCACTTCCATTTTCCGTACGTCGCCTTCCTTTCTTTTTCTGTCCGTAAATCTGCTTCCGCCACGCGGCTGTGCTGGAATCTCTGAGCTTGCTCTGGCTTGGGAGGCTGCCCCATTCCCAGTTATTTTTTGTTCAATTAAACTCTTAAATTGAGGCCGGGCGCGGTGGCTTACGCCTGTTATCCCAGCACTTTGGGAGGCTGAGGTAGGCAGATCACCTGAGGTCAGGAGTTTGAGACCACCCTGGCCAAGATGGTGAAACCCCATCTCTACTAAAAAATACAAAAAAATTAGCCAGGCGTGGTGGTGGTTGCCTGTAATCCCAGCTACTTGGAAGGCTGAGGCAGGAGAATCACTGGAATCCGGGAGGTGGAGGTTGCAGTCAGCTGAGATCATGCCACTGCATTCCATCCCGGGCAACAAGAGCAAGACTCTGTATTAAAAATAAAATAAAATAAAAATAAATAAATTTAATTTGGCTAAGGTTTTTCTTTTAGCAATCTCATTAACATTTCACTTAGACAGTGCAGGCCCTCTCAGGCATGTTTCCTAAGGGCAGGCCAGTTCTTTCTTCTAGAATGTTTTCTCCAGTTCTCACCTCGGCAGCCCTCCACCAGCCTCCCTGATATGAGGCTCCCTACTGCAATGTTAGAAGAGTGGACCTGGCTCTAGGAACTTCCTTTCTTTTTTTTTTTTTGAGACGGAGTCTTGCTCTGTCTCCCAGGTTGGAGTGCAGTGGCGCGATCTCAGCTCTCTGCAAGCTCCGCCTCCCTGGTTCACACCATTCTTCGGCCTCAGCCTCCCAAGGGTCTCACTCTGTTGCCCAGACTGGGGTGCAGTGGCATGATCACAGCTTACTGCAGCCTCAACCTCTCTGGCTCAAGCAATCCTCCCTCAGCCTCCCAAGTAGCTGGGACTACAGGTGCCCGCCACCATGCCTGGCTAGTTTTTTGTATTTTTTTTAGTAGAGACAGGGTTTCACCGTGTTAGCCAGGATGGTCTCGATCTCCTGACCTCGTGATCCACCCGCCTCGGCCTCCCAAAGTGCTGGGATTACAGGCATGAGCTACTGCTCCCGGCATTTTTTTTTTTTGAGTTGGAGTCTTGCTCTGTTGCCCAGGCTAAAGTGCAATGGTATGATCTTGGCTCACTGCAAACCCTGCCTCCCAGGTTCAAGCGATTCTCCTGCCTCAGCCTCCTGAGTAGCTGGGATTACAGGTGCCTGCCACCACATCTGGCTAATTTTTGTAGTTTTAGTAGAGACAGGGTTTCTCCATGTTGGCCAGGCTGGTCTTGAACTTCTGACCTCAAGTGGTCCACCTGCCTCAGCCTCCCAAAGTGCTGGGCTTACAGATGTGAGCCACTGCGCCCGGCCAAGTCTACCAAACATTTAAAGAAGAACTAACCCCAGCCAGGTGCGGTGGCTAATATGTGTAATCCCAGCACCTTGGGAGGCCGAGGCAAGAGGATCACTTGAAGCCAGGAGTTCAAGACCAGCCTAGGGAACACAGGGAGACCCTGTTTCTCCACAAAATAAAAAATAATCAGCTGAGTGTTGTGACGTGCATCTGTGGTCCCAGCTACTTGGGAGGCTGAGGGAGGATTGCTTGAGCCAGAGAGGTTGAGGCTGCAGTAAGCTGTGATCATGCCACCGCACCCCAGTCTGGGCAACAGAGTGAGACCCTGTCTAAGAAAAAAAAAAAAAAAGGTCAAAGGACTTGAAAAGACATTTCTCCAAAGAAGATATAGAAATGGCTAAAAAGCAGACGAAAAGATGCTTGGCTGAATGTGATGGCTCATGCCTGTAATCCCAGCACTTTGAGAGACTGAGGCTGGAGGATCACTTGAGCCCAGTAGTTCAAGACCAGCTTGGGCAACATGGAGAGACCCCGTCTCCATTAAAAAAAGAGAGAGAAGAAAGAAAAGAAAAGAAAAGATGCTCAACATTACTAAACGTTAGGAAAATGCAAATCAAACCCACAATGATATACCATTTCAGACCCATTAGGATGACTATTATCAAAAAACAAACCAAAGCAAAACAACAGAAAAGAGGTGTTAATGAAGAAAATGGAACCCTTGTGTACCGCTGCTGGGGATGCAAAGTGGTGTCACTGTTGTGGAAAACAGTTCCTTGAAAAATTAAAAATAAGTCAACAAAAGCAGATATAGACAAATGTGATTACATCATACCAAAAAGCTTCTGCATAGCAAATGCAACAGTCATCAGACTGAACAGACAACCTGCAGAATGGGAGAAAATATTTGCAAACCATACAACTGATAAGGGGTTTATATCCAGAGTGTACAACAACTCAATAGCAAGAAACCAACCTAATTAAAAAATAGGCAAAGGACTAAATAGACATATCTCAAAAGAAGATATGCAAGTGGCCAATAGGTATATGAAAAAATGCTCAATATCTTGATCATCAGGGAAATGCAAATTAGTACCGCAATGAGATACCACCTCACACCTATCAGAATGGCTATTATCAGAAAGACCAAAGATAACAACTGTTGGTGAGGCTGTGGATAAAAGGGAACCCTTGCTCATTCTTGGTGGGAGTGCAAATTATTGCAGCCATTATGTAAAACAGTACAGAGGTTCCTAAAAAAATTAAAAATAGAACTACTGTATAATCCAGCAATCTCACTGCTAGGTAGATGCTTCAAACAAGTGAAGTTAGTATATCAAAGAAATATCTTCACTTCCTTGTTCATTGAAGCACTAGTCACAACAGCCAAGATAGAGAATTAACCTGCGTCCATCAACAGATAAATAGATAAAGAAAATGTGCCATGTATACACAATGAAATACTATGCAGCAAGGAAAAACAAGGAAATCCTGTCATTTGTAACAACATGGATAAGCCTGGAGGACATTATGTTAGGTGAAATGAGCCAGCCCAGAAAGCCAAATGCTGCATGAGCTCACTCGCATGCAAAGTCTAAAAAAGTTGAACCCACAGAAGTGGAGAGTAAAATGGTGGTTACCAGGAGCTGGAGAGGTGGTGAGGAGGTGGCTGGGGAAATGTTGGTCAAAGGTTCCAAAATTTCCGTTAGACAGGAGGAGTAACTTCCACGTATAACATGGTGACTACCGTTAACAACAATGTATTGACAGGGCGTGGTGGCTCACGCCAGCATTTGGGGAGGCTGAGGTGGGCGGATCACCTGAGGTCAGGAGTTCAAGACCAGCCTGGCTAACACGGTGAAACCCCATCTCGACTAAATAGACAAAATTAGCTGGACGTGGTGGCGGGCGCCTGTAATCCCAGCTACTCAGGAGGCTGAGGCAGGAGAATCGCTTGAACCCGGGAGGCAGAGGCTGCGGTGAGCCACGATCGCACCACTGCACTCCAGCCTGGGTGACAGAGTCAGACTCCCTCTCAAACAAATAAAAAAAACCACAAAAGACCAACTATATATTATATTCTTGAAAAATGCTGACAGAGTAGATTTTAAGTCTTCTTATCAGGAGAACAAGTATGTGAGGTGTGCTTATGTCACTTAGCTTGATTTTGCCTTTCCACAATTTATACATATTGTAGAAGATCATGGTGTACATTACAACATATTCAACTTTATATGTCACTTTTTTCTTTTTCTTTTTCTTTTTTTTTTTTTTTTTTGAGACGGAGTTTCACTCTTGTTGCCCAGCTGGAATACAATGGCACGATCTCGGCTCACCACAACCTCCGCCTCCTGGGTTCAAGTGATTCTCCTGAGCCACTGTGCCTGGCCCTGTCAGTTTTAAAGAATAAAGTAAAATAAATAAAAATAGAATTACTGTATGATTCAGAGATTCTACTTTTGGGTATACTAGACAGGAGGAGTAACTTCCATGTATAACATGGTGACTACCGTTAACAACAATATATTGACCGGGTGTGGTGGCTCATGCCTGTAATCCTAGCATTTGGGGAGGCAGAGGTGGGCGGATCACCTGAGGTCAGGAGTTCAAGACCAGCCTGGCCAACATGGTGAAACCCCGTCTAGACTAAAAAGACAAAATTAGCTGGGTGTGGTGGCAGGTGAGAAGAGAAAAGGGGGCTCCTCGCTGACCTCCCCTTCCCCAGCGTCTCCAGGGCAAGCACCACCTCTAGCCTTGTTCTCCCCCCGAAGATGTCTTGGGGGTCCCTTCCAGCTCTGGTGCCCAGCCAGCAGCCCCCACGTCTGTCCCTCCTCCTTTTGGGTATTTTATACCCAAAAGACATGAAAACAGGTGCTCAAACAGATAGTTATATACCCACATCCACAGCAGCATTATTTTTTTATTTATTATTCATTGTTTTCATTGCTGTTGTTCTTTTTTTAATTTTTATTTTAGGTTTGGGGATACATGTGCAGGTTTGTTATATAGGTAAACTCGTGTCATGGGGTTTGTTGTACAGGTTATTTTATCACCCAGTACCCAAGAGTTATTTTTTCCGATCCTCTCTCTCCTCCCACCCTCCACTCTCAAGTAGGCCCCAGTGTGTGTTGTTCCCCTCTCTGCGTTCATGTGTTCTCATTATTTAGCTCCTGCTTATAAGTGAGAACATGTGGTATTTGGTTTTCTGTTCCTACATTAGTTTGCTACATGTTCCTACAAAGGACATGATCTCCTTCTTTTTTATGGCTGCATAGTATTCCGTGGCATATATGTACCACGTTTTCTTTATCTGGTCTACCATTGATGGGCATTTAGGTTGATTCCATGTCTTTGCTATTGTGAACAGTGAGCAGTATTACTTATTTCTTTATTTTTTATTTTTTGAGATGGAGTTTTGCTCTGTCACCCAGGCTGGAGTGCAATGGTGCAATCTCAGCTCACTGCAACCTCCGCCCCCTGGGTTCAATCGATTCTCATGCCTCACCCTCCCGAGTACAGGTGCCCAACACCATGCCCGGCTAATTTTTGTACTTTTAGTAGAGACGGGGTTTCACCATGTTGGCCAGGCTGGTCTGAAACTCCTGACCTCAAGGCGATCCGCCTGTCTTGGCCTCTCAAAGTGCTGGGATGACAGGCGTGAGCCACCGCGCCCGGCCGCAGCATTACTTATAATAGCCAAAAGGTAGAAGGAAAAAAAACTGAGTATCCATGAACAGATGAATGGATAAACAAAATGTGGTCTATTCATACAAGAAAATACCAATTCAGCCAAAAAAAGGAAGGAAATTCTGGCACATGTAACAATGTGAATATACCTTGAAGACATCTGAAGTGTTGACTCATTGTAGTTTTGATTTGTATTTCCTTACAATTTGTCGAAGACCTAAATATAAGAGCTAAAACTGTAAAGCCACTGACCGGGCTTCGGAATTCAGCGTCCCCCAGCACGGGCCCTCCCCATCCCTTCCCCAGTACCCCTGCCCCCCGGCCTAGCCCAAGAGGTTTTCCTTGCTGCCTGGCCACTTCCTAGGGAGGGGAAGAGGTATCTTGACTTTCACCCCTGACCTGCACCCCAAGAGGGTCCAGGCTCCACCAGCCCTGCTCAGCAGAAGAGAAAAGGGGGCTCCTCGCTGGCCTCCCCTTCCCCAGCCCCTCCAGGGCAAGCACCACCTCTAGCCTTGTTCTCCCCCCAAGATGTCTTAGGGGTCCTTTCCAGTTCTGGTGCTCAGCCAGCACCCCCTGCGTCTGTCCCTCCTCCTTCCCTCATTCCCACAATATTTTCTGAGCAGATTGGGGGACAGGGGCAGGTTGGGGAAAGGCCACCATTGCTCCTGCACTCTGCTGTCCGGTCTGGGACGTGGAACAGAAGCCCAGGTGGCTTAGCCAGGCATAGCCCCTCAAATGGCATGGCTCAGGGCAGGGGAAGACTGGGGACTGAGACCAGGAAGGGGTGCCCTGCTGCAGTAGGGCAGGAGGCACAGCTCTGGACACCCCCATCATCAGCAAATATCACCACCTGCTGTTTTCTCTCCAGGGTCCACATACAAAACCCACCTGGGGAACCCTTCAATGATGGACCCAAAAACCATGTTCAGGGTTTTATTATTTTATTTGTTTGTTTTCATAATTTTATTCTACAGTTGTCTTTAAACCGAAATGACACTATTGTCTTTGTGCCGATACCTGTACTTTCTGGAGAACGAGTGTATAGGCCCCCTTGAGAGAGAGGCCCTCCATGGTATGGTTTCGGTGAGGTTGCTTGGAAGAAACTCATGTCTGGACTGATTCTTAAAGCACACTGACCAACCACGCCGCAGCTTCGGGCTCTAAGTGTAGATTAGTGTCATTACTGCCTGCTCCTCACTCTGTGTATTTGGTAATGCACATATATCCTGGTTTCTCAGGATGGTCCCCAGGTCGCCAGCCTTCTCTGCAGGTGCGTCGGCAGGTGCAGCGGGCCGTGCTTTCCTCTGTGACCTTTCTCCAGGTCTTTCCAGGAATGGAGACGCAGCATCATCACCACAGGTGGTAAGCCCCATACCTTTGCCAGCAATTCCAGCAGAAACATTGAGTGTAGTTAAGTCCTGCCTTGCAGAAATGTCTCTCTTAAGGCATGCAGACCACTTTAAGCAGCTCACTCGAATCATACTCCATAAACTTACACAAGTCTCTCCACATAAGTAGGAGCTGATTGAGAATGAGCTTCAGTGGACATAGCTCTGCGGTCAAAATCCCAGATGGACAGATTTGGAAAATATGGGGGGGCTTGGCCAGGGGTGGTGGCTCATGCCTGTAATCCCAGCACTTTGGGAGGCTGAGGCTGGTGGATCATGAGGTCAGGAGTTCAAGACCAGCCTGGCCAACATGGTGAAACCCCGTCTCTACTAAAAATACAAAAATTAGCTGGGCATGGTGGCGCGTGCCTGTAATCCCAGCTACTCGGGAGGCTGAGGCATGAGAACCGCTTGAATCTGGGAGGTGGAGGGTGCAGGGAGCTGAGATTGTGCCACTGCACTCTAGCCTGGGCAACAGAGTGACTCTGTCTCAAAAAAAAAAAAGAAAAGAAAAAGAAAAAGAAAAGAAAATATGGTGGCACCTGTCATCACAGCCAGCAACAAGCACCATAAGGTCTCCAGCCAGCCTGTTATGCTGGTTTCTGTCTTGCTCCCAATTAGAGATACAACAGGACACAGAGGAAGAGTGTCAAACACACATCTGGAATCAAACGCTCCTGGCGCATGAAATCCATCACAGTCTGGCATCTGCAGTAAGCCCTGCAGCTGAGATACCAACACGGTTGGAGGCATGGAGGATTTTCTTCTGATGAGCTGGAAGCTCTCACTGCGCCCTCTTCAATATAATCAGTGCAGCCTGGGCTTTCGATTTCAGATGAGTTGATTTCCCCTGAACCTTGACAGCCTCTATGGCATATTCATTTGATGAATCCTGCCCCAGGAGCTCCAAAGAGTGACATCTGGAGCTCTCCAAATAGTGACACTGGCTACAGTGAATCTTGTTGAACATTTGAAATGCTGGTCAGGTGCTCTCCCTTCCACCTCCTGCAAAGTTGCAAACGGAGGCCAGGTGACGACTGTTGTAAAGTGCCCCCTGAACACCTGTGTAGGCACCTTTTTGGGCATCAGCTCAATTATTCCCTCAGGATTATGCTCACCCTGGACACACTGGGGTCTGGACTCTGTTTTTTTTCCCTCTGGGATAGTTGCTTTCTCTTCCTTGTTGATTTAAAATAGTTCTTAGCAAGAGGCTGGGAGCCATGGCTCACACCTGTAATCCCAGCACTTTGGGAGGCCAAGGCAGGAGGACCGCTTGAGGCCAGGAGTTTATGACCCTGGGCAACATAGTCAGACTCCTGTCTCTAAAAAAAAATGAGCTAGACATGGTGGTGTGTGTCTGTAGTCCCAGCTATTCTGGAGGCTGAGGCAGGAGGATTGCTTGAGCCTGGGAGGTCGAGGCTGCAGTGAGCTTCGATCAGACTACAGCACTCCAGCCCGGGTGGCAGAGTGAGACCTTGTCTCAAAAATAAGTTAAAAAATAAACAGTTCTTAGTAAGATAGAGGGAGAATTCTGGAGGGGATTCCATTCTTGCCCCTGTGTGTGTGAAGGTGCTGGGGTGCAGGTGGAGGGCCTGCCCTGTGGTGAGCTGGAGCTGGTGGGAGGCAGACCCCTGGGTAGGCTGTCTCTGGGCAGGGCACCTGGCTGAGCACGTTTGCTCCGCGTGGGCCTGGGGTGCAGGAGGCAAGATAGGGGTCCCAGGCGGGGTGTCTGGAACAGCCTGCCCCGCCATCAAGATGCAGAAGGCTGTCACCCCCAGGGCTCACACTCTGAGCTCATGTTTGCCCCATGGTGTGTGGCCTCCACAGAGGGGCACTGGAGCCAGGCAGGGCCCCCCGCCCCATCCTCCAGGTGGTTCGGGGGGGTCTTGGGAGTCCTGGCTGTCTGAGGCGGACATGAGGCTCCTCAGAGGAGCTGGGGGGCAGGACCCCCTGCCTCTCCCTCCACCCCAGCCACAGCCCCTCCTCTCCTGGGGCCTTGGGGGTCGAGGTGGGGAGGTGCAGAAGGGAGGTGGTGACCCGAGGCCCCTCGTGTCCCCCTCTCCTGGGTGCTGCCTGGCTGCCCTCCCTTTCATCACCCTTGTCCTCTGGTTGCTGTGAGGGGTGGGCTGCAGTCTCCCTCTGCTGTCACTTGAGGCCTGTGGTCAGGTGCCCCCACCCCGCCTTCAGGGGCACCCTGAGCAGGCCCACTCACTGGCCTTGGTGTCTGAGTACCAGGGGTGGTGGCCACAGTGGAACCGAAGCAAGGGGCAGCGGGCCAGGTGGTCCAGCCAGGGGGGGTCCCCTTCAGTAACTGGCAGCATTGGCCTCAGGGGCTGTGCCAATGCCCCCCAGCAGCCTCTGAGGTGCCTGGAGTGCCTGTGGGCAGTGTCACTCTGTGTCCCCCACTGGCTCATTGGGTGATGGGACGCCAGCCTCCCAGCATTTGCTCCACAGGGCGGGCAGGCTGCCCACAGCTCCCTGTGAACTCTGCACCCTCCTCCCTCCCGGGCCCCTCCACCCAGCCCCACACAGCTCCATGCTGGCCTTGAGTCTTCCTGGGAAGCCCTCCTCTCGTTTCCAGAAGTCCCGCAAGAAGAGAACACGTATGTGTCTGTTTATTTCAAGGTGTGGAACACAGACACATCCCCAGATGGGGGAGGAGGGGAGACAAGGACACGGGTACAAAAACTGGAAACAAAGCCACCCGCTACAGCTCAGACGGCACCGCCACGATGTGGTTTAAGGCTCTGTACGTATATATATGTGTAGAGGCTCACACACGCGCACACGCACACGCAGAGCGGCACTGACACGGGGACTGAGGCCAGACGTGAAGGCTGACTGCAGCTCGCAGCCCACCTAAAATATTGCAATTATGTTTATTAAAAAAGTGTAAAATGGGAAGACTGTGCATCGGTCTGAGTAAAGTGGCGAACTTGAGCCTCCCCGGCCTGGGTGCGGGGCCAGCTAAGCCACACCCCTGCGCCCCCCACACCCCTGCACACACCTGCACCCACAACCACCTCCACCTGCGTGTGCCCCCACCAGAGCGAGCGTCCAGGTGTGGGGGTGGGGTGGTTCCAGGACCTGCCTCTGTGGGGCTCCCATCCAAACAGCACAGCGTGGAATAAAAAACCAAAATGCCTTCCCCAGAGTGGCCCTAACCTGTCCCTGGCACCCACCAGTGGCCCCACCAGGGTGGTCCCGGCAATGTGGACAGGGTCTCCGGAAGGCAGGCCTATGCATCTGTGTGTGGGGGGACTCCTGGGCCACTCGGGGCTCCTCCAAACCTGCCCACTCACTGCTGCTGGGGTGTGACTGTCCAGGGCCCCCACAGGCCCTCCCACCCTAAATCCATCCATCCCCCATGGCAAGTGGAGGCCGGACAGGGGGTGACACGGCAAGATGGCCAGGAGTGCGTCGCACAGCAGAAGCTGCATTTGGCTTTAGCATTAAGGCCAGCGCTGGGCGGAAGGCCCTGCAGAGAGGCCAGTGCCCCTGAGAGGGGCCCAGCACACCTGGGCCCGCAGCGCCTTGTGGCCCCGGGTCCCTCCTGCGCCTGGACTCCCCGTCACAGTGGCTGTGCTTGCCGGGCCTCTCTGCCTCCATGGAGCAGGCTTAAAGTGCTGGGTGCCTGGGAGGGAGGGCTCAGGACCGGCCAGGAGCTCTGCCCTCAGGGCTCCTATTTGAGGATGTGGTTAATGAACAGCTGACACGCCAGGAACACGCAGAGCAGGAACCAGGATCGGGGGCTCTGCAGGAGGCCTGGGGTCGGTGCCTGTGCTGCCCGTGCCGTGGAGCTCAGCATGGCCGAGAGGTGCCTGCAAGGACAGGCGACAGATCGTGGGGGCTGTGCCAATGCCAGCAAGTCCCCCTCCCACAAGCCAGGACAGTGCCCTGGGTACTTGACCAGGTGCTGGACACAGGGCCGAGGTGGAGATGGGATGGCCCTCCAGGGGCAACAGAGCGGGTGGGGGTGGAAAGCTTGTTAGTGGGAGGGCCCCACAGCACCATGGCTATACTGGGATTCCCTGGGCACATTCAGGGCAGAGGAGGGTCAGGGATTGGGGAGTCAGCCTTTTACATCCTCCCTCCCACCCCTGTGGTTATGGCTGAGTCATGCCTCTGCCACCTTCATATGTTGGAGTCCTAACCCCTTGCACCTTAGATAAGACTGTATTTGGAGATGGGGTCCTTAAAGAGGTATTTATTTAAATGGAGACCATTAGGGTGGGCCCTGGTCCCATGGGACTGGTGTCCTTATATGAAGAAGAGATGAAGACACAGACACAGCGAGAAGCTGGCGTCTGCCAGGCAGGAGAGAGGTCTCGGGATAAACCAGCCCTGTGGCACCGAGATCTTGGACTCCAGCCTCCGGGACCGCGAGGGAGTAGACGCGCTGTCCGAGCCCCTTGCCGGCAGTACTCTGCTGTGGAGGCCCTGGCCCTGAGCTGGAGTACTTTGCCGTGGAGGACCTGGCCTCTGAGGCGGTATCCAGTTTGCTGCAGAAGCTTCTGGCTGAGTCCTGGCCACCTGCCTGACAGCTGACCTGCTTCTGGGGAGCCAGGCCTCCCTGCTTCTCTGCCCACACAGCCTCACCAGGGAGCACCTTCTGGAAATGCTTACACAGGGACAATGACAGTTCCCCAAGGCTCTTGAGCCTCACAGAGCCCGGGCCTGTGCCCTGGCTGCATTTCACCCTGGGGTACTGCTATCAAGCCCACTTTACAGAGGGGAGGCTGAGGTGTGACAGCCAAGGTCCCACAGCCAGTGAGACCCTCAGCCTGGCTCAGAGTCAGGAGCTTTGGACCCGAGAGGGACCCTGTGCTCTGCTCCTCATTGGTGGGATCTGCTGACAGGAAGGGGCCATGTGGCCCTGGTGGCCTGCACCTGCCAGCTCTCGGCCACTCCCATTTGCTCCTTCCCCAGCCATTCCTGAGAAGCCACTGTGCGCAGGTATGGGGCCACCACAGTGAGCCCAGGCTGCCACCTCGCTCTGCACACCTCAAGGTCTCTCCTGGGGCTACCCCAGGCCATGCTGGGCTGGCACCTTCCTCTAGGCTTCAGGACATCTCCAGCTCAGTATCTGCCAGGCATGGCCAACTTGGCTGGTTGATCATCCCGCACCACCTGCCGCTCCCACACCCTCTCTCCTGCCCTCGGCGGTTGTCTTCCTTTCATCACCCTGCAGGTCTTGTGGGTTCCAGCTCCGATGACAACCCCAGCCGCGGCCTCCTGGCCTCCCCACCTCCCGCCCTAGCTCTACCAGGTCTCTCGCACTCTCTGACCCGGAGTCTGGATGGACACCCTGAGTGTGGCCCACCTGTGCAGCTCCTGCTGGGCCTCTCGGATGGAGAGGATGGCCTCGTGCAGGGCCTGCAGCCGCCGCGCCTCCTTCCTGCACCGAGGGCATGGGCTCTCACCGCCTGGGACGGCCCCGAGTGAGACAAAGGAGGGGAGGGGAGGAGTGAGGATGAGCTGGAGGTCCAGTGGGGCTGGCACGTGGGTCACAGGGTCATATCCAGCTCGGGCCTCCACCCCACCTCATGGGAAACCTGCAGGGCCAAGCTGAAGACACGGAGATGAGGGAGGGGTGCTGAGGATGTTTCTGGAGGGAACCCCCAGGCTGGACCAGCCACTAACAGGCCTGGGAGGCAGAAGTGGCCAAGGCAAGGCCCATCCATTACAGAGGCAGGGACAAAGTTGGGGAGACACAGCTCCTGGTGACAGGAAAGGAGCAGAGGGCTGGGGCAGGATGCCACTGGACCTGCCCCTCCCACC